>NC_000020.11:27871541-28180874 GCF_000001405.40 Homo sapiens
AGCATTCTCAGAAGTTTATTTGTGATGTGTGCCCTCAACTAACAGAGTTGAACCTTTCTTTTGATAGAGCAGTTTTGAAACACTCTTTTTGTAAAATCTGCAAGAGGATATTTGGATAGCTTTGAGGATTTCGTTGCAAACGGGAATGGCTTCATATAAACTCTAGACAGAAGCATTCTCAGAAACTTCGTTGGGATGTTTCGATTGAAGTCCCAGTGTTGAACATTCCCTTTTATAGAGCAGGTTGGAAACACTCTTTCTGCATTCCCTGGAAGTGGACATTTGGAGCGCTTTCAGGACGACGGTGAAAATGGAAATATCTTCCAAGAAAATCTAGATAGAAGCAACGTCAGAAACTTTTATGTGATGGATCTACTCAGCTAACAGAGTTGAACCTTTCTTTTGAGAGAGCAGTTTTGCAACACTCTTTTTGTGGAATATGCAAGTGGATATTAGGGCACCTTTGAGGATTTCGTTGGAAACGGGAATACATGTAAAAAGCAGACAGCAGCATTCTCAGAAACTTCTTTGTGATGTTTGCATTGAAGTCACAGAGTTGAACATTCCCTTTGAGAGAGCAGGTTTGAAACACGCCTTTTGTCATATCTGGAAGTGTCCATTCGGAGCGCATTCAGGCTTGTGTTGAAAAAGGAAATATCCTCCCATAAAAACTAGACAGAAGCATTCTCAGAAACTTATCTGTGATGTATGTACTCAACTAACAGAACTAAACCATCGTTTTGAAGGAGCAGTTTTGAAACACTCTTTTTGCGGAATCTGCAAGTGGATATTTGGCTAGCTGGGAGGATTTCGTTGGAAACGGGATTACATACAAAAAGCAGACAGCAGCATTCTCAGAAACTTCTTTGTGATGTTTGCATTCAAGTCACAGAGTTGAGCATTCCCTTTCATAGAGCAGGTTGGAAACACTCTTTTTGTAGTATCTGGATGTGGACATTTGGATCGCTTTCTGGCGTATGGTGAAAAAGGAAATATCTTCCCATGAAAACTAGACAGAAGCATTCTCAGAAGTTTATTTGTGATGTGTGCCCTCAACTAACAGAGTTGAACCTTTCTTTTGATAGAGCAGTTTTGAAACACTCTTTTTGTAAAATCTGCAAGAGGATATTTGGATAGCTTTGAGGATTTCGTTGCAAACGGGAATGGCTTCATATAAACTCTAGACAGAAGCATTCTCAGAAACTTCGTTGGGATGTTTCGATTGAAGTCCCAGTGTTGAGCATTCCCTTTTATAGAGCAGGTTGGAAACACTCTTTCTGCATTCCCTGGAAGTGGACATTTGGAGCGCTTTCAGGACGACGGTGAAAATGGAAATATCTTCCAAGAAAATCTAGATAGAAGCAACGTCAGAAACTTTTATGTGATGGATCTACTCAGCTAACAGAGTTGAAGCTTTCTTTTGAGAGAGCAGTTTTGCAACACTCTTTTTGTGGAATATGCAAGTGGATATTAGGGCAGCTTTGAGGATTTCGTTGGAAACGGGAATACATGTAAAAAGCAGACAGCAGCATTCTCAGAAACTTCTTTGTGATGTTTGCATTGAAGTCACAGAGTTGAACATTCCCTTTGAGAGAGCAGGTTTGAAACACGCCTTTTGTCATATCTGGAAGTGTCCATTCGGAGCGCATTCAGGCTTGTGTTGAAAAAGGAAATATCCTCCCATAAAAACTAGACAGAAGCATTCTCAGAAACTTATCTGTGATGTATGTACTCAACTAACAGAACTAAACCATCGTTTTGAAGGAGCAGTTTTGAAACACTCTTTTTGCGGAATCTGCAAGTGGATATTTGGCTGGCTGGGAGGATTTCGTTGGAAACGGGATTACATACAAAAAGCAGACAGCAGCATTCTCAGAAACTTCTTTGTGATGTTTGCATTCAAGTCACAGAGTTGAACATTCCCTTTCATAGAGCAGGTTTGAAACACTCTTTTTGTAGTATCTGGATGTGGACATTTGGATCGCTTTCAGGCCTATGGTGAAAAAGGAAATATCTTCCCATGAAAACTAGACAGAAGCATTCTCAGAAACTTATTGGTGATGTGTGCCCTCAACTGACAGTGTTGAACCTTTGTTTTGATAGAGCAGTTCTGAAACACACTTTTTGTAAAATCTGCAAGAGGATATTTGGATAGCTTTGAGGATTTCGTTGGAAACGGGAATGTCTTCATGTAAACTCTACACAGAAGCATTCTCAGAAACTGCTTTGGGATGTTTCAATTGAAGTCCCAGTGTTGAACATTCCCATTCATAGAGCAGGTTTGAAACACTCTTTTTGTACTATCTGGAAGTGGACATTTGGAGCGCTTTCAGGTCTACGGTGAAAAAGGAGATATCTTCCAATAAAAACTAGATAGAAGCAATGTCAGAACTTTTTTCATGATGTATCTACTCAGCAAACAGAGTTGAACCTTTCTTTTGAGAGAGCAGTTTTGAAACACTCTTTTTGTGGAATATGCAAGTGGGTATTAGGCCAGCTTGGAGGATTTCGTTGGAAACGGGAATACGTATAAAAAGCAGACAGCAGCATTGTCAGAAACTACTTTGTGATGTTTGCATTCAAGTCACAGAATTGAACACTCCCTTTCACAGAGCAGGTTTGAAACACTCTTTTTGTAGTGTCTGTAAGTGAACATATGGATTGCTTTCAGGCCTAAGGTGAAAAAGGAAATATCTTCCCATAAAAACTAGACAGAAGCATTCTCAGAAACTTGTTTGTGATGTGTGCCCTCTACTGACAGAGTTGAACCTTTCTTTGCAAAGACCAGTTTTGAAACACTCTTTTTGTAGAATCTGCAAGAGGATATTTGGATAGCTTTGAGGATTTCTTGGGAAACGGGAATGTCTTCAGATAAACTCTAGACAGAAGCATTCTCAGAAACTTCTTTGGGATGTTTCAATTGAAGTCACAGTGTTGAACATTCCCTTTCACAGAGCAGGTTTGAAACACTCTTTTTGTAGTGTCTATAAGTGAACATTTGGCGTGCTTTCAGGCGTAACGTGAAAAAGGAAATATCTTCCCATAAAAACTAGACAGAAGCATTCTCAGAAACTTGTTCGTGATGTGTGCCCTCTACTGACAGAGTTGAACCTTTCTTTGCAAAGAGCAGCTTTGAAACACACTTTTTGTAGAATCTGCAAGAGGATATTTGGATAGCTTGGAGGATTTCGTTGGAAACGGGTATGTCTTCAGATAAACTCTAGACAGAAGCATTCTCAGAAACTTCTTCGGGATGTTGCATGCAAGTCACAGAGTAGAACATTCCCATTCATAGAGCAGATTTGAAACACTCTTTTTGTAGTATCTGGAAGTGGACATTTGGAGCGCTTTCAGGCCTATGTTGAAAAAGGAAATATCTTCCCATAAAAACTAGACGGAAGCATTCTCAGAAACTTACTTGTGATGTGTTTGCTCAACTAACAGAATTGAACCATCGTTTTGAAGGAGCAGTTTTGAAACACTGTTTTCGTGGAATCTGCAAGTGGATATTTGGCTAGCTTTGAGGATTTCGTTGGAAACGGGATTACATATAAAAAGGAGACAGCAGCATTCTCAGAAAGTTCTTTGTGATGTCTGCATTCAATTCACAGAGTTGAGCATTCCCTTTCATAGAGCAGGTTGGAAACACTCTTTTTGTAGTATCTGGATGAGGACATTTGGAGCGCTTTCAGGCCTATGGTGAAAAAGGAAATATCTTCCCGTAAAAACTAGACAGAAGCATTCTCAGAAATTTATTTGTGATGTGTGCCCTCAACTAACAGAGTTGAACCTTTCTTTTGATAGAGCAGTTTTGAAACACTCTTTTTGTAAAATCTGCAAGAGGATATTTGGATAGCTTTGAGGATTTCATTGCAAACGGGAATGGCTTCATATAAACTCTAGACAGAAAGCATTCTCAGAAACTTCGTCGGGATGTTTCGATTGAAGTCCCAGTGTTGAACATTCCCTTTTATAGAGCAGGTTGGAAACACTCTTTCTGCATTCCCTGGAAGTGGACAATTGGAGCGCTTTCAGGACGACGGTGAAAATGGAAATATCTTCCAATAAAATCTGGATAGAGCAATGTCAGAAACTATTCTGTGATGGATCTACTCAGCTAACAGAGTTGAACCTTTCTTTTGAGAGAGCAGTTTTGCAACACTCTTTTTGTGGAATATGCAAGTGGATATTAGGGCAGCTTTGAGGATTTCGTTGGAAACGGGAATACATGTAAAAAGCAGACAGCAGCATTCTCAGAAACTTCTTTGTGATGTTTGCATTGAAGTCACAGAGTTGAACATTCCCTTTGAGAGAGCAGGTTTGAAACACGCCTTTTGTCATATCTGGAAGTGTCCATTCGGAGCGCATTCAGGCTTGTGTTGAAAAAGAAAATATCCTCCCATAAAAACTAGACAGAAGCATTCTCAGAAACTTATTTGTGATGTATGTACTCAACTAACAGAACTAAACCATCGTTTTGACGGAGCAGTTTTGAAACACTCTTTTTGCGGAATCTGCAAGTGGATATTTGGCTAGCTGGGAGGATTTCGTTGGAAACGGGATTACATACAAAAAGCAGAGAGCAGCATTCTCAGAAACTTATTTGTGATGTGTGCCCTCAACTGACAGTGTTGAACCTTTGTTTTGATAGAGCAGTTCTGAAACACACTTTTTGTAAAATCTGCAAGAGGATATTTGGATAGCTTTGAGGATTTCGTTGGAAACGGGAATGTCTTCATGTAAACTCTAGACAGAAGCATTCTCAGAAACTGCTTTGGGATGTTTCAATTGAAGTCCCAGTGTTGAACATTCCCATTCATAGAGCAGGTTTGAAACACTCTTTTTGTACTATCTGGAAGTGGACATTTGGAGCGCTTTCAGGTCCTACGGTGAAAAAGGAGATATCTTCCAATAAAAACTAGATAGAAGCAATGTCAGAACTTTTTTCATGATGTATCTACTCAGCAAACAGAGTTGAACCTTTCTTTTGAGGGAGCAGTTTTGAAACACTATTTTTGTGGAATATGCAAGTGGGTATTAGGCCAGCTTGGAGGATTTCGTTGGAAACGGGAATACGTATAAAAAGCAGACAGCAGCATTGTCAGAAACTACTTTGTGATGTTTGCATTCAAGTCACAGAATTGAACACTCCCTTTCACAGAGCAGGTTTGAAACACTCTTTTTGTAGTGTCTGTAAGTGAACATATGGATTGCTTTCAGGCCTAAGGTGAAAAAGGAAATATCTTCCCATAAAACCTAGACAGAAGCATTCTCAGAAACTTGTTTGTGATGTGTGCCCTCTACTGACAGAGTTGAACCTTTCTTTGCAAAGACCAGTTTTGAAACACTCTTTTTGTAGAATCTGCAAGAGGATATTTGGATAGCTTTGAGGATTTCTTGGGAAACGGGAATGTCTTCAGATAAACTCTAGACAGAAGCATTCTCAGAAACTTCTTTGGGATATTTCAATTGAAGTCACAGTGTTGAACATTCCCTTTCACAGAGCAGGTTTGAAACACTCTTTTTGTAGTGTCTATAAGTGAACATTTGGCGTGCTTTCAGGCCTAACGTGAAAAAGGAAATATCTTCCCATAAAAACTAGACAGAAGCATTCTCAGAAACTTGTTCGTGATGTGTGCCCTCTACTGACAGAGTTGAACCTTTCTTTGCAAAGAGCAGCTTTGAAACACTCTTTTTGTAGAATCTGCAAGAGGATATTTGGATAGCTTTGAGGATTTCGTTGGAAACGGGTATGTCTTCAGATAAACTCTAGACAGAAGCATTCTCAGAAACTTCTTTGGGATGTTGCATTCAAGTCACAGAGTAGAACATTCCCATTCATAGAGCAGATTTGAAACACTCTTTTTGTAGTATCTGGAAGTGGACATTTGGAGCGCTTTCAGGCCTATGTTGAAAAAGGAAATATCTTCCCATAAAAACTAGACGGAAGCATTCTCAGAAACTTACTTGTGATGTGTTTGCTCAACTAACAGAATTGAACCATCGTTTTGAAGGAGCAGTTTTGAAACACTGTTTTCGTGGAATCTGCAAGTGGATATTTGGCTAGCTTTGAGGATTTCGTTGGAAACGGGATTACATATAAAAAGGAGACAGCAGCATTCTCAGAAACTTCTTTGTGATGTCTGCATTCAAGTCACAGAGTTGAGCATTCCCTTTCATAGAGCAGGTTGGAAACACTCTTTTTGTAGTATCTGGATGAGGACATTTGGAGCGCTTTCAGGCGTATGGTGAAGAAGGAAATATCTTCCCGTAAAAACTAGACAGAAGCATTCTCAGAAATTTATTTGTGATGTGTGCCCTCAACTAACAGAGTTGAACCTTTCTTTTGATAGAGCAGTTTTGAAACACTCTTTTTGTAAAATCTGCAAGAGGATATTTGGATAGCTTTGAGGATTTCGTTGCAAACGGGAATGGCTTCATATAAACTCTAGACAGAAGCATTCTCAGAAACTTCGTTGGGATGTTTCGATTGAAGTCCCAGTGTTGAACATTCCCTTTTATAGAGCAGGTTGGAAACACTCTTTCTGCATTCCCTGGAAGTGGACATTTGGAGCGCTTTCAGGACGACGGTGAAAATGGAAATATCTTCCAAGAAAATCTAGATAGAAGCAACGTCAGAAACTTTTCTGTGATGGATCTACTCAGCTAACAGAGTTGAACCTTTCTTTTGAGAGAGCAGTTTTGCAACACTCTTTTTGTGGAATATGCAAGTGGATATTAGGGCAGCCTTGAGGATTTCGTTGGAAACGGGAATACATGTAAAAAGCAGACAGCAGCATTCTCAGAAACTTCTTTGTGATGTTTGCATTGAAGTCACAGAGTTGAACATTCCCTTTGAGAGAGCAGGTTTGAAACACGCCTTTTGTCATATCTGGAAGTGTCCATTCGGAGCGCATTCAGGCTTGTGTTGAAAAAGGAAATATCCTCCCATAAAAACTAGACAGAAGCATTCTCAGAAACTTATCTGTGATGTATGTACTCAACTAACAGAACTAAACCATCGTTTTGAAGGAGCAGTTTTGAAACACTCTTTTTGCGGAATCTGCAAGTGGATATTTGGCTAGCTGGGAGGATTTCGTTGGAAACGGGATTACATACAAAAAGCAGACAGCAGCATTCTCAGAAACTTCTTTGTGATGTTTGCATTCAAGTCACAGAGTTGAACATTCCCTTTCATAGAGCAGGTTTGAAACACTCTTTTTGTAGTATCTGGATGTGGACATTTGGATCGCTTTCAGGCCTATGGTGAAAAAGGAAATATCTTCCCATGAAAACTAGACAGAAGCATTCTCAGAAACTTATTTGTGATGTGTGCCCTCAACTGACAGTGTTGAACCTTTGTTTTGATAGAGCAGTTCTGAAACACACTTTTTGTAAAATCTGCAAGAGGATATTTGGATAGCTTTGAGGATTTCGTTGGAAACGGGAATGTCTTCATGTAAACTCTACACAGAAGCATTCTCAGAAACTGCTTTGGGATGTTTCAATTGAAGTCCCAGTGTTGAACATTCCCATTCATAGAGCAGGTTTGAAACACTCTTTTTGTACTATCTGGAAGTGGACATTTGGAGCGCTTTCAGGTCTACGGTGAAAAAGGAGATATCTTCCAATAAAAACTAGATAGAAGCAATGTCAGAACTTTTTTCATGATGTATCTACTCAGCAAACAGAGTTGAAGCTTTCTTTTGAGAGAGCAGTTTTGAAACACTCTTTTTGTGGAATATGCAAGTGGGTATTAGGCCAGCTTGGAGGATTTCGTTGGAAACGGGAATACGTATAAAAAGCAGACAGCAGCATTGTCAGAAACTACTTTGTGATGTTTGCATTCAAGTCACAGAATTGAACACTCCCTTTCACAGAGCAGGTTTGAAACACTCTTTTTGTAGTGTCTGTAAGTGAACATTTGGATTGCTTTCAGGCCTAAGGTGAAAAAGGAAATATCTTCCCATAAAAACTAGACAGAAGCACTCTCAGAAACTTGTTTGTGATGTGTGCCCTCTACTGACAGAGTTGAACCTTTCTTTGCAAAGAGCAGTTTTGAAACACTCCTTTTGTAGAATCTGCAAGAGGATATTTGGATAGCTTTGAGGATTTCTTGGGAAACGGGAATGTCTTCAGATAAACTCTAGACAGAAGCATTCTCAGAAACTTCTTTGGGATGTTTCAATTGAAGTCACAGTGTTGAACATTCCCTTTCACAGAGCAGGTTTGAAACACTCTTTTTGTAGTGTCTATAAGTGAACATTTGGCGTGCTTTCAGGCCTAACGTGAAAAAGGAAATATCTTCCCATAAAAACTAGACAGAAGCATTCTCAGAAAGTTGTTCGTGATGTGTGCCCTCTACTGACAGAGTTGAACCTTTCTTTGCAAAGAGCAGCTTTGAAACACACTTTTTGTAGAATCTGCAAGAGGATATTTGGATAGCTTTGAGGATTTCGTTGGAAACGGGTATGTCTTCAGATAAACTCTAGACAGAAGCATTCTCAGAAACTTCTTTGGGATGTTGCATTCAAGTCACAGAGTAGAACATTCCCATTCATAGAGCAGATTTGAAACACTCTTTTTGTAGTATCTGGAAGTGGACATTTGGAGCGCTTTCAGGCCTATGTTGAAAAAGGAAATATCTTCCCATAAAAACTAGACGGAAGCATTCTCAGAAACTTACGTGTGATGTGTTTGCTCAACTAACAGAATTGAACCATCGTTTTGAAGGAGCAGTTTTGAAACACTGTTTTCGTGGAATCTGCAAGTGGATATTTGGCTAGCTTTGAGGATTTCGTTGGAAACGGGATTACAAATAAAAAGGAGTCAGCAGCATTCTCAGAAACTTCTTTGTGATGTCTGCATTCAAGTCACAGAGTTGAGCATTCCCTTTCATAGAGCAGGTTGGAAACACTCTTTTTGTAGTATCTGGATGAGGACATTTGGAGCGCTTTCAGGCCTATGGTGAAAAAGGAAATATCTTCCCGTAAAAACTAGACAGAAGCATTCTCAGAAATTTATTTGTGATGTGTGCCCTCAACTAACAGAGTTGAACCTTTCTTTTGATAGAGCAGTTTTGAAACACTCTTTTTGTAAAATCTGCAAGAGGATATTTGGATAGCTTTGAGGATTTCCTTGCAAACGGGAATGGCTTCATATAAACTCTAGACAGAAGCATTCTCAGAAACTTCGTTGGGATGTTTCGATTGAAGTCCCAGTGTTGAACATTCCCTTTTATAGAGCAGGTTGGAAACACTCTTTCTGCATTCCCTGGAAGTGGACATTTGGAGCGCTTTCAGGACGACGGTGAAAATGGAAATATCTTCCAAGAAAATCTAGATAGAAGCAATGTCAGAAACTTTTCTGTGATGGATCTACTCAGCTAACAGAGTTGAAACTTTCTTTTGAGAGAGCAGTTTTGCAACACTCTTTTTGTGGAATATGCAAGTGGATATTAGGGCAGCTTTGAGGATTTCGTTGGAAACGGGAATACATGTAAAAAGCAGACAGCAGCATTCTCAGAAACTTCTTTGTGATGTTTGCATTGAAGTCACAGAGTTGAACATTCCCTTTGAGAGAGCAGGTTTGAAACACGCCTTTTGTCATATCTGGAAGTGTCCATTCGGAGCGCATTCAGGCTTGTGTTGTAAAAGGAAATATCCTCCCATAAAAACTAGACAGAAGCATTCTCAGAAACTTATCTGTGATGTATGTACTCAACTAACAGAACTAAACCATCGTTTTGAAGGAGCAGTTTTGAAACACTCTTTTTGCGGAATCTGCAAGTGGATATTTGGCTAGCTGGGAGGATTTCGTTGGAAACGGGATTACATACAAAAAGCAGACAGCAGCATTCTCAGAAACTTCTTTGTGATGTTTGCATTCAAGTCACAGAGTTGAACATTCCCTTTCATAGAGCAGGTTTGAAACACTCTTTTTGTAGTATCTGGATGTGGACATTTGGATCGCTTTCAGGCCTATGGTGAAAAAGGAAATATCTTCCCATGAAAACTAGACAGAAGCATTCTCAGAAACTTATTTGTGATGTGTGCCCTCAACTGACAGTGTTGAACCTTTGTTTTGATAGAGCAGTTCTGAAACACACTTTTTGTAAAATCTGCAAGAGGATATTTGGATAGCTTTGAGGATTTCGTTGGAAACGGGAATGTCTTCATGTAAACTCTACACAGAAGCATTCTCAGAAACTGCTTTGGGATGTTTCAATTGAAGTCACAGTGTTGAACATTCCCTTTCATAGAGCAGGTTTGAAACACTCTTTTTGTAGTATCTGGAAGTGGACATTTGGAGCGCTTTCAGGTCTGCGGTGAAAAAGGAGATATCTTCCAATGAAAACTAGATAGAAGCAATGTCAGAACTTTTTTCATGATGTATCTACTCAGCAAACAGAGTTGAACCTTTCTTTTGAGAGAGCAGTTTTGAAACACTCTTTTTGTGGAATATGCAAGTGGGTATTAGGCCAGCTTGGAGGATTTCGTTGGAAACGGGAATACGTATAAAAAGCAGACAGCAGCATTGTCAGAAACTACTTTGTGATGTTTGCATTCAAGTCACAGAATTGAACACTCCCTTTCACAGAGCAGGTTTGAAACACTCTTTTTGTAGTGTCTGTAAGTGAACATTTGGATTGCTTTCAGGCGTAAGGTGAAAAAGGAAATATCTTCCCATAAAAACTAGACAGAAGCATTCTCAGAAACTTGTTTGTGATGTGTGCCCTCTACTGACAGAGTTGAACCTTTCTTTGCAAAGAGCAGTTTTGAAACACTCTTTTTGTAGAATCTGCAAGAGGATATTTGGATAGCTTTGAGGATTTCTTGGGAAACGGGAATGTCTTCAGATAAACTCTAGACAGAAGCATTCTCAGAAACTTCTTTGGGATGTTGCATGCAAGTCACAGAGTAGAACATTCCCATTCATAAATCAGATTTGAAACACTCTTTTTGTAGTATCTGGAAGTGGACATTTGGAGCGCTTTCAGGCCTATGTTGAAAAAGGAAATATCTTCCCATAAAAACTAGACGGAAGCATTCTCAGAAACTTATTTGTGATGTGTTTGCTCAACTAACAGGATTGAACCATCGTTTTGAAGGAGCAGTTTTGAAACACTGTTTTCGTGGAATCTGCAAGTGGATATTTGGCTAGCTTTGAGGATTTCGTTGGAAACGGGATTACATATAAAAAGGAGACAGCAGCATTCTCAGAAACTTCTTTGTGATGTCTGCATTCAATTCACAGAGTTGAGCATTCCCTTTCATAGAGCAGGTTGGAAACACTCTTTTTGTAGTATCTGGATGAGGACATTTGGAGCGCTTTCAGGCGTATGGTGAAAAAGGAAATATCTTCCCGTAAAAACTAGACAGAAGCATTCTCAGAAGTTTATTTGAGATGTGTGCCCTCAACTAACAGAGTTGAAACTTTCTTTTGATAGAGCAGTTTTGAAACACTCTTTTTGTAAAATCTGCAAGAGGATATTTGGATAGCTTTGAGGATTTCGTTGCAAACGGGAATGGCTTCATATAAACTCTAGACAGAAGCATTCTCAGAAACTTCGTTGGGATGTTTCGATTGAAGTCCCAGTGTTGAACATTCCCTTTTATAGAGCAGGTTGGAAACACTCTTTCTGCATTCCCTGGAAGTGGACATTTGGAGCGCTTTCAGGACGACGGTGAAAATGGAAATATCTTCCAAGAAAATCTAGATAGAAGCAACGTCAGAAACTTTTCTGTGATGGATCTACTCAGCTAACAGAGTTGAACCTTTCTTTTGAGAGAGCAGTTTTGCAACACTCTTTTTGTGGAATATGCAAGTGGATATTAGGGCAGCTTTGAGGATTTCGTTGGAAACGGGAATACATGTAAAAAGCAGACAGCAGCATTCTCAGAAACTTCTTTGTGATGTTTGCATTGAAGTCACAGAGTTGAACATTCCCTTTGAGAGAGCAGGTTTGAAACACGCCTTTTGTCATATCTGGAAGTGTCCATTCGGAGCGCATTCAGGCTTGTGTTGAAAAAGGAAATATCCTCCCATAAAAACTAGACAGAAGCATTCTCAGAAACTTATCTGTGATGTATGTACTCAACTAACAGAACTAAACCATCGTTTTGAAGGAGCAGTTTTGAAACACTCTTTTTGCGGAATCTGCAAGTGGATATTTGGCTAGCTGGGAGGATTTCGTTGGAAACGGGATTACATACAAAAAGCAGACAGCAGCATTCTCAGAAACTTCTTTGTGATGTTTGCATTCAAGTCACAGAGTTGAACATTCCCTTTCATAGAGCAGGTTTGAAACACTCTTTTTGTAGTATCTGGATGTGGACATTTGGATCGCTTTCAGGCCTATGGTGAAAAAGGAAATATCTTCCCATGAAAACTAGACAGAAGCATTCTCAGAAACTTATTTGTGATGTGTGCCCTCAACTGACAGTGTTGAACCTTTGTTTTGATAGAGCAGTTCTGAAACACACTTTTTGTAAAATCTGCAAGAGGATATTTGGATAGCTTTGAGGATTTCGTTGGAAACGGGAATGTCTTCATGTAAACTCTAGACAGAAGCATTCTCAGAAACTGCTTTGGGATGTTTCAATTGAAGTCCCAGTGTTGAACATTCCCTTTCATAGAGCAGGTTTGAAACACTCTTTTTGTAGTATCTGGATGAGGACATTTGGAGCGCTTTCAGGCGTTTGGTGAAAAAGGAAATATCTTCCCGTAAAAACTAGACAGAAGCAATGTCAGAACTTTTTTCATGATGTATCTACTCAGCAAACAGAGTTGAACCTTTCTTTTGAGAGAGCAGTTTTGAAACACTCTTTTTGTGGAATATGCAAGTGGGTATTAGGCCAGCTTGGAGGATTTCGTTGGAAACGGGAATACGTATAAAAAGCAGACAGCAGCATTGTCAGAAACTACTTTGTGATGTTTGCATTCAAGTCACAGAATTGAACACTCCCTTTCACAGAGCAGGTTTGAAACACTCTTTTTGTAGTGTCTGTAAGTGAACATTTGGATTGCTTTCAGGCCTAAGGTGAAAAAGGAAATATCTTCCCATAAAAACTAGACAGAAGCATTCTCAGAAACTTGTTTGTGATGTGTGCCCTCTACTGACAGAGTTGAACCTTTCTTTGCAAAGAGCAGTTTTGAAACACTCTTTTTGTAGAATCTGCAAGAGGATATTTGGATAGCTTTGAGGATTTCTTGGGAAACGGGAATGTCTTCAGATAAATTCTAGACAGAAGCATTCTCAGAAACTTCTTTGGGATGTTTCAATTGAAGTCACAGTGTTGAACATTCCCTTTCACAGAGCAGGTTTGAAACACTCTTTTTGTAGTGTCTATAATTGAACATTTGGCGTGCTTTCAGGCCTAACGTGAAAAAGGAAATATCTTCCCATAAAAACTAGACAGAAGCATTCTCAGAAACTTGTTTGTGATGTGTGCCCTCTACTGACAGAGTTGAACCTTTCTTTGCAAAGAGCAGCTTTGAAACACTCTTTTTGTAGAATCTGCAAGAGGATATGTGGATAGCTTTGAGGATTTCGTTGGAAACGGGTATGTCTTCAGATAAACTCTAGACAGAAGCATTCTCAGAAACTTCTTTGGGATGTTTCAATTGAAGTCACAGTGTTGAACATTCCCTTTCACAGAGCAGGTTTGAAACACTCTTTTTGTAGTGTCTATAAGTGAACATTTGGCGTGCTTTCAGGCGTAACGTGAAAAAGGAAATATCTTCCCATAAAAACCAGACAGAAGCATTCTCAGAAACTTGTTCATGATGTGTGCCCTCTACTGACAGAGTTGAACCTTTCTTTGCAAAGAGCAGCTTTGAAACACTCTTTTTGTAGAATCTGCAAGAGGATATTTGGATAGCTTTGAGGATTTCGTTGGAAACGGGTATGTCTTCAGATAAACTCTAGACAGAAGCATTCTCAGAAACTTCTTTGGGATGTTGCATTCAAGTCACAGAGTAGAACATTCCCATTCATAGAGCAGATTTGAAACACTCTTTTTGTAGTATCTGGAAGTGGACATTTGGAGCGCTTTCAGGCCTATGTTGAAAAAGGAAATATCTTCCCATAAAAACTAGACGGAAGCATTCTCAGAAACTTAATTGTGATGTGTTTGCTCAACTAACAGGATTGAACCATCGTTTTGAAGGAGCAGTTTTGAAACACTGTTTTCGTGGAATCTGCAAGTGGATATTTGGCTAGCTTTCAGGATTTCGTTGGAAACGGGATTACATATAAAAAGGAGACAGCAGCATTCTCAGAAACTTCTTTGTGATGTCTGCATTCAATTCACAGAGTTGAGCATTCCCTTTCATAGAGCAGGTTGGAAACACTCTTTTTGTAGTATCTGGATGAGGACATTTGGAGCGCTTTCAGGCGTATGGTGAAAAGGGAAATATCTTCCCGTAAAAACTAGACAGAAGCATTCTCAGAAGTTTATTTGTGATGTGTGCCCTCAACTAACAGAGTTGAACCTTTCTTTTGATAGAGCAGTTTTGAAACACTCTTTTTGTAAAATCTGCAAGAGGATATTTGGATAGCTTTGAGGATTTCGTTGCAAACGGGAATGGCTTCATATAAACTCTAGACAGAAGCATTCTCAGAAACTTCGTTGGGATGTTTCGATTGAAGTCCCAGTGTTGAACATTCCCTTTTATAGAGCAGGTTGGAAACACTCTTTCTGCATTCCCTGGAAGTGGACATTTGGAGCGCTTTCAGGACGACGGTGAAAATGGAAATATCTTCCAAGATAATCTAGATAGAAGCAATGTCAGAAACTTTTCTGTGATGGATCTACTCAGCTAACAGAGTTGAACCTTTCTTTTGAGAGAGCAGTTTTGCAACACTCTTTTTGTGGAATATGCAAGTGGATATTAGGGCAGCTTTGAGGATTTCGTTGGAAACGGGAATACATGTAAAAAGCAGACAGCAGCATTCTCAGAAACTTCTTTGTGATGTTTGCATTGAAGTCACAGAGTTGAACATTCCCTTTGAGAGAGCAGGTTTGAAACACGCCTTTTGTCATATCTGGAAGTGTCCATTCGGAGCGCATTCAGGCTTGTGTTGAAAAAGGAAATATCCTCCCATAAAAACTAGACAGAAGCATTCTCAGAAACTTATCTGTGATGTATGTACTCAACTAACCGAACTAAACCATCGTTTTGAAGGAGCAGTTTTGAAACACTCTTTTTGCGGAATCTGCAAGTGGATATTTGGCTAGCTGGGAGGATTTCGTTGGAAACGGGATTACATACAAAAAGCAGACAGCAGCATTCTCAGAAACTTATTTGTGATGTGTGCACTCAACTGACAGTGTTGAACCTTTGTTTTGATAGAGCAGTTCTGAAACACACTTTTTGTAAAATCTGCAAGAGGATATTTGGATAGCTTTGAGGATTTCGTTGGAAACGGGAATGTCTTCATGTAAACTCTAGACAGAAGCATTCTCAGAAACTGCTTTGGGATGTTTCAATTGAAGTCCCAGTGTTGAACATTCCCATTCATAGAGCAGGTTTGAAACACTCTTTTTCTACTATCTGGAAGTGGACATTTGGAGCGCTTTCAGGTTTACGGTGAAAAAGGAGATATCTTCCAATAAAAACTAGATAGAAGCAATGTCAGAACTTTTTTCATGATGTATCTACTCAGCAAACAGAGTTGAACCTTTCTTTTGAGAGAGCAGTTTTGACACAGTCTTTGTGGAATATGCAAGTGGGTATTAGGCCAGCTTGGAGGATTTCGTTGGAAACGGGAATACGTATAAAAAGCAGACAGCAGCATTGTCAGAAACTACTTTGTGATGTTTGCATTCAAGTCACAGAATTGAACACTCCCTTTCACAGAGCAGGTTTGAAACACTCTTTTTGTAGTGTCTGTAAGTGAACATTTGGATTGCTTTCAGGCCTATGGTGAAAAAGGAAATATCTTCCCATAAAAACTAGACAGAAGCATTCTCAGAAACTTGTTTGTGATGTGTGCCCTCTACTGACAGAGTTGAACCTTTCTTTGCAAAGAGCAGTTTTGAAACACTCTTTTTGTAGAATCTGCAAGAGGATATTTGGATAGCTTTGAGGATTTCTTGGGAAACGGGAATGTCTTCAGATAAACTCTAGACAGAAGCATTCTCAGAAACTTCTTTGGGATGTTTCAATTGAAGTCACAGTGTTGAACATTCCCTTTCACAGAGCAGGTTTGAAACACTCTTTTTGTAGTGTCTATAATTGAACATTTGGCGTGCTTTCAGGCCTAACGTGAAAAAGGAAATATCTTCCCATAAAAACTAGACAGAAGCATTCTCAGAAACTTGTTCGTGATGTGTGCCCTCTACTGACAGAGTTGAACCTTTCTTTGCAAAGAGCAGCTTTGAAACACTCTTTTTGTAGAATCTGCAAGAGGATATTTGGATAGCTTTGAGGATTTCGTTGGAAACGGGTATGTCTTCAGATAAACTCTAGACAGAAGCATTCTCAGAAACTTCTTTGGGATGTTGCATTCAAGTCACAGAGTAGAACATTCCCATTCATAGAGTAGATTTGAAACACTCTTTTTGTAGTATCTGGAAGTGGACATTTGGAGCGCTTTCAGGCCTATGTTGAAAAAGGAAATATCTTCCCATAAAAACTAGACGGAAGCATTCTCAGAAACTTACTTGTGATGTGTTTGCTCAACTAACAGAATTGAACCATCGTTTTGAAGGAGCAGTTTTGAAACACTGTTTTCGTGGAATCTGCAAGTGGATATTTGGCTAGCTTTGAGGATTTCGTTGGAAACGGGATTACATATAAAAAGGAGACAGCAGCATTCTCAGAAAGTTCTTTGTGATGTCTGCATTCAATTCACAGAGTTGAGCATTCCCTTTCATAGAGCAGGTTGGAAACACTCTTTTTGTAGTATCTGGATGAGGACATTTGGAGCGCTTTCAGGCCTATGGTGAAAAAGGAAATATCTTCCCGTAAAAACTAGACAGAAGCATTCTCAGAAATTTATTTGTGATGTGTGCCCTCAACTAACAGAGTTGAACCTTTCTTTTGATAGAGCAGTTGTGAAACACTCTTTTTGTAAAATCTGCAAGAGGATATTTGGATAGCTTTGAGGATTTCATTGCAAACGGGAATGGCTTCATATAAACTCTAGACAGAAGCATTCTCAGAAACTTCGTTGGGATGTTTCGATTGAAGTCCCAGTGTTGAACATTCCCTTTTATAGAGCAGGTTGGAAACACTCTTTCTGCATTCCCTGGAAGTGGACATTTGGAGCGCTTTCAGGACGACGGTGAAAATGGAAATATCTTCCAAGAAAATCTAGATAGAAGCAATGTCAGAAACTTTTATGTGATGGATCTACTCAGCTAACAGAGTTGAAGCTTTCTTTTGAGAGAGCAGTTTTGCAACATTCTTTTTGTGGAATATGCAAGTGGATATTAGGGCAGCTTTGAGGATTTCGTTGGAAACGGGAATACATGTAAAAAGCAGACAGCAGCATTCTCAGAAACTTGTTTGTGATGTTTGCATTGAAGTCACAGAGTTGAACATTCCCTTTGAGAGAGCAGGTTTGAAACACGCCTTTTGTCATATCTGGAAGTGTCCATTCGGAGCGCATTCAGGCTTGTGTTGAAAAAGGAAATATCCTCCCATAAAAACTAGACAGAAGCATTCTCAGAAACTTATCTGTGATGTATGTACTCAACTAACAGAACTAAACCATCGTTTTGAAGGAGCAGTTTTGAAACACTCTTTTTGCGGAATCTGCAAGTGGATATTTGGCTAGCTGGGAGGATTTCGTTGGAAACGGGATTACATACAAAAAGCAGACAGCAGCATTCTCAGAAACTTCTTTGTGATGTTTGCATTCAAGTCACAGAGTTGAACATTCCCTTTCATAGAGCAGGTTTGAAACACTCTTTTTGTAGTATCTGGATGTGGACATTTGGATCGCTTTCAGGCCTATGGTGAAAAAGGAAATATCTTCCCATGAAAACTAGACAGAAGCATTCTCAGAAACTTATTTGTGATGTGTGCCCTCAACTGACAGTGTTGAACCTTTGTTTTGATAGAGCAGTTCTGAAACACACTTTTTGTAAAATCTGCAAGAGGATATTTGGATAGCTTTGAGGATTTCGTTGGAAACGGGAATGTCTTCATGTAAACTCTACACAGAAGCATTCTCAGAAACTGCTTTGGGATGTTTCAATTGAAGTCCCAGTGTTGAACATTCCCATTCATAGAGCAGGTTTGAAACACTCTTTTTGTACTATCTGGAAGTGGACATTTGGAGCGCTTTCAGGTCTACGGTGAAAAAGGAGATATCTTCCAATAAAAACTAGATAGAAGCAATGTCAGAACTTTTTCATGATGTATCTACTCAGCTAACAGAGTTGAACCTTTCTTTTGAGAGAGCAGTTTTGAAACACTCTTTTTGTGGAATATGCAAGTGGGTATTAGGCCAGCTTGGAGGATTTCGTTGGAAACGGGAATACGTATAAAAAGCAGACAGCAGCATTGTCAGAAACTACTTTGTGATGTTTGCATTCAAGTCACAGAATTGAACACTCCCTTTCACAGAGCAGGTTTGAAACACTCTTTTTGTAGTGTCTGTAAGTGAACATATGGATTGCTTTCAGGCCTAAGGTGAAAAAGGAAATATCTTCCCATAAAAACTAGACAGAAGCATTCTCAGAAACTTGTTTGTGATGTGTGCCCTCTACTGACAGAGTTGAACCTTTCTTTGCAAAGAGCAGTTTTGAAACACTCTTTTTGTAGAATCTGCAAGAGGATATTTGGATAGCTTTGAAGATTTCTTGGGAAACGGGAATGTCTTCAGATAAACTCTAGACAGAAGCATTCTCAGAAACTTCTTTGGGATGTTTCAATTGAAGTCACAGTGTTGAACATTCCCTTTCACAGAGCAGGTTTGAAACACTCTTTTTGTAGTGTCTATAAGTGAACATTTGGCGTGCTTTCAGGCCTAACGTGAAAAAGGAAATATCTTCCCATAAAAACTAGACAGAAGCATTCTCAGAAACTTGTTCATGATGTGTGCCCTCTACTGACAGAGTTGAACCTTTCTTTGCAAAGAGCAGCTTTGAAACACTCTTTTTGTAGAATCTGCAAGAGGATATTTGGATAGCTTGGAGGATTTCGTTGGAAACGGGTATGTCTTCAGATAAACTCTAGACAGAAGCATTCTCAGAAACTTCTTTGGGATGTTGCATTCAAGTCACAGAGTAGAACATTCCCATTCATAGAGCAGATTTGAAACACTCTTTTTGTAGTATCTGGAAGTGGACATTTGGAGCGCTTTCAGGCCTATGTTGAAAAAGGAAATATCTTCCCATAAAAACTAGACGGAAGCATTCTCAGAAACTTATTTGTGATGTGTTTGCTCAACTAACAGGATTGAACCATCGTTTTGAAGGAGCAGTTTTGAAACACTGTTTTCGTGGAATCTGCAAGTGGATATTTGGCTAGCTTTGAGGATTTCGTTGGAAACGGGATTACATATAAAAAGGAGACAGCAGCATTCTCAGAAACTTCTTTGTGATGTCTGCATTCAATTCACAGAGTTGAGCATTCCCTTTCATAGAGCACGTTGGAAACACTCTTTTTGTAGTATCTGGATGAGGACATTTGGAGCGCTTTCAGGCCTATGGTGAAAAAGGAAATATCTTCCCGTAAAAACTAGACAGAAGCATTCTCAGAAGTTTATTTGTGATGTGTGCCCTCAACTAACAGAGTTGAACCTTTCTTTTGATAGAGCAGTTTTGAAACACTCTTTTTGTAAAATCTGCAAGAGGATATTTGGATAGCTTTGAGGATTTCGTTGCAAACGGGAATGGCTTCATATAAACTCTAGACAGAAGCATTCTCAGAAACTTCGTTGGGATGTTTCGATTGAAGTCCCAGTGTTGAACATTCCCTTTTATAGAGCAGGTTGGAAACACTCTTTCTGCATTCCCTGGAAGTGGACATTTTGAGCGCTTTCAGGACGACGGTGAAAATGGAAATATCTTCCAAGAAAATCTAGATAGAAGCAATGTCAGAAACTTTTATGTGATGGATCTACTCAGCTAACAGAGTTGAACCTTTCTTTTGAGAGAGCAGTTTTGCAACACTCTTTTTGTGGAATATGCAAGTGGATATTAGGGCAGCTTTGAGGATTTCGTTGGAAACGGGAATACATGTAAAAAGCAGACAGCAGCATTCTCAGAAACTTCTTTGTGATGTTTGCATTGAAGTCACAGAGTTGAACATTCCCTTTGAGAGAGCAGGTTTGAAACACGCCTTTTGTCATATCTGGAAGTGTCCATTCGGAGCGCATTCAGGCTTGTGTTGAAAAAGGATATATCCTCCCATAAAAACTAGACAGAAGCATTCTCAGAAACTTATCTGTGATGTATGTACTCAACTAACAGAACTAAACCATCGTTTTGAAGGAGCAGTTTTGAAACACTCTTTTTGCGGAATCTGCAAGTGGATATTTGGCTAGCTGGGAGGATTTCGTTGGAAACGGGATTACATACAAAAAGCAGACAGCAGCATTCTCAGAAACTTCTTTGTGATGTTTGCATTCAAGTCACAGAGTTGAACATTCCCTTTCATAGAGCAGGTTTGAAACACTCTTTTTGTAGTATCTGGATGTGGACATTTGGATCGCTTTCAGGCCTATGGTGAAAAAGGAAATATCTTCCCATGAAAACTAGACAGAAGCATTCTCAGAAACTTATTTGTGATGTGTGCCCTCAACTGACAGTGTTGAACCTTTGTTTTGATAGAGCAGTTCTGAAACACACTTTTTGTAAAATCTGCAAGAGGATATTTGGATAGCTTTGAGGATTTCGTTGGAAACGGGAATGTCTTCATGTAAACTCTACACAGAAGCATTCTCAGAAACTGCTTTGGGATGTTTCAATTGAAGTCCCAGCGTTGAACATTCCCATTCATAGAGCAGGTTTGAAACACTCTTTTTGTACTATCTGGAAGTGGACATTTGGAGCGCTTTCAGGTCTACGGTGAAAAAGGAGATATCTTCCAATAAAAACTAGATAGAAGCAATGTCAGAACTTTTTTCATGATGTATCTACTCAGCAAACAGAGTTGAACCTTTCTTTTGAGAGAGCAGTTTTGACACAGTCTTTGTGGAATATGCAAGTGGGTATTAGGCCAGCTTGGAGGATTTCGTTGGAAACGGGAATACGTATAAAAAGCAGACAGCAGCATTGTCAGAAACTACTTTGTGATGTTTGCATTCAAGTCACAGAATTGAACACTCCCTTTCACAGAGCAGGTTTGAAACACTCTTTTTGTAGTGTCTGTAAGTGAACATTTGGATTGCTTTCAGGCCTATGGTGAAAAAGGTAATATCTTCCCATAAAAACTAGACAGAAGCATTCTCAGAAACTTGTTTGTGATGTGTGCCCTCTACTGACAGAGTTGAACCTTTCTTTGCAAAGAGCAGTTTTGAAACACTCTTTTTGTAGAATCTGCACGAGGATATTTGGATAGCTTTGAGGATTTCTTGGGAAACGGGAATGTCTTCAGATAAACTCTAGACAGAAGCATTCTCAGAAACTTCTTTGGGATGTTTCAATTGAAGTCACAGTGTTGAACATTCCCTTTCACAGAGCAGGTTTGAAACACTCTTTTTGTAGTGTCTATAAGTGAACATTTGGCGTGCTTTCAGGCCTAACGTGAAAAAGGAAATATCTTCCCATAAAAACTAGACAGAAGCATTCTCAGAAACTTGTTCGTGATGTGTGCCCTCTACTGACAGAGTTGAACCTTTCTTTGCAAAGAGCAGCTTTGAAACACTCTTTTTGTAGAATCTGCAAGAGGATATTTGGATAGCTTGGAGGATTTCGTTGGAAACGGGTATGTCTTCAGATAAACTCTAGACAGAAGCATTCTCAGAAACTTCTTTGGGATGTTGCATTCAAGTCACAGAGTAGAACATTCCCATTCATAGAGCAGATTTGAAACACTCTTTTTGTAGTATCTGGAAGTGGACATTTGGAGCGCTTTCAGGCCTATGTTGAAAAAGGAAATATCTTCCCATAAAAACTAGACGGAAGCATTCTCAGAAACTTACTTGTGATGTGTTTGCTCAACTAACAGAATTGAACCATCGTTTTGAAGGAGCAGTTTTGAAACACTGTTTTCGTGGAATCTGCAAGTGGATATTTGGCTAGCTTTGAGGATTTCGTTGGAAACGGGATTACATATACAAAGGAGACAGCAGCATTCTCAGAAACTTCTTTGTGATGTCTGCATTCAATTCACAGAGTTGAGCATTCCCTTTCATAGAGCACGTTGGAAACACTCTTTTTGTAGTATCTGGATGAGGACATTTGGAGCGCTTTCAGGCGTATGGTGAAAAAGGAAATATCTTCCCGTAAAAACTAGACAGAAGCATTCTCAGAAATTTATTTGTGATGTGTGCCCTCAACTAACAGAGTTGAACCTTTCTTTTGATAGAGCAGTTTTGAAACACTCTTTTTGTAAAATCTGCAAGAGGATATTTGGATAGCTTTGAGGATTTCGTTGCAAACGGGAATGGCTTCATATAAACTCTAGACAGAAGCATTCTCAGAAACTTCGTTGGGATGTTTCGATTGAAGTCCCAGTGTTGAACATTCCCTTTTATAGAGCAGGTTGGAAACACTCTTTCTGCATTCCCTGGAAGTGGACATTTGGAGCGCTTTCAGGACGACGGTGAAAATGGAAATATCTTCTAATAAAATCTAGATAGAAGCAATGTCAGAAACGTTTATGTGATGGATCTACTCAGCTAACAGAGTTGAACCTTTCTTTTGAGAGAGCAGTTTTGCAACACTCTTTTTGTGGAATATGCAAGTGGATATTAGGGCAGCTTTGAGGATTTCGTTGGAAACGGGAATACATGTAAAAAGCAGACAGCGCATTCTCAGTAAACTTCTTTGTGATGTTTGCATTGAAGTCACAGAGTTGAACATTCCCTTTGAGAGAGCAGGATTGAAACACGCCTTTTGTCATATCTGGAAGTGTCCATTCGGAGCGCATTCAGGCTTGTGTTGAAAAAGGAAATATCCTCCCATAAAAAGTATACAGAAGCATTCTCAGAAACTTATTTGTGATGTATGTACTCAACTAACAGAACTAAACCATCGTTTTGACGGAGCAGTTTTGAAACACTCTTTTTGCGGAATCTGCAAGTGGATATTTGGCTAGCTGGGAGGATTTCGTTGGAAACGGGATTACATACAAAAAGCAGAGAGCAGCATTCTCAGAAACTTATTTGTGATGTGTGCCCTCAACTGACAGTGTTGAACCTTTGTTTTGATAGAGCAGTTCTGAAACACACTTTTTGTAAAATCTGCAAGAGGATATTTGGATAGCTTTGAGGATTTCGTTGGAAACGGGAATGTCTTCATGTAAACTCTAGACAGAAGCATTCTCAGAAACTGCTTTGGGATGTTTCAATTGAAGTCCCAGTGTTGAACATTCCCTTTCATAGAGCAGGTTTGAAACACTCTTTTTGTAGTATCTGGATGAGGACATTTGGAGCGCTTTCAGGCGTTTGGTGAAAAAGGAAATATCTTCCCGTAAAAACTAGACAGAAGCAATGTCAGAACTTTTTTCATGATGTATCTACTCAGCAAACAGAGTTGAACCTTTCTTTTGAGAGAGCAGTTTTGAAACACTCTTTTTGTGGAATATGCAAGTGGGTATTAGGCCAGCTTGGAGGATTTCGTTGGAAACGGGAATACGTATAAAAAGCAGACAGCAGCATTGTCAGAAACTACTTTGTGATGTTTGCATTCAAGTCACAGAATTGAACACTCCCTTTCACAGAGCAGGTTTGAAACACTCTTTTTGTAGTGTCTGTAAGTGAACATATGGATTGCTTTCAGGCCTAAGGTGAAAAAGGAAATATCTTCCCATAAAAACTAGACAGAAGCATTCTCAGAAACTTGTTTGTGATGTGTGCCCTCTACTGACAGAGTTGAACCTTTCTTTGCAAAGACCAGTTTTGAAACACTCTTTTTGTAGAATCTGCAAGAGGATATTTGGATAGCTTTGAGGATTTCTTGGGAAACGGGAATGTCTTCAGATAAACTCTAGACAGAAGCATTCTCAGAAACTTCTTTGGGATATTTCAATTGAAGTCACAGTGTTGAACATTCCCTTTCACAGAGCAGGTTTGAAACACTCTTTTTGTAGTGTCTATAAGTGAACATTTGGCGTGCTTTCAGGCGTAACGTGAAAAAGGAAATATCTTCCCATAAAAACTAGACAGAAGCATTCTCAGAAACTTGTTCGTGATGTGTGCCCTCTACTGACAGAGTTGAACCTTTCTTTGCAAAGAGCAGCTTTGAAACACTCTTTTTGTAGAATCTGCAAGAGGATATTTGGATAGCTTGGAGGATTTCGTTGGAAACGGGTATGTCTTCAGATAAACTATAGACAGAAGCATTCTCAGAAACTTCTTTGGGATGTTGCATTCAAGTCACAGAGTAGAACATTCCCATTCATAGAGCAGATTTGAAACACTCTTTTTGTAGTATCTGGAAGTGGACATTTGGAGCGCTTTCAGGCCTATGTTGAAAAAGGAAATATCTTCCCATAAAAACTAGACGGAAGCATTCTCAGAAACTTATTTGTGATGTGCTTGCTCAACTAACAGGATTGAACCATCGTTTTGAAGGAGCAGTTTTGAAACACTGTTTTCATGGAATCTGCAAGTGGATATTTGGCTAGCTTTGAGGATTTCGTTGGAAACGGGATTACATATAAAAAGGAGACAGCAGCATTCTCAGAAACTTCTTTGTGATGTTTGCATTCAAGTCACAGAGTTGAACATTCCCTTTCATAGAGCAGGTTTGAAACACTCTTTTTGTAGTATCTGGATGTGGACATTTGGATCGCTTTCAGGCCTATGGTGAAAAAGGAAATATCTTCCCATGAAAACTAGACAGAAGCATTCTCAGAAACTTATTTGTGATGTGTGCCCTCAACTGACAGTGTTGAACCTTTGTTTTGATAGAGCAGTTCTGAAACACACTTTTTGTAAAATCTGCAAGAGGATATTTGGATAGCTTTGAGGATTTCGTTGGAAACGGGAATGTCTTCATGTAAACTCTAGACAGAAGCATTCTCAGAAACTGCTTTGGGATGTTTCAATTGAAGTCCCAGTGTTGAACATTCCCATTCATAGAGCAGGTTTGAAACACTCTTTTTGTACTATCTGGAAGTGGACATTTGGAGCGCTTTCAGGTCTACGGTGAAAAAGGAGATATCTTCCAATAAAAACTAGATAGAAGCAATGTCAGAACTTTTTTCATGATGTATCTACTCAGCAAACAGAGTTGAACCTTTCTTTTGAGAGAGCAGTTTTGAAACACTCTTTTTGTGGAATATGCAAGTGGGTATTAGGCCAGCTTGGAGGATTTCGTTGGAAACGGGAATACGTATAAAAAGCAGACAGCAGCATTGTCAGAAACTACTTTGTGATGTTTGCATTCAAGTCACAGAATTGAACACTCCCTTTCACAGAGCAGGTTTGAAACACTCTTTTTGTAGTGTCTGTAAGTGAACATTTGGATTGCTTCAGGCCTAAGGTGAAAAAGGAAATATCTTCCCATAAAAACTAGACAGAAGCATTCTCAGAAACTTGTTTGTGATGTGTGCCCTCTACTGACAGAGTTGAACCTTTCTTTGCAAAGAGCAGTTTTGAAACACTCTTTTTGTAGAATCTGCAAGAGGATATTTGGATAGCTTTGAGGATTTCTTGGGAAACGGGAATGTCTTCAGATAAACTCTAGACAGAAGCATTCTCAGAAACTTCTTTGGGATGTTTCAATTGAAGTCACAGTGTTGAACATTCCCTTTCACAGAGCAGGTTTGAAACACTCTTTTTGTAGTGTCTATAAGTGAACATTTGGCGTGCTTTCAGGCCTAACGTGAAAAAGGAAATATCTTCCCATAAAAACTAGACAGAAGCATTCTCAGAAACTTGTTCGTGATGTGTGCCCTCTACTGACAGAGTTGAACCTTTCTTTGCAAAGAGCAGCTTTGAAACACTCTTTCTGTAGAATCTACAAGAGGATATTTGGATAGCTTGGAGGATTTCCTTGGAAACGGGTATGTCTTCAGATAAACTCTAGACAGAAGCATTCTCAGAAACTTCTTTGGGATGTTGCATTCAAGTCACAGAGTAGAACATTCCCATTCATAGAGCAGATTTGAAACACTCTTTTTGTAGTATCTGGAAGTGGACATTTGGAGCGCTTTCAGGCCTATGTTGAAAAAGGAAATATCTTCCCATAAAAACTAGACGGAAGCATTCTCAGAAACTTATTTGTGATGTGTTTGCTCAACTAACAGGATTGAACCATCGTTTTGAAGGAGCAGTTTTGAAACACTGTTTTCGTGGAATCTGCAAGTGGATATTTGGCTAGCTTTGAGGATTTCGTTGGAAACGGGATTACATATAAAAAGGAGACAGCAGCATTCTCAGAAACTTCTTTGTGATGTCTGCATTCAATTCACAGAGTTGAGCATTCCCTTTCATAGAGCAGGTTGGAAACACTCTTTTTGTAGTATCTGGATGAGGACATTTGGAGCGCTTTCAGGCGTATGGTGAAAAAGGAAATATCTTCCCGTAAAAACTAGACAGAAGCATTCTCAGAAGTTTATTTGTGATGTGTGCCCTCAACTAACAGAGTTGAACCTTTCTTTTGATAGAGCAGTTTTGAAACACTCTTTTTGTAAAATCTGCAAGAGGATATTTGGATAGCTTTGAGGATTTCGTTGCAAACGGGAATGGCTTCATATAAACTCTAGACAGAAGCATTCTCAGAAACTTCGTTGGGATGTTTCGATTGAAGTCCCAGTGTTGAACATTCCCTTTTATAGAGCAGGTTGGAAACACTCTTTCTGCATTCCCTGGAAGTGGACATTTGGAGCGCTTTCAGGACGACGGTGAAAATGGAAATATCTTCCAAGAAAATCTAGATAGAAGCAACGTCAGAAACTTTTCTGTGATGGATCTACTCAGCTAACAGAGTTGAACCTTTCTTTTGAGAGAGCAGTTTTGCAACACTCTTTTTGTGGAATATGCAAGTGGATATTAGGGCAGCTTTGAGGATTTCGTTGGAAACGGGAATACATGTAAAAAGCAGACAGCAGCATTCTCAGAAACTTCTTTGTGATGTTTGCATTGAAGTCACAGAGTTGAACATTCCCTTTGAGAGAGCAGGTTTGAAACACGCCTTTTGTCATATCTGGAAGTGTCCATTCGGAGCGCATTCAGGCTTGTGTTGAAAAAGGAAATATCCTCCCATAAAAACTAGACAGAAGCATTCTCAGAAACTTATCTGTGATGTATGTACTCAACTAACAGAACTAAACCATCGTTTTGAAGGAGCAGTTTTGAAACACTCTTTTTGCGGAATCTGCAAGTGGATATTTGGCTAGCTGGGAGGATTTCGTTGGAAACGGGATTACATACAAAAAGCAGACAGCAGCATTCTCAGAAACTTCTTTGTGATGTTTGCATTCAAGTCACAGAGTTGAACATTCCCTTTCATAGAGCAGGTTTGAAACACTCTTTTTGTAGTATCTGGATGTGGACATTTGGATCGCTTTCAGGCCTATGGTGAAAAAGGAAATATCTTCCCATGAAAACTAGACAGAAGCATTCTCAGAAACTTATTTGTGATGTGTGCCCTCAACTGACAGTGTTGAACCTTTGTTTTGATAGAGCAGTTCTGAAACACACTTTTTGTAAAATCTGCAAGAGGATATTTGGATAGCTTTGAGGATTTCGTTGGAAACGGGAATGTCTTCATGTAAACTCTACACAGAAGCATTCTCAGAAACTGCTTTGGGATGTTTCAATTGAAGTCCTAGTGTTGAACATTCCCATTCATAGAGCAGGTTTGAAACACTCTTTTTGTACTATCTGGAAGTGGACATTTGGAGCGCTTTCAGGTCTACGGTGAAAAAGGAGATATCTTCCAATAAAAACTAGATAGAAGCAATGTCAGAACTTTTTTCATGATGTATCTACTCAGCAAACAGAGTTGAACCTTTCTTTTGAGAGAGCAGTTTTGAAACACTCTTTTTGTGGAATATGCAAGTGGGTATTAGGCCAGCTTGGAGGATTTCGTTGGAAACGGGAATACGTATAAAAAGCAGACAGCAGCATTGTCAGAAACTACTTTGTGATGTTTGCATTCAAGTCACAGAATTGAACACTCCCTTTCACAGAGCAGGTTTGAAACACTCTTTTTGTAGTGTCTGTAAGTGAACATTTGGATTGCTTTCAGGCCTAAGGTGAAAAAAGAAATATCTTCCCATAAAAACTAGACAGAAGCATTCTCAGAAACTTGTTTGTGATGTGTGCCCTCTACTGACAGAGTTGAACCTTTCTTTGCAAAGAGCAGTTTTGAAACACTCTTTTTGTAGAATCTGCAAGAGGATATTTGGATAGCTTTGAGGATTTCTTGGGAAACGGGAATGTCCTCAGATAAACTCTAGACAGAAGCATTCTCAGAAACTTCTTTGGGATGTTTCAATTGAAGTCACAGTGTTGAACATTCCCTTTCACAGAGCAGGTTTGAAACACTCTTTTTGTAGTGTCTATAAGTGAACATTTGGCGTGCTTTCAGGCCTAACGTGAAAAAGGAAATATCTTCCCATAAACACTAGACAGAAGCATTCTCAGAAACTTGTTCGTGATGTGTGCCCTCTACTGACAGAGTTGAACCTTTCTTTGCAAAGAGCAGCTTTGAAACACTCTTTTTGTAGAATCTGCAAGAGGATATTTGGATAGCTTTGAGGATTTCGTTGGAAACGGGTATGTCTTCAGATAAACTCTAGACAGAAGCATTCTCAGAAACTTCTTTGGGATGTTGCATTCAAGTCACAGAGTAGAACATTCCCATTCATAGAGCAGATTTGAAACACTCTTTTTGTAGTATCTGGAAGTGGACATTTGGAGCGCTTTCAGGCCTATGTTGAAAAAGGATATATCTTCCCATAAAAACTAGACGGAAGCATTCTCAGAAACTTACTTGTGATGTGTTTGCTCAACTAACAGAATTGAACCATCGTTTTGAAGGAGCAGTTTTGAAACACTGTTTTCGTGGAATCTGCAAGTGGATATTTGGCTAGCTTTGAGGATTTCGTTGGAAACGGGATTACATATAAAAAGGAGACAGCAGCATTCTGAGAAACTTCTTTGTGATGTCTGCATTCAAGTCACAGAGTTGAGCATTCCCTTTCATAGAGCAGGTTGGAAACACTCTTTTTGTAGTATCTGGATGAGGACATTTGGAGCGCTTTCAGGCGTATGGTGAAAAAGGAAATATCTTCCCGTAAAAACTAGACAGAAGCATTCTCAGAAATTTATTTGTGATGTGTGCCCTCAACTAACAGAGTTGAACCTTTCTTTTGATAGAGCAGTTTTGAAACACTCTTTTTGTAAAATCTGCAAGAGGATATTTGGATAGCTTTGAGGATTTCATTGCAAACGGGAATGGCTTCATATAAACTCTAGACAGAAGCATTCTCAGAAACTTCGTTGGGATGTTTCGATTGAAGTCCCAGTGTTGAACATTCCCTTTTATAGAGCAGGTTGGAAACACTCTTTTTGCATTCCCTGGAAGTGGACATTTGGAGCGCTTTCAGGACGACGGTGAAAATGGAAATATCTTCCAATAAAATCTAGATAGAAGCAATGTCAGAAACTTTTCTGTGATGGATCTACTCAGCTAACAGAGTTGAACCTTTCTTTTGAGAGAGCAGTTTTGCAACACTCTTTTTGTGGAATATGCAAGTGGATATTAGGGCAGCTTTGAGGATTTCGTTGGAAACGGGAATACATGTAAAAAGCACACAGCAGCATTCTCAGAAACTTCTTTGTGATGTTTGCATTGAAGTCACAGAGTTGAACATTCCCTTTGAGAGAGCAGGTTTGAAACACGCCTTTTGTCATATCTGGAAGTGTCCATTCGGAGCGCATTCAGGCTTGTGTTGAAAAAGGAAATATCCTCCCAGAAAAACTAGACAGAAGCATTCTCAGAAACTTATCTGTGATGTATGTACTCAACTAACAGAACTAAACCATCGTTTTGAAGGAGCAGTTTTGAAACACTCTTTTTGCGGAATCTGCAAGTGGATATTTGGCTAGCTGGGAGGATTTCGTTGGAAACGGGATTACATACAAAAAGCAGACAGCAGCATTCTCAGAAACTTCTTTGTGATGTTTGCATTCAAGTCACAGAGTTGAACATTCCCTTTCATAGAGCAGGTTTGAAACACTCTTTTTGTAGTATCTGGATGTGGACATTTGGATCGCTTTCAGGCCTATGGTGAAAAAGGAAATATCTTCCCATGAAAACTAGACAGAAGCATTCTCAGAAACTTATTTGTGATGTGTGCCCTCAACTGACAGTGTTGAACCTTTGTTTTGATAGAGCAGTTCTGAAACACACTTTTTGTAAAATCTGCAAGAGGATATTTGGATAGCTTTGAGGATTTCGTTGGAAACGGGAATGTCTTCATGTAAACTCTAGACAGAAGCATTCTCAGAAACTGCTTTGGGATGTTTCAATTGAAGTCCCAGTGTTGAACATTCCCTTTCATAGAGCAGGTTTGAAACACTCTTTTTGTACTATCTGGAAGTGGACATTTGGAGCGCTTTCAGGTCTACGGTGAAAAAGGAGATATCTTCCAATAAAAACTAGATAGAAGCAATGTCAGAACTTTTTTCATGATGTATCTACTCAGCAAACAGAGTTGAACCTTTCTTTTGAGGGAGCAGTTTTGAAACACTATTTTTGTGGAATATGCAAGTGGGTATTAGGCCAGCTTGGAGGATTTCGTTGGAAACGGGAATACGTATAAAAAGCAGACAGCAGCATTGTCAGAAACTACTTTGTGATGTTTGCATTCAAGTCACAGAATTGAACACTCCCTTTCACAGAGCAGGTTTGAAACACTCTTTTTGTAGTGTCTGTAAGTGAACATTTGGATTGCTTTCAGGCCTAAGGTGAAAAAGGAAATATCTTCCCATAAAAACTAGACAGAAGCATTCTCAGAAACTTGTTTGTGATGTGTGCCCTCTACTGACAGAGTTGAACCTTTCTTTGCAAAGAGCAGTTTTGAAACACTCTTTTTGTAGAATCTGCAAGAGGATATTTGGATAGCTTTGAGGATTTCTTGGGAAACGGGAATGTCTTCAGATAAACTCTAGACAGAAGCATTCTCAGAAACTTCTTTGGGATGTTTCAATTGAAGTCACAGTGTTGAACATTCCCTTTCACAGAGCAGGTTTGAAACACTCTTTTTGTAGTGTCTATAAGTGAACATTTGGCGTGCTTTCAGGCCTAACGTGAAAAAGGAAATATCTTCCCATAAAAACTAGACAGAAGCATTCTCAGAAACTTGTTCGTGATGTGTGCCCTCTACTGACAGAGTTGAACCTTTCTTTGCAAAGAGCAGCTTTGAAACACACTTTTTGTAGAATCTGCAAGAGGATATTTGGATAGCTTTGAGGATTTCGTTGGAAACGGGTATGTCTTCAGATAAACTCTAGACAGAAGCATTCTCAGAAACTTCTTTGGGATGTTGCATTCAAGTCACAGAGTAGAACATTCCCATTCATAGAGCAGATTTGAAACACTCTTTTTGTAGTATCTGGAAGTGGACATTTGGAGCGCTTTCAGGCCTATGTTGAAAAAGGAAATATCTTCCCATAAAAACTAGACGGAAGCATTCTCAGAAACTTATTTGTGATGTGTTTGCTCAACTAACAGGATTGAACCATCGTTTTGAAGGAGCAGTTTTGAAACACTGTTTTCGTGGAATCTGCAAGTGGATATTTGGCTAGCTTTGAGGATTTCGTTGGAAATGGGATTACATATAAAAAGGAGACAGCAGCATTCTCAGAAACTTCTTTGTGATGTCTGCATTCAATTCACAGAGTTGAGCATTCCCTTTCATAGAGCAGGTTTGAAACACTCTTTTTGTAGTATCTGGATGTGGACATTTGGATCGCTTTCAGGCCTATGGTGAAAAAGGAAATATCTTCCCATGAAAACTAGACAGAAGTATTCTCAGAAGTTTATTTGTGATGTGTGCCCTCAACTAACAGAGTTGAACCTGTCTTTTGATAGAGCAGTTTTGAAACACTCTTTTTGTAAAATCTGCAAGAGGATATTTGGATAGCTTTGAGGATTTCGTTGCAAACGGGAATGGCTTCATATAAACTCTAGACAGAAGCATTCTCAGAAACTTCGTTGGGATGTTTCGATTGAAGTCCCAGTGTTGAACATTCCCTTTTATAGAGCAGGTTGGAAACACTCTTTCTGCATTCCCTGGAAGTGGACATTTGGAGCGCTTTCAGGACGACGGTGAAAATGGAAATATCTTCCAAGAAAATCTAGATAGAAGCAATGTCAGAAACTTTTATGTGATGGATCTACTCAGCTAACAGAGTTGAACCTTTCTTTTGAGAGAGCAGTTTTGCAACACTCTTTTTGTGGAATATGCAAGTGGATATTAGGGCAGCTTTGAGGATTTCGTTGGAAACGGGAATACATGTAAAAAGCAGACAGCACCATTCTCAGAAACTTCTTTGTGATGTTTGCATTGAAGTCACAGAGTTGAACATTCCCTTTGAGAGAGCAGGTTTGAAACACGCCTTTTGTCATATCTGGAAGTGTCCATTCGGAGCGCATTCAGGCTTGTGTTGAAAAAGGAAATATCCTCCCATAAAAACTAGACAGAAGCATTCTCAGAAACTTATCTGTGATGTATGTACTCAACTAACAGAACTAAACCATCGTTTTGAAGGAGCAGTTTTGAAACACTCTTTTTGCGGAATCTGCAAGTGGATATTTGGCTAGCTGGGAGGATTTCGTTGGAAACGGGATTACATACAAAAAGCAGACAGCAGCATTCTCAGAAACTTCTTTGTGATGTTTGCATTCAAGTCACAGAGTTGAACATTCCCTTTCATAGAGCAGGTTTGAAACACTCTTTTTGTAGTATCTGGATGTGGACATTTGGATCGCTTTCAGGCCTATGGTGAAAAAGGAAATATCTTCCCATGAAAACTAGACAGAAGCATTCTCAGAAACTTATTTGTGATGTGTGCCCTCAACTGACAGTGTTGAACCTTTGTTTTGATAGAGCAGTTCTGAAACACACTTTTTGTAAAATCTGCAAGAGGATATTTGCATAGCTTTGAGGATTTCGTTGGAAACGGGAATGTCTTCATGTAAACTCTAGACAGAAGCATTCTCAGAAACTGCTTTGGGATGTTTCAATTGAAGTCCCAGTGTTGAACATTCCCTTTCATAGAGCAGGTTTGAAACACTCTTTTTGTACTATCTGGAAGTGGACATTTGGAGCGCTTTCAGGTCTACGGTGAAAAAGGAGATATCTTCCAATAAAAACTAGATAGAAGCAATGTCAGAACTTTTTTCATGATGTATCTACTCAGCAAACAGAGTTGAACCTTTCTTTTGAGAGAGCAGTTTTGACACTGTCTTTGTGGAATATGCAAGTGGGTATTAGGCCAGCTTGGAGGATTTCGTTGGAAACGGGAATACGTATAAAAAGCAGACAGCAGCATTGTCAGAAACTACTTTGTGATGTTTGCATTCAAGTCACAGAATTGAACACTCCCTTTCACAGAGCAGGTTTGAAACACTCTTTTTGTAGTGTCTGTAAGTGAACATATGGATTGCTTTCAGGCCTAAGGTGAAAAAGGAAATATCTTCCCATAAAAACTAGACAGAAGCATTCTCAGAAACTTGTTTGTGATGTGTGCCCTCTACTGACAGAGTTGAACCTTTCTTTGCAAAGAGCAGTTTTGAAACACACTTTTTGTAGAATCTGCAAGAGGATATTTGGATAGCTTTGAGGATTTCTTGGGAAACGGGAATGTCTTCAGATAAACTCTAGAAAGAAGCATTCTCAGAAACTTCTTTGGGATGTTTCAATTGAAGTCACAGTGTTGAACATTCCCTTTCACAGAGCAGGTTTGAAACACTCTTTTTGTAGTGTCTATAAGTGAACATTTGGCGTGCTTTCAGGCCTAACGTGAAAAAGGAAATATCTTCCCATAAAAACTAGACAGAAGCATTCTCAGAAACTTGTTTGTGATGTGTGCCCTCTACTGACAGAGTTGAACCTTTCTTTGCAAAGAGCAGCTTTGGAACACTCTTTTTGTAGAATCTGCAAGAGGATATTTGGATAGCTTTGAGGATTTCGTTGGAAACGGGTATGTCTTCAGATAAACTCTAGACAGAAGCATTCCCAGAAACTTCTTTGGGATGTTGCATTCAAGTCACAGAGTAGAACATTCCCATTCATAGAGCAGATTTGAAACACTCTTTTTGTAGTATCTGGAAGTGGACATTTGGAGCGCTTTCAGGCCTATGTTGAAAAAGGAAATATCTTCCCATAAAAACTAGACGGAAGCATTCTCAGAAACTTATTTGTGATGTGTTTGCTCAACTAACAGGATTGAACCATCGTTTTGAAGGAGCAGTTTTGAAACACTGTTTTCGTGGAATCTGCAAGTGGATATTTGGCTAGCTTTGAGGATTTCGTTGGAAACGGGATTACATATAAAAAGGAGACAGCAGCATTCTCAGAAACTTCTTTGTGATGTCTGCATTCAATTCACAGAGTTGAGCATTCCCTTTCATAGAGCAGGTTGGAAACACTCTTTTTGTAGTATCTGGATGTGGACATTTGGATCGCTTTCAGGCCTATGGTGAAAAAGGAAATATCTTCCCATGAAAACTAGACAGAAGCATTCTCAGAAACTTATTTGTGATGTGTGCCCTCAACTGACAGTGTTGAACCTTTGTTTTGATAGAGCAGTTCTGAAACACACTTTTTGTAAAATCTGCAAGAGGATATTTGGATAGCTTTGAGGATTTCGTTGGAAACGGGAATGTCTTCATGTAAACTCTGGACAGAAGCATTCTCAGAAACTGCTTTGGGATGTTTCAATTGAAGTCCCAGTGTTGAACATTCCCATTCATAGAGCAGGTTTGAAACACTCTTTTTGTACTATCTGGAAGTGGACATTTGGAGCGCTTTCAGGTCTACGGTGAAAAAGGAGATATCTTCCAATAAAAACTAGATAGAAGCAATGTCAGAACTTTTTTCATGATGTATCTACTCAGCTAACAGTAGTTGAACCTTTCTTTTGAGAGAGCAGTTTTGAAACACTCTTTGTGTGGAATATGCAAGTGGGTATTAGGCCAGCTTGGAGGATTTCGTTGGAAACGGGAATACGTATAAAAAGCAGACAGCAGCATTGTGAGAAACTACTTTGTGATGTTTGCATTCAAGTCACAGAATTGAACACTCCCTTTCACAGAGCAGGTTTGAAACACTCTTTTTGTAGTGTCTGTAAGTGAACATTTGCATTGCTTTCAGGCCTAAGGTGAAAAAGGAAATATCTTCCCATAAAAACTAGACAGAAGCATTCTCAGAAACTTGTTTGTGATGTGTGCCCTCTACTGACAGAGTTGAACCTTTCTTTGCAAAGAGCAGTTTTGAAACACTCTTTTTGTAGAATCTGCAAGAGGATATTTGGATAGCTTTGAGGATTTCTTGGGAAACGGGAATGTCTTCAGATAAACTCTAGACAGAAGCATTCTCAGAAACTTCTTTGGGATGTTTCAATTGAAGTCACAGTGTTGAACATTCCCTTTCACAGAGCAGGTTTCAAACACTCTTTTTGTAGTGTCTATAAGTGAACATTTGGCGTGCTTTCAGGCCTAACGTGAAAAAGGAAATATCTTCCCATAAAAACTAGACAGAAGTATTCTCAGAAACTTGTTCGTGATGTGTGCCCTCTACTGACAGAGTTGAACCTTTCTTTGCAAAGAGCAGCTTTGAAACACACTTTTTGTAGAATCTGCAAGAGGATATTTGGATAGCTTTGAGGATTTCGTTGCAAACGGGATTACATATAAAAAGGAGACAGCAGCATTCTCAGAAACTTCTTTGTGATGTCTGCATTCAATTCACAGAGTTGAGCATTCCCTTTCATAGAGCAGGTTGGAAACACTCTTTTTGTAGTATCTGGATGAGGACATTTGGAGCGCTTTCAGGCGTATGGTGAAAAAGGAAATATCTTCCCGTAAAAACTAGACAGAAGCATTCTCAGAAGTTTATTTGTGATGTGTGCCCTCAACTAACAGAGTTGAAACTTTCTTTTGATAGAGCAGTTTTGAAACACTCATTTTGTAAAATCTGCAAGAGGATATTTGGATAGCTTTGAGGATTTCGTTGCAAACGGGAATGGCTTCATATAAACTCTAGACAGAAAGCATTCTCAGAAACTTCGTCGGGATGTTTCGATTGAAGTCCCAGTGTTGAACATTCCCTTTTATAGAGCAGGTTGGAAACACTCTTTCTGCATTCCCTGGAAGTGGACAATTGGAGCGCTTTCAGGACGACGGTGAAAATGGAAATATCTTCCAATAAAATCTGGATAGAGCAACGTCAGAAACTTTTCTGTGATGGATCTACTCAGCTAACAGAGTTGAACCTTTCTTTTGAGAGAGCAGTTTCGCAACACTCTTTTTGTGGAATATGCAAGTGGATATTAGGGCAGCTTTGAGGATTTCGTTGGAAACGGGAATACATGTAAAAAGCAGACAGCAAGCATTCTCAGAAACTTCTTTGTGATGTTTGCATTGAAGTCACAGAGTTGAACATTCCCTTTGAGAGAGCAGGTTTGAAACACGCCTTTTGTCATATCTGGAAGTGTCCATTCGGAGCGCATTCAGGCTTGTGTTGAAAAAGGAAAATATCCTCCCATAAAAACTAGACAGAAGCATTCTCAGAAACTTATCTGTGATGTATGTACTCAACTAACAGAACTAAACCATCGTTTTGAAGGAGCAGTTTTGAAACACTCTTTTTGCGGAATCTGCAAGTGGATATTTGGCTAGCTGGGAGGATTTCGTTGGAAACGGGATTACATACAAAAAGCAGACAGCAGCATTCTCAGAAACTTCTTTGTGATGTTTGCATTCAAGTCACAGAGTTGAACATTCCCTTTCATAGAGCAGGTTTGAAACACTCTTTTTGTAGTATCTGGATGTGGACATTTGGATCGCTTTCAGGCCTATGGTGAAAAAGGAAATATCTTCCCATGAAAACTAGACAGAAGCATTCTCAGAAACTTATTTGTGATGTGTGCCCTCAACTGACAGTGTTGAACCTTTGTTTTGATAGAGCAGTTCTGAAACACACTTTTTGTAAAATCTGCAAGAGGATATTTGGATAGCTTTGAGGATTTCGTTGGAAACGGGAATGTCTTCATGTAAACTCTACACAGAAGCATTCTCAGAAACTGCTTTGGGATGTTTCAATTGAAGTCCCAGTGTTGAACATTCCCATTCATAGAGCAGGTTTGAAACACTCTTTTTGTACTATCTGGAAGTGGACATTTGGAGCGCTTTCAGGTCTACAGTGAAAAAGGAGATATCTTCCAATAAAAACTAGATAGAAGCAATGTCAGAACTTTTTTCATGATGTATCTACTCAGCTAACAGAGTTGAACCTTTCTTTTGAGAGAGCAGTTTTGAAACACTCTTTTTGTGGAATATGCAAGTGGGTATTAGGCCAGCTTGGAGGATTTCGTTGGAAACGGGAATACGTATAAAAAGCAGACAGCAGCATTGTCAGAAACTACTTTGTGATGTTTGCATTCAAGTCACAGAATTGAACACTCCCTTTCACAGAGCAGGTTTGAAACACTCTTTTTGTAGTGTCTGTAAGTGAACATATGGATTGCTTTCAGGCCTAAGGTGAAAAAGGAAATATCTTCCCATAAAAACTAGACAGAAGCATTCTCAGAAACTTCTTTGGGATGTTTCAATTGAAGTCACAGTGTTGAACATTCCCTTTCACAGAGCAGGTTTGAAACACTCTTTTTGTAGTGTCTATAAGTGAACATTTGGCGTGCTTTCAGGCCTAACGTGAAAAAGGAAATATCTTCCCATAACAACTAGACAGAAGCATTCTCAGAAACTTGTTCATGATGTGTGCCCTCTACTGACAGAGTTGAACCTTTCTTTGCAAAGAGCAGCTTTGAAACACTCTTTTTGTAGAATCTGCAAGAGGATATTTGGATAGCTTGGAGGATTTCGTTGGAAACGGGTATGTCTTCAGATAAACTCTAGACAGAAGCATTCTCAGAAACTTCTTTGGGATGTTGCATTCAAGTCACAGAGTAGAACATTCCCATTCATAGAGCAGATTTGAAACACTCTTTTTGTAGTATCTGGAAGTGGACATTTGGAGCGCTTTCAGGCCTATGTTGAAAAAGGAAATATCTTCCCATAAAAACTAGACGGAAGCATTCTCAGAAACTTATTTGTGATGTGTTTGCTCAACTAACAGGATTGAACCATCGTTTTGAAGGAGCAGTTTTGAAACACTGTTTTCGTGGAATCTGCAAGTGGATATTTGGCTAGCTTTGAGGATTTCGTTGGAAACGGGATTACATATACAAAGGAGACAGCAGCATTCTCAGAAACTTCTTTGTGATGTCTGCATTCAATTCACAGAGTTGAGCATTCCCTTTCATAGAGCAGGTTGGAAACACTCTTTTTGTAGTATCTGGATGAGGACATTTGGAGCGCTTTCAGGCGTATGGTGAAAAAGGAAATATCTTCCCGTAAAAACTAGACAGAAGCATTCTCAGAAGTTTATTTGTGATGTGTGCCCTCAACTAACAGAGTTGAACCTTTCTTTTGATAGAGCAGTTTTGAAACACTCTTTTTGTAAAATCTGCAAGACGATATTTGGATAGCTTTGAGGATTTCGTTGCAAACGGGAATGGCTTCATATAAACTCTAGACAGAAGCATTCTCAGAAACTTCGTTGGGATGTTTCGATTGAAGTCCCAGTGTTGAACATTCCCTTTTATAGAGCAGGTTGGAAACACTCTTTCTGCATTCCCTGGAAGTGGACATTTGGAGCGCTTTCAGGACGACGGTGAAAATGGAAATATCTTCCAAGAAAATCTAGATAGAAGCAATGTCAGAAACTTTTATGTGATGGATCTACTCAGCTAACAGAGTTGAACCTTTCTTTTGAGAGAGCAGTTTTGCAACACTCTTTTTGTGGAATATGCAAGTGGATATTAGGGCAGCTTTGAGGATTTCGTTGGAAACGGGAATACATGTAAAAAGCAGACAGCAGCATTCTCAGAAACTTCTTTGTGATGTTTGCATTGAAGTCACAGAGTTGAACATTCCCTTTGAGAGAGCAGGTTTGAAACACGCCTTTTGTCATATCTGGAAGTGTCCATTCGGAGCGCATTCAGGCTTGTGTTGAAAAAGGAAATATCCTCCCATAAAAACTAGACAGAAGCATTCTCAGAAACTTATCTGTGATGTATGTACTCAACTAACAGAACTAAACCATCGTTTTGAAGGAGCAATTTTGAAACACTCTTTTTGCGGAATCTGCAAGTGGATATTTGCCTAGCTGGGAGGATTTCGTTGGAAACGGGATTACATACAAAAAGCAGACAGCAGCATTCTCAGAAACTTCTTTGTGATGTTTGCATTCAAGTCACAGAGTTGAACATTCCCTTTCATAGAGCAGGTTTGAAACACTCTTTTTGTAGTATCTGGATGTGGACATTTGGATCGCTTTCAGGCCTATGGTGAAAAAGGAAATATCTTCCCATGAAAACTAGACAGAAGCATTCTCAGAAACTTATTTGTGATGTGTGCCCTCAACTGACAGTGTTGAACCTTTGTTTTGATAGAGCAGTTCTGAAACACACTTTTTGTAAAATCTGCAAGAGGATATTTGGATAGCTTTGAGGATTTCGTTGGAAACGGGAATGTCTTCATGTAAACTCTAGACAGAAGCATTCTCAGAAACTGCTTTGGGATGTTTCAATTGAAGTCCCAGTGTTGAACATTCCCATTCATAGAGCAGGTTTGAAACACTCTTTTTGTACTATCTGGAAGTGGACATTTGGAGCGCTTTCAGGTCTACGGTGAAAAAGGAGATATCTTCCAATAAAAACTAGATAGAAGCAATGTCAGAACTTTTTTCATGATGTATCTACTCAGCAAACAGAGTTGAACCTTTCTTTTGAGAGAGCAGTTTTGAAACACTCTTTTTGTGGAATATGCAAGTGGGTATTAGGCCAGCTTGGAGGATTTCCCTTGGAAACGGGAATACGTATAAAAAGCAGACAGCAGCATTGTCAGAAACTACTTTGTGATGTTTGCATTCAAGTCACAGAATTGAACACTCCCTTTCACAGAGCAGGTTTGAAACACTCTTTTTGTAGTGTCTGTAAGTGAACATTTGGATTGCTTTCAGGCCTAAGGTGAAAAAGGAAATATCTTCCCATAAAAACTAGACAGAAGCATTCTCAGAAACTTGTTTGTGTTGTGTGCCCTCTACTGACAGAGTTGAACCTTTCTTTGCAAAGAGCAGTTTTGAAACACTCTTTTTGTAGAATCTGCAAGAGGATATTTGGATAGCTTTGAAGATTTCTTGGGAAACGGGAATGTCTTCAGATAAACTCTAGACAGAAGCATTCTCAGAAACTTCTTTGGGATGTTTCAATTGAAGTCACAGTGTTGAACATTCCCTTTCACAGAGTAGGTTTGAAACACTCTTTTTGTAGTGTCTATAAGTGAACATTTGGCGTGCTTTCAGGCCTAACGTGAAAAAGGAAATATCTTCCCATAAAAACTAGACAGAAGCATTCTCAGAAACTTGTTCATGATGTGTGCCCTCTACTGACAGAGTTGAACCTTTCTTTGCAAAGAGCAGCTTTGAAACACTCTTTTTGTAGAATCTGCAAGAGGATATTTGGATAGCTTTGAGGATTTCGTTGGAAACGGGTATGTCTTCAGATAAACTCTAGACAGAAGCATTCTCAGAAACTTCTTTGGGATGTTGCATTCAAGTCACAGAGTAGAACATTCCCATTCATAGAGCAGATTTGAAACACTCTTTTTGTAGTATCTGGAAGTGGACATTTGGAGCGCTTTCAGGCCTATGTTGAAAAAGGAAATATCTTCCCATAAAAACTAGACGGAAGCATTCTCAGAAACTTACGTGTGATGTGTTTGCTCAACTAACAGAATTGAACCATCGTTTTGAAGGAGCAGTTTTGAAACACTGTTTTCGTGGAATCTGCAAGTGGATATTTGGCTAGCTTTGAGGATTTCGTTGGAAACGGGATTACATATAAAAAGGAGTCAGCAGCATTCTCAGAAACTTCTTTGTGATGTCTGCATTCAAGTCACAGAGTTGAGCATTCCCTTTCATAGAGCAGGTTGGAAACACTCTTTTTGTAGTATCTGGATGAGGACATTTGGAGCGCTTTCAGGCGTATGGTGAAAACGGAAATATCTTCCCGTAAAAACTAGACAGAAGCATTCTCAGAAGTTTATTTGTGATGTGTGCCCTCAACTAACAGAGTTGAACCTTTCTTTTGATAGAGCAGTTTTGAAACACTCTTTTTGTAAAATCTGCAAGAGGATATTTGGATAGCTTTGAGGATTTCGTTGCAAACGGGAATGGCTTCATATAAACTCTAGACAGAAGCATTCTCAGAAACTTCGTCGGGATGTTTCGATTGAAGTCCCAGTGTTGAACATTCCCTTTTATAGAGCAGGTTGGAAACACTCTTTCTGCATTCCCTGGAAGTGGACATTTGGAGCGCTTTCAGGACGACGGTGAAAATGGAAATATCTTCCAATAAAATCTGGATAGAAGCAATGTCAGAAACTTTTATGTGATGGATCTACTCAGCTAACAGAGTTGAACCTTTCTTTTGAGAGAGCAGTTTTGCAACACTCTTTTTGTGGAATATGCAAGTGGATATTAGGGCAGCTTTGAGGATTTCGTTGGAAACGGGAATACATGTAAAAAGCAGACAGCAGCATTCTCAGAAACTTCTTTGTGATGTTTGCATTGAAGTCACAGCAGTTGAACATTCCCTTTGAGAGAGCAGGTTTGAAACACGCCTTTTGTCATATCTGGAAGTGTCCATTCGGAGCGCATTCAGGCTTGTGTTGAAAAAGGAAATATCCTCCCATAAAAACTAGACAGAAGCATTCTCAGAAACTTATCTGTGATGTATGTACTCAACTAACAGAACTAAACCATCGTTTTGAAGGAGCAGTTTTGAAACACTCTTTTTGCGGAATCTGCAAGTGGATATTTGGCTAGCTGGGAGGATTTCGTTGGAAACGGGATTACATACAAAAAGCAGACAGCAGCATTCTCAGAAACTTCTTTGTGATGTTGGCATTCAAGTCACAGAGTTGAACATTCCCTTTCATAGAGCAGGTTTGAAACACTCTTTTTGTAGTATCTGGATGTGGACATTTGGATCGCTTTCAGGCCTATGGTGAAAAAGGAAATATCTTCCCATGAAAACTAGACAGAAGCATTCTCAGAAACTTATTTGTGATGTGTGCCCTCAACTGACAGTGTTGAACCTTTGTTTTGATAGAGCAGTTCTGAAACACACTTTTTGTAAAATCTGCAAGAGGATATTTGGATAGCTTTGAGGATTTCGTTGGAAACGGGAATGTCTTCATGTAAACTCTACACAGAAGCATTCTCAGAAACTGCTTTGGGATGTTTCAATTGAAGTCCCAGTGTTGAACATTCCCATTCATAGAGCAGGTTTGAAACACTCTTTTTGTACTATCTGGAAGTGGACATTTGGAGCGCTTTCAGGTCTACGGTGAAAAAGGAGATATCTTCCAATAAAAACTAGATAGAAGCAATGTCAGAACTTTTTTCATGATGTATCTACTCAGCTAACAGAGTTGAACCTTTCTTTTGAGAGAGCAGTTTTGAAACACTCTTTTTGTGGAATATGCAAGTGGGTATTAGGCCAGCTTGGAGGATTTCGTTGGAAACGGGAATACGTATAAAAAGCAGACAGCAGCATTGTCAGAAACTACTTTGTGATGTTTGCATTCAAGTCACAGAATTGAACACTCCCTTTCACAGAGCAGGTTTGAAACACTCTTTTTGTAGTGTCTATAAGTGAACATTTGGCGTGCTTTCAGGCCTAAGGTGAAAAAGGAAATATCTTCCCATAAAAACTAGACAGAAGCATTCTCAGAAACTTGTTTGTGATGTGTGCCCTCTACTGACAGAGTTGAACCTTTCTTTGCAAAGAGCAGTTTTGAAACACTCTTTTTGTAGAATCTGCAAGAGGATATTTGGATAGCTTTCAGGATTTCTTGGGAAACGGGAATGTCTTCAGATAAACTCTAGACAGAAGCATTCTCAGAAACTTCTTTGGGATGTTTCAATTGAAGTCACAGTGTTGAACATTCCCTTTCACAGAGCAGGTTTGAAACACTCTTTTTGTAGTATCTGGAAGTGGACATTTGGAGCGCTTTCAGGCCTATGTTGAAAAAGGAAATATCTTCCCATAAAAACTAGACGGAAGCATTCTCAGAAACTTATTTGTGATGTGTTTGCTCAACTAACAGGATTGAACCATCGTTTTGAAGGAGCAGTTTTGAAACACTGTTTTCGTGGAATCTGCAAGTGGATATTTGGCTAGCTTTGAGGATTTCGTTGGAAACGGGATTACATATAAAAAGGAGACAGCAGCATTCTCAGAAACTTCTTTGTGATGTCTGCATTCAATTCACAGAGTTGAGCATTCCCTTTCATAGAGCAGGTTGGAAACACTCTTTTTGTAGTATCTGGATGAGGACATTTGGAGCGCTTTCAGGCCTATGGTGAAAAAGGAAATATCTTCCCGTAAAAACTAGACAGAAGCATTCTCAGAAGTTTATTTGTGATGTGTGCCCTCAACTAACAGAGTTGAACCTTTCTTTTGATAGAGCAGTTTTGAAACACTCTTTTTGTAAAATCTGCAAGAGGATATTTGGATAGCTTTGAGGATTTCGTTGCAAACGGGAATGGCTTCATATAAACTCTAGACAGAAGCATTCTCAGAAACTTCGTTGGGATGTTTCGATTGAAGTCCCAGTGTTGAACATTCCCTTTTATAGAGCAGGTTGGAAACACTCTTTCTGCATTCCCTGGAAGTGGACATTTGGAGCGCTTTCAGGACGACGGTGAAAATGGAAATATCTTCCAAGAAAATCTAGATAGAAGCAATGTCAGAAACTTTTCTGTGATGGATCTACTCAGCTAACAGAGTTGAACCTTTCTTTTGAGAGAGCAGTTTTGCAACACTCTTTTTGTGGAATATGCAAGTGGATATTAGGGCAGCTTTGAGGATTTCGTTGGAAACGGGAATACATGTAAAAAGGAGACAGCAGCATTCTCAGAAACTTCTTTGTGATGTTTGCATTGAAGTCACAGAGTTGAACATTCCCTTTGAGAGAGCAGGTTTGAAACACGCCTTTTGTCATATCTGGAAGTGTCCATTCGGAGCGCATTCAGGCTTGTGTTGAAAAAGGAAATATCCTCCCATAAAAACTAGACAGAAGCATTCTCAGAAACTTATCTGTGATGTATGTACTCAACTAACAGAACTAAACCATCGTTTTGAAGGAGCAGTTTTGAAACACTCTTTTTGCGGAATCTGCAAGTGGATATTTGGCTAGCTGGGAGGATTTCGTTGGAAACGGGATTACATACAAAAAGCAGACAGCAGCATTCTCAGAAACTACTTTGTGATGTTTGCATTCAAGTCACAGAGTTGAACATTCCCTTTCATAGAGCAGGTTTGAAACACTCTTTTTGTAGTATCTGGATGTGGACATTTGGATCGCTTTCAGGCCTATGGTGAAAAAGGAAATATCTTCCCATGAAAACTAGACAGAAGCATTCTCAGCAAACTTATTTGTGATGTGTGCACTCAACTGACAGTGTTGAACCTTTGTTTTGATAGAGCAGTTCTGAAACACACTTTTTGTAAAATCTGCAAGAGGATATTTGGATAGCTTTGAGGATTTCGTTGGAAACGGGAATGTCTTCATGTAAACTCTAGACAGAAGCATTCTCAGAAACTGCTTTGGGATGTTTCAATTGAAGTCCCAGTGTTGAACATTCCCTTTCATAGAGCAGGTTTGAAACACTCTTTTTGTACTATCTGGAAGTGGACATTTGGAGCGCTTTCAGGTCTACGGTGAAAAAGGAGATATCTTCCAATAAAAACTAGATAGAAGCAATGTCAGAACTTTTTTCATGATGTATCTACTCAGCAAACAGAGTTGAACCTTTCTTTTGAGAGAGCAGTTTTGAAACACTCCTTTTGTGGAATATGCAAGTGGGTATTAGGCCAGCTTGGAGGATTTCGTTGGAAACGGGAATACGTATAAAAAGCAGACAGCAGCATTGTCAGAAACTACTTTGTGATGTTTGCATTCAAGTCACAGAATTGAACACTCCCTTTCACAGAGCAGGTTTGAAACTCTCTTTTTGTAGTGTCTATAAGTGAACATTTGGCGTGCTTTCAGGCGTAACGTGAAAAAGGAAATATCTTCCCATAAAAACTAGACAGAAGCACTCTCAGAAACTTGTTTGTGATGTGTGCCCTCTACTGACAGAGTTGAACCTTTCTTTGCAAAGAGCAGTTTTGAAACACTCCTTTTGTAGAATCTGCAAGAGGATATTTGGATAGCTTTGAGGATTTCTTGGGAAACGGGAATGTCTTCAGATAAACTCTAGACAGAAGCATTCTCAGAAACTTCTTTGGGATGTTTCAATTGAAGTCACAGTGTTGAACATTCCCTTTCACAGAGCAGGTTTGAAACACTCTTTTTGTAGTGTCTATAAGTGAACATTTGGCGTGCTTTCAGGCGTAACGTGAAAAAGGAAATATCTTCCCATAAAAACCAGACAGAAGCATTCTCAGAAACTTGTTCGTGATGTGTGCCCTCTACTGACAGAGTTGAACCTTTCTTTGCAAAGAGCAGCTTTGAAACACACTTTTTGTAGAATCTGCAAGAGGATATTTGGATAGCTTTGAGGATTTCGTTGGAAACGGGTATGTCTTCAGATATACTCTAGACAGAAGCATTCTCAGAAACTTCTTTGGGATGTTGCATTCAAGTCACAGAGTAGAACATTCCCATTCATAGAGCAGATTTGAAACACTCTTTTTGTAGTATCTGGAAGTGGACATTTGGAGCGCTTTCAGGCCTATGTTGAAAAAGGAAATATCTTCCCATAAAAACTAGACGGAAGCATTCTCAGAAACTTGTTTGTGATGTGTGCCCTCTACTGACAGAGTTGAACCTTTCTTTGCAAAGACCAGTTTTGAAACACTCTTTTTGTAGAATCTGCAAGAGGATATTTGGATAGCTTTGAGGATTTCTTGGGAAACGGGAATGTCTTCAGATAAACTCTAGACAGAAGCATTCTCAGAAACTTCTTTGGGATATTTCAATTGAAGTCACAGTGTTGAACATTCCCTTTCACAGAGCAGGTTTGAAACACTCTTTTTGTAGTGTCTATAAGTGAACATTTGGCGTGCTTTCAGGCCTAACGTGAAAAAGGAAATATCTTCCCATAAAAACTAGACAGAAGCATTCTCAGAAACTTGTTCGTGATGTGTGCCCTCTACTGACAGAGTTGAACCTTTCTTTGCAAAGAGCAGCTTTGAAACACTCTTTTTGTAGAATCTGCAAGAGGATATTTGGATAGCTTGGAGGATTTCGTTGGAAACGGGTATGTCTTCAGATAAACTATAGACAGAAGCATTCTCAGAAACTTCTTTGGGATGTTGCATTCAAGTCACAGAGTAGAACATTCCCATTCATAGAGCAGATTTGAAACACTCTTTTTGTAGTATCTGGAAGTGGACATTTGGAGCGCTTTCAGGCCTATGTTGAAAAAGGAAATATCTTCCCATAAAAACTAGACGGAAGCATTCTCAGAAACTTATTTGTGATGTGCTTGCTCAACTAACAGGATTGAACCATCGTTTTGAAGGAGCAGTTTTGAAACACTGTTTTCATGGAATCTGCAAGTGGATATTTGGCTAGCTTTGAGGATTTCGTTGGAAACGGGATTACATATAAAAAGGAGACAGCAGCATTCTCAGAAACTTCTTTGTGATGTTTGCATTCAAGTCACAGAGTTGAACATTCCCTTTCATAGAGCAGGTTTGAAACACTCTTTTTGTAGTATCTGGATGTGGACATTTGGATCGCTTTCAGGCCTATGGTGAAAAAGGAAATATCTTCCCATGAAAACTAGACAGAAGCATTCTCAGAAACTTATTTGTGATGTGTGCCCTCAACTGACAGTGTTGAACCTTTGTTTTGATAGAGCAGTTCTGAGACACACTTTTTGTAAAATCTGCAAGAGGATATTTGGATAGCTTTGAGGATTTCGTTGGAAACGGGAATGTCTTCATGTAAACTCTAGACAGAAGCATTCTCAGAAACTGCTTTGGGATGTTTCAATTGAAGTCCCAGTGTTGAACATTCCCTTTCATAGAGCAGGTTTGAAACACTCTTTTTGTACTATCTGGAAGTGGACATTTGGAGCGCTTTCAGGTCTACGGTGAAAAAAGGAGATATCTTCCAATAAAAACTAGATAGAAGCAATGTCAGAACTTTTTTCATGATGTATCTACTCAGCAAACAGAGTTGAACCTTTCTTTTGAGGGAGCAGTTTTGAAACACTATTTTTGTGGAATATGCAAGTGGGTATTAGGCCAGCTTGGAGGATTTCGTTGGAAACGGGAATACGTATAAAAAGCAGACAGCAGCATTGTCAGAAACTACTTTGTGATGTTTGCATTCAAGTCACAGAATTGAACACTCCCTTTCACAGAGCAGGTTTGAAACACTCTTTTTGTAGTGTCTGTAAGTGAACATTTGGATTGCTTTCAGGCCTAAGGTGAAAAAGGAAATATCTTCCCATAAAAACTAGACAGAAGCATTCTCAGAAACTTGTTTGTGATGTGTGCCCTCTACTGACAGAGTTGAACCTTTCTTTGCAAAGAGCAGTTTTGAAACACTCTTTTTGTAGAATCTGCAAGAGGATATTTGGATAGCTTTGAGGATTTCTTGGGAAACGGGAATGTCTTCAGATAAACTCTAGACAGAAGCATTCTCAGAAACTTCTTTGGGATGTTTCAATTGAAGTCACAGTGTTGAACATTCCCTTTCACAGAGCAGGTTTGAAACACTCTTTTTGTAGTGTCTATAAGTGAACATTTGGCGTGCTTTCAGGCCTAACGTGAAAAAGGAAATATCTTCCCATAAAAACTAGACAGAAGCATTCTCAGAAACTTGTTCATGATGTGTGCCCTCTACTGACAGAGTTGAACCTTTCTTTGCAAAGAGCAGCTTTGAAACACTCTTTTTGTAGAATCTGCAAGAGGATATTTGGATAGCTTTGAGGATTTCGTTGGAAACGGGTATGTACTTCAGATAAACTCTAGACAGAAGCATTCTCAGAAACTTCTTTGGGATGTTGCATTCAAGTCACAGAGTAGAACATTCCCATTCATAGAGCAGATTTGAAACACTCTTTTTGTAGTATCTGGAAGTGGACATTTGGAGCGCTTTCAGGCCTATGTTGAAAAAGGAAATATCTTCCCATAAAAACTAGACGGAAGCGTTCTCAGAAACTTATTTGTGATGTGTTTGCTCAACTAACAGGATTGAACCATCGTTTGGAAGGAGCAGTTTTGAAACACTGTTTTCGTGGAATCTGCAAGTGGATATTTGGCTAGCTTTGAGGATTTCGTTGGAAACGGGATTACATATAAAAAGGAGACAGCAGCATTCTCAGAAACTTCTTTGTGATGTCTGCATTCAAGTCACAGAGTTGAGCATTCCCTTTCATAGAGCAGGTTGGAAACACTCTTTTTGTAGTATCTGGATGAGGACATTTGGAGCGCTTTCAGGCGTATGGTGAAAAAGGAAATATCTTCCCGTAAAAACTAGACAGAAGCATTCTCAGAAATTTATTTGTGATGTGTGCCCTCAACTAACAGAGTTGAACCTTTCTTTTGATAGAGCAGTTTTGAAACACTCTTTTTGTAAAATCTGCAAGAGGATATTTGGATAGCTTTGAGGATTTCGTTGCAAACGGGAATGGCTTCATATAAACTCTAGACAGAAGCATTCTCAGAAACTTCGTTGGGATGTTTCGATTGAAGTCCCAGTGTTGAACATTCCCTTTTATAGAGCAGGTTGGAAACACTCTTTCTGCATTCCCTGGAAGTGGACATTTGGAGCGCTTTCAGGACGACGGTGAAAATGGAAATATCTTCCAAGAAAATCTAGATAGAAGCAACGTCAGAAACTTTTCTGTGATGGATCTACTCAGCTAACAGAGTTGAACCTTTCTTTTGAGAGAGCAGTTTTGCAACACTCTTTTTGTGGAATATGCAAGTGGATATTAGGGCAGCTTTGAGGATTTCGTTGGAAACGGGAATACATGTAAAAAGCAGACAGCAGCATTCTCAGAAACTTCTTTGTGATGTTTGCATTGAAGTCACAGAGTTGAACATTCCCTTTGAGAGAGCAGGTTTGAAACACGCCTTTTGTCATATCTGGAAGTGTCCATTCGGAGCGCATTCAGGCTTGTGTTGAAAAAGGAAATATCGTCCCATAAAAACTAGACAGAAGCATTCTCAGAAACTTATCTGTGATGTATGTACTCAACTAACAGAACTAAACCATCGTTTTGAAGGAGCAGTTTTGAAACACTCTTTTTGCGGAATCTGCAAGTGGATATTTGGCTAGCTGGGAGGATTTCGTTGGAAACGGGATTACATACAAAAAGCAGACAGCAGCATTCTCAGAAACTTCTTTGTGATGTTTGCATTCAAGTCACAGAGTTGAACATTCCCTTTCATAGAGCAGGTTTGAAACAATCTTTTTGTAGTATCTGGATGTGGACATTTGGATCGCTTTCAGGCCTATGGTGAAAAAGGAAATATCTTCCCATGAAAACTAGACAGAAGCATTCTCAGAAACTTATTTGCGATGTGTGCCCTCAACTGACAGTGTTGAACCTTTGTTTTGATAGAGCAGTTCTGAAACACACTTTTTGTAAAATCTGCAAGAGGATATTTGGATAGCTTTGAGGATTTCGTTGGAAACGGGAATGTCTTCATGTAAACTCTGGACAGAAGCATTCTCAGAAACTGCTTTGGGATGTTTCAATTGAAGTCCCAGTGTTGAACATTCCCTTTCATAGAGCAGGTTTGAAACACTCTTTTTGTACTATCTGGAAGTGGACATTTGGAGCGCTTTCAGGTCTACGGTGAAAAAGGAGATATCTTCCAATAAAAACTAGATAGAAGCAATGTCAGAACTTTTTTCATGATGTATCTACTCAGCAAACAGAGTTGAACCTTTCTTTTGAGAGAGCAGTTTTGAAACACTCTTTTTGTGGAATATGCAAGTGGGTATTAGGCCAGCTTGGAGGATTTCGTTGGAAACGGGAATACGTATAAAAAGCAGACAGCAGCATTGTCAGAAACTACTTTGTGATGTTTGCATTCAAGTCACAGAATTGAACACTCCCTTTCACAGAGCAGGTTTGAAACACTCTTTTTGTAGTGTCTGTAAGTGAACATTTGGATTGCTTTCAGGCCTAAGGTGAAAAAGGAAATATCTTCCCATAAAAACTAGACAGAAGCATTCTCAGAAACTTGTTTGTGATGTGTGCCCTCTACTGACAGAGTTGAACCTTTCTTTGCAAAGAGCAGTTTTGAAACACTCTTTTTGTAGAATCTGCAAGAGGATATTTGGATAGCTTTGAGGATTTCTTGGGAAACGGGAATGTCTTCAGATAAACTCTAGACAGAAGCATTCTCAGAAACTTCTTTGGGATGTTTCAATTGAAGTCACAGTGTTGAACATTCCCTTTCACAGAGCAGGTTTGAAACACTCTTTTTGTAGTGTCTATAAGTGAACATTTGGCGTGCTTTCAGGCGTAACGTGAAAAAGGAAATATCTTCCCATAAAAACCAGACAGAAGCATTCTCAGAAACTTGTTCGTGATGTGTGCCCTCTACTGACAGAGTTGAACCTTTCTTTGCAAAGAGCAGCTTTGAAACACACTTTTTGTAGAATCTGCAAGAGGATATTTGGATAGCTTGGAGGATTTCGTTGGAAACGGGTATGTCTTCAGATAAACTCTAGACAGAAGCATTCTCAGAAACTTCTTTGGGATGTTGCATTCAAGTCACAGAGTAGAACATTCCCATTCATAGAGCAGATTTGAAACACTCTTTTTGTAGTATCTGGAAGTGGACATTTGGAGCGCTTTCAGGCCTATGTTGAAAAAGGAAATATCTTCCCATAAAAACTAGACGGAAGCATTCTCAGAAACTTATTTGTGATGTGTTTGCTCAACTAACAGGATTGAACCATCGTTTTGAAGGAGCAGTTTTGAAACACTGTTTTCGTGGAATCTGCAAGTGGATATTTGGCTAGCTTTGAGGATTTCGTTGGAAACGGGATTACATATAAAAAGGAGACAGCAGCATTCTCAGAAACTTCTTTGTGATGTCTGCATTCAATTCACAGAGTTGAGCATTCCCTTTCATAGAGCAGGTTGGAAACACTCTTTTTGTAGTATCTGGATGAGGACATTTGGAGCGCTTTCAGGCGTATGGTGAAAAAGGAAATATCTTCCCGTAAAAACTAGACAGAAGCATTCTCAGAAGTTTATTTGTGATGTGTGCCCTCAACTAACAGAGTTGAACCTTTCTTTTGATAGAGCAGTTTTGAAACACTCTTTTTGTAAAATCTGCAAGAGGATATTTGGATAGCTTTGAGGATTTCGTTGCAAACGGGAATGGCTTCATATAAACTCTAGACAGAAGCATTCTCAGAAACTTCGTTGGGATGTTTCGATTGAAGTCCCAGTGTTGAACATTCCCTTTTATAGAGCAGGTTGGAAACACTCTTTCTGCATTCCCTGGAAGTGGACATTTGGAGCGCTTTCAGGACGACGGTGAAAATGGAAATATCTTCCAAGAAAATCTAGATAGAAGCAACGTCAGAAACTTTTCTGTGATGGATCTACTCAGCTAACAGAGTTGAACCTTTCTTTTGAGAGAGCAGTTTTGCAACACTCTTTTTGTGGAATATGCAAGTGGATATTAGGGCAGCTTTGAGGATTTCGTTGGAAACGGGAATACATGTAAAAAGCAGACAGCAGCATTCTCAGAAACTTCTTTGTGATGTTTGCATTGAAGTCACAGAGTTGAACATTCCCTTTGAGAGAGCAGGTTTGAAACACGCCTTTTGTCATATCTGGAAGTGTCCATTCGGAGCGCATTCAGGCTTGTGTTGAAAAAGGAAATATCCTCCCATAAAAACTAGACAGAAGCATTCTCAGAAACTTATCTGTGATGTATGTACTCAACTAACAGAACTAAACCATCGTTTTGAAGGAGCAGTTTTGAAACACTCTTTTTGCGGAATCTGCAAGTGGATATTTGGCTAGCTGGGAGGATTTCGTTGGAAACGGGATTACATACAAAAAGCAGACAGCAGCATTCTCAGAAACTTCTTTGTGATGTTTGCATTCAAGTCACAGAGTTGAACATTCCCTTTCATAGAGCAGGTTTGAAACACTCTTTTTGTAGTATCTGGATGTGGACATTTGGATCGCTTTCAGGCCTATGGTGAAAAAGGAAATATCTTCCCATGAAAACTAGACAGAAGCATTCTCAGAAACTTATTTGTGATGTGTGCCCTCAACTGACAGTGTTGAACCTTTGTTTTGATAGAGCAGTTCTGAAACACACTTTTTGTAAAATCTGCAAGAGGATATTTGGATAGATTTGAGGATTTCGTTGGAAACGGGAATGTCTTCATGTAAACTCTACACAGAAGCATTCTCAGAAACTGCTTTGGGATGTTTCAATTGAAGTCCCAGTGTTGAACATTCCCTTTAATAGAGCAGGTTTGAAACACTCTTTTTGTACTATCTGGAAGTGGACATTTGGAGCGCTTTCAGGTCTACGGTGAAAAAGGATATATCTTCCAATAAAAACTAGATAGAAGCAATGTCAGAACTTTTTTCATGATGTATCTACTCAGCAAACAGAGTTGAACCTTTCTTTTGAGAGAGCAGTTTTGAAACACTCTTTTTGTGGAATATGCAAGTGGGTATTAGGCCAGCTTGGAGGATTTCGTTGGAAACGGGAATACGTATAAAAAGCAGACAGCAGCATTGTCAGAAACTACTTTGTGATGTTTGCATTCAAGTCACAGAATTGAACACTCCCTTTCACAGAGCAGGTTTGAAACACTCTTTTTGTAGTGTCTGTAAGTGAACATATGGATTGCTTTCAGGCCTAAGGTGAAAAAGGAAATATCTTCCCATAAAAACTAGACAGAAGCATTCTCAGAAACTTGTTTGTGATGTGTGCCCTCTACTGACAGAGTTGAACCTTTCTTTGCAAAGAGCAGTTTTGAAACACTCTTTTTGTAGAATCTGCAAGAGGATATTTGGATAGCTTTGAAGATTTCTTGGGAAACGGGAATGTCTTCAGATAAACTCTAGACAGAAGCATTCTCAGAAACTTCTTTGGGATGTTTCAATTGAAGTCACAGTGTTGAACATTCCCTTTCACAGAGCAGGTTTGAAACACTCTTTTTGTAGTGTCTATAAGTGAACATTTGGCGTGCTTTCAGGCCTAACGTGAAAAAGGAAATATCTTCCCATAAAAACTAGACAGAAGCATTCTCAGAAACTTGTTCATGATGTGTGCCCTCTACTGACAGAGTTGAACCTTTCTTTGCAAAGAGCAGCTTTGAAACACTCTTTTTGTAGAATCTGCAAGAGGATATTTGGATAGCTTTGAGGATTTCGTTGGAAACGGGTATGTCTTCAGATAAACTCTAGACAGAAGCATTCTCAGAAACTTCTTTGGGATGTTGCATTCAAGTCACAGAGTAGAACATTCCCATTCATAGAGCAGATTTGAAACACTCTTTTTGTAGTATCTGGAAGTGGACATTTGGAGCGCTTTCAGGCCTATGTTGAAAAAGGAAATATCTTCCCATAAAAACTAGACGGAAGCATTCTCAGAAACTTACTTGTGATGTGTTTGCTCAACTAACAGAATTGAACCATCGTTTTGATGGAGCAGTTTTGAAACACTGTTTTCGTGGAATCTGCAAGTGGATATTTGGCTAGCTTTGAGGATTTCGTTGGAAACGGGATTACATATAAAAAGGAGACAGCAGCATTCTCAGAAACTTCTTTGTGATGTCTGCATTCAATTCACAGAGTTGAGCATTCCCTTTCATAGAGCAGGTTGGAAACACTCTTTTTGTAGTATCTGGATGAGGACATTTGGAGCGCTTTCAGGCGTATGGTGAAAAAGGAAATATCTTCCCGTAAAAACTAGACAGAAGCATTCTCAGAAGTTTATTTGTGATGTGTGCCCTCAACTAACAGAGTTGAACCTTTCTTTTGATAGAGCAGTTTTGAAACACTCTTTTTGTAAAATCTGCAAGAGGATATTTGGATAGCTTTGAGGATTTCGTTGCAAACGGGAATGGCTTAATATAAACTCTAGACAGAAGCATTCTCAGAAACTTCGTCGGGATGTTTCGATTGAAGTCCCAGTGTTGAACATTCCCTTTTATAGAGCAGGTTGGAAACACTCTTTCTGCATTCCCTGGAAGTGGACATTTGGAGCGCTTTCAGGACGACGGTGAAAATGGAAATATCTTCCAATAAAATCTGCATAGAAGCAATGTCAGAAACTTTTATGTGATGGATCTACTCAGCTAACAGAGTTGAACCTTTCTTTTGAGAGAGCAGTTTTGCAACACTCTTTTTGTGGAATATGCAAGTGGATATTAGGGCAGCTTTGAGGATTTCGTTGGAAACGGGAATACATGTAAAAAGCAGACAGCAGCATTCTCAGAAACTTCTTTGTGATGTTTGCATTGAAGTCACAGAGTTGAACATTCCCTTTGAGAGAGCAGGTTTGAAACACGCCTTTTGTCATATCTGGAAGTGTCCATTCGGAACGCATTCAGGCTTGTGTTGAAAAAGGAAATATCCTCCCATAAAAACTAGACAGAAGCATTCTCAGAAACTTATCTGTGATGTATGTACTCAACTAACAGAACTAAACCATCGTTTTGAAGGAGCAGTTTTGAAACACTCTTTTTGCGGAATCTGCAAGTGGATATTTGGCTAGCTGGGAGGATTTCGTTGGAAACGGGATTACATACAAAAAGCAGACAGCAGCATTCTCAGAAACTTCTTTGTGATGTTTGCATTCAAGTCACAGAGTTGAACATTCCCTTTCATAGAGCAGGTTGGAAACACTCTTTTTGTAGTATCTGGATGTGGACATTTGGATCGCTTTCAGGCCTATGGTGAAAAAGGAAATATCTTCCCATGAAAACTAGACAGAAGCATTCTCAGAAACTTATTTGTGATGTGTGCCCTCAACTGACAGTGTTGAACCTTTGTTTTGATAGAGCAGTTCTGAAACACACTTTTTGTAAAATCTGCAAGAGGATATTTGGATAGCTTTGAGGATTTCGTTGGAAACGGGAATGTCTTCATGTAAACTCTGGACAGAAGCATTCTCAGAAACTGCTTTGGGATGTTTCAATTGAAGTCCCAGTGTTGAACATTCCCATTCATAGAGCAGGTTTGAAACACTCTTTTTGTACTATCTGGAAGTGGACATTTGGAGCGCTTTCAGGTCTACGGTGAAAAAGGAGATATCTTCCAATAAAAACTAGATAGAAGCAATGTCAGAACATTTTTCATGATGTATCTACTCAGCAAACAGAGTTGAACCTTTCTTTTGAGAGAGCAGTTTTGAAACACTCTTTTTGTGGAATATGCAAGTGGGTATTAGGCCAGCTTGGAGGATTTCGTTGGAAACGGGAATACGTATAAAAAGCAGACAGCAGCATTGTCAGAAACTACTTTGTGATGTTTGCATTCAAGTCACAGAATTGAACACTCCCTTTCACAGAGCAGGTTTGAAACACTCTTTTTGTAGTGTCTGTAAGTGAACATTTGGATTGCTTTCAGGCCTAAGGTGAAAAAGGAAATATCTTCCCATAAAAACTAGACAGAAGCATTCTCAGAAACTTGTTTGTGATGTGTGCCCTCTACTGACAGAGTTGAACCTTTCTTTGCAAAGAGCAGTTTTGAAACACTCTTTTTGTAGAATCTGCAAGAGGATATTTGGATAGCTTTGAGGATTTCTTGGGAAACGGGAATGTCTTCAGATAAACTCTAGACAGAAGCATTTTCAGAAACTTCTTTGGGATGTTTCAATTGAAGTCACAGTGTTGAACATTCCCTTTCACAGAGCAGGTTTGAAACACTCTTTTTGTAGTGTCTATAAGTGAACATTTGGCGTGCTTTCAGGCCTAACGTGAAAAAGGAAATATCTTCCCATAAAAACTAGACAGAAGCATTCTCAGAAACTTGTTCGTGATGTGTGCCCTCTACTGACAGAGTTGAACCTTTCTTTGCAAAGAGCAGCTTTGAAACACACTTTTTGTAGAATCTGCAAGAGGATATTTGGATAGCTTTGAGGATTTCGTTGGAAACGGGTATGTCTTCAGATAAACTCTAGACAGAAGCATTCTCAGAAACTTCTTTGGGATGTTGCATGCAAGTCACAGAGTAGAACATTCCCATTCATAGAGCAGATTTGAAACACTCTTTTTGTAGTATCTGGAAGTGGACATTTGGAGCGCTTTCAGGCCTATGTTGAAAAAGGAAATATCTTCCCATAAAAACTAGACGGAAGCATTCTCAGAAACTTATTTGTGATGTGTTTGCTCAACTAACAGGATTGAACCATCGTTTTGAAGGAGCAGTTTTGAAACACTGTTTTCGTGGAATCTGCAAGTGGATATTTGGCTAGCTTTGAGGATTTCGTTGGAAACGGGATTACATATAAAAAGGAGACAGCAGCATTCTCAGAAACTTCTTTGTGATGTCTGCATTCAATTCACAGAGTTGAGCATTCCCTTTCATAGAGCAGGTTGGAAACACTCTTTTTGTAGTATCTGGATGTGGACATTTGGATCGCTTTCAGGCCTATGGTGAAAAAGGAAATATCTTCCCATGAAAACTAGACAGAAGCATTCTCAGAAACTTATTTGTGATGTGTGCCCTCAACTGACAGTGTTGAACCTTTGTTTTGATAGAGCAGTTCTGAAACACACTTTTTGTAAAATCTGCAAGAGGATATTTGGATAGCTTTGAGGATTTCGTTGGAAACGGGAATGTCTTCATGTAAACTCTAGACAGGAAGCATTCTCAGAAACTGCTTTGGGATGTTTCAATTGAAGTCCCAGTGTTGAACATTCCCATTCATAGAGCAGGTTTGAAACACTCTTTTTGTACTATCTGGAAGTGGACATTTGGAGCGCTTTCAGGTCTACGGTGAAAAAGGAGATATCTTCCAATAAAAACTAGATAGAAGCAATGTCAGAACTTTTTTCATGATGTATCTACTCAGCAAACAGAGTTGAACCTTTCTTTTGAGAGAGCAGTTTTGAAACACTCTTTTTGTGGAATATGAAAGTGGGTATTAGGCCAGCTTGGAGGATTTCGTTGGAAACGGGAATACGTATAAAAAGCAGACAGCAGCATTGTCAGAAACTACTTTGTGATGTTTGCATTCAAGTCACAGAACTGAACACTCCCTTTCACAGAGCAGGTTTGAAACACTCTTTTTGTAGTGTCTGTAAGTGAACATTTGGATTGCTTTCAGGCCTAAGGTGAAAAAGGAAATATCTTCCCATAAAAACTAGACAGAAGCATTCTCAGAAACTTGTTTGTGATGTGTGCCCTCTACTGACAGAGTTGAACCTTTCTTTGCAAAGAGCAGTTTTGAAACACTCTTTTTGTAGAATCTGCAAGAGGATATTTGGATAGCTTTGAGGATTTCTTGGGAAACGGGAATGTCTTCAGATAAACTCTAGACAGAAGCATTCTCAGAAACTTCTTTGGGATGTTTCAATTGAAGTCACAGTGTTGAACATTCCCTTTCACAGAGCAGGTTTGAAACACTCTTTTTGTAGTGTCTATAAGTGAACATTTGGCGTGCTTTCAGGCGTAACGTGAAAAAGGAAATATCTTCCCATAAAAACCAGACAGAAGCATTCTCAGAAACTTGTTCGTGATGTGTGCCCTCTACTGACAGAGTTGAACCTTTCTTTGCAAAGAGCAGCTTTGAAACACACTTTTTGTAGAATCTGCAAGAGGATATTTGGATAGCTTGGAGGATTTCGTTGGAAACGGGTATGTCTTCAGATAAACTCTAGACAGAAGCATTCTCAGAAACTTCTTTGGGATGTTGCATTCAAGTCACAGAGTAGAACATTCCCATTCATAGAGCAGATTTGAAACACTCTTTTTGTAGTATCTGGAAGTGGACATTTGGAGCGCTTTCAGGCCTATGTTGAAAAAGGAAATATCTTCCCATAAAAACTAGACGGAAGCATTCTCAGAAACTTACTTGTGATGTGTTTGCTCAACTAACAGAATTGAACCATCGTTTTGAAGGAGCAGTTTTGAAACACTGTTTTCGTGGAATCTGCAAGTGGATATTTGGCTAGCTTTGAGGATTTCGTTGGAAACGGGATTACATATAAAAAGGAGACAGCAGCATTCTCAGAAACTTCTTTGTGATGTCTGCATTCAAGTCACAGAGTTGAGCATTCCCTTTCATAGAGCAGGTTGGAAACACTCTTTTTGTAGTATCTGGATGAGGACATTTGGAGCGCTTTCAGGCCTATGGTGAAAAAGGAAATATCTTCCCGTAAAAACTAGACAGAAGCATTCTCAGAAATTTATTTGTGATGTGTGCCCTCAACTAACAGAGTTGAACCTTTCTTTTGATAGAGCAGTTTTGAAACACTCTTTTTGTAATATCTGCAAGAGGATATTTGGATAGCTTTGAGGATTTCATTGCAAACGGGAATGGCTTCATATAAACTCTAGACAGAAGCATTCTCAGAAACTTCGTTGGGATGTTTCGATTGAAGTCCCAGTGTTGAACATTCCCTTTTATAGCGCACGTTGGAAACACTCTTTTTGCATTCCCTGGAAGTGGACATTTGGAGCGCTTTCAGGACGACGGTGAAAATGGAAATATCTTCCAATAAAATCTAGATAGAAGCAACGTCAGAAACTTTTATGTGATGGATCTACTCAGCTAACAGAGTTGAACCTTTCTTTTGAGAGAGCAGTTTTGCAACACTCTTTTTGTGGAATATGCAAGTGGATATTAGGGCAGCTTTGAGGATTTCGTTGGAAACGGGAATACATGTAAAAAGCAGACAGCAGCATTCTCAGAAACTTCTTTGTGATGTTTGCATTGAAGTCACAGAGTTGAACATTCCCTTTGAGAGAGCAGGTTTGAAACACGCCTTTTGTCATATCTGGAAGTGTCCATTCGGAGCGCATTCAGGCTTGTGTTGAAAAAGGAAATATCCTCCCATAAAAACTAGACAGAAGCATTCTCAGAAACTTATCTGTGATGTATGTACTCAACTAACAGAACTAAACCATCCGTTTTGAAGGAGCAGTTTTGAAACACTCTTTTTGCGGAATCTGCAAGTGGATATTTGGCTAGCTGGGAGGATTTCGTTGGAAACGGGATTACATACAAAAAGCAGACAGCAGCATTCTCAGAAACTTATTTGTGATGTGTGCCCTCAACTGACAGTGTTGAACCTTTGTTTTGATAGAGCAGTTCTGATACACACTTTTTGTAAAATCTGCAAGAGGATATTTGGATAGCTTTGAGGATTTCGTTGGAAACGGGAATGTCTTCATGTCAACTCTAGACAGAAGCATTCTCAGAAACTGCTTTGGGATGTTTCAATTGAAGTCCCAGTGTTGAACATTCCCATTCATAGAGCAGGTTTGAAACACTCTTTTTGTACTATCTTGAAGTGGACATTTGGAGCGCTTTCAGGTCTACGGTGAAAAAGGAGATATCTTCCAATAAAAACTAGATAGAAGCAATGTCAGAACTTTTTTCATGATGTATCTACTCAGCAAACAGAGTTGAACCTTTCTTTTGAGAGAGCAGTTTTGAAACAGTCTTTGTGGAATATGCAAGTGGGTATTAGGCCAGCTTGGAGGATTTCGTTGGAAACGGGAATACGTATAAAAAGCAGACAGCAGCATTGTCAGAAACTACTTTGTGATGTTTGCATTCAAGTCACAGAACTGAACACTCCCTTTCACAGAGCAGGTTTGAAACACTCTTTTTGTAGTGTCTGTAAGTGAACATTTGGATTGCTTTCAGGCCTAAGGTGAAAAAGGAAATATCTTCCCATAAAAACTAGACAGAAGCATTCTCAGAAACTTGTTTGTGATGTGTGCCCTCTACTGACAGAGTTGAACCTTTCTTTGCAAAGAGCAGTTTTGAAACACTCTTTTTGTAGAATCTGCAAGAGGATATTTGGATAGCTTTGAGGATTTCTTGGGAAACGGGAATGTCTTCAGATAAACTCTAGACAGAAGCATTCTCAGAAACTTCTTTGGGATGTTTCAATTGAAGTCACAGTGTTGAACATTCCCTTTCACAGAGCAGGTTTGAAACACTCTTTTTGTAGTGTCTATAATTGAACATTTGGCGTGCTTTCAGGCCTAACGTGAAAAAGGAAATATCTTCCCATAAAAACTAGACAGAAGCATTCTCAGAAACTTGTTCGTGATGTGTGCCCTCTACTGACAGAGTTGAACCTTTCTTTGCAAAGAGCAGCTTTGAAACACTCTTTTTGTAGAATCTGCAAGAGGATATTTGGATAGCTTTGAGGATTTCGTTGGAAACGGGTATGTCTTCAGATAAACTCTAGACAGAAGCATTCTCAGAAACTTCTTTGGGATGTTGCATTCAAGTCACAGAGTAGAACATTCCCATGCATAGAGCAGATTTGAAACACTCTTTTTGTAGTATCTGGAAGTGGACATTTGGAGCGCTTTCAGGCCTATGTTGAAAAAGGAAATATCTTCCCATAAAAACTAGACGGAAGCATTCTCAGAAACTTACTTGTGATGTGTTTGCTCAACTAACAGAATTGAACCATCGTTTTGAAGGAGCAGTTTTGAAACACTGATTTCGTGGAATCTGCAAGTGGATATTTGGCTAGCTTTGAGGATTTCGTTGCAAACGGGATTACATATAAAAAGGAGACAGCAGCATTCTCAGAAACTTCTTTGTGATGTTTGCATTCAAGTCACAGAGTTGAACATTCCCTTTCATAGAGCAGGTTTGAAACACTCTTTTTGTAGTATCTGGATGTGGACATTTGGATCGCTTTCAGGCCTATGGTGAAAAAGGAAATATCTTCCCATGAAAACTAGACAGAAGCATTCTCAGAAACTTATTTGTGATGTGTGCCCTCAACTGACAGTGTTGAACCTTTGTTTTGATAGAGCAGTTCTGAAACACACTTTTTGTAAAATCTGCAAGAGGATATTTGGATAGCTTTGAGGATTTCGTTGGAAACGGGAATGTCTTCATGTAAACTCTAGACAGAAGCATTCTCAGAAACTGCTTTGGGATGTTTCAATTGAAGTCCCAGTGTTGAACATTCCCTTTCATAGAGCAGGTTTGAAACACTCTTTTTGTAGTATCTGGAAGTGGACATTTGGAGCGCTTTCAGGTCTACGGTGAAAAAGGAGATATCTTCCAATAAAAACTAGATAGAAGCAATGTCAGAACTTTTTTCATGATGTATCTACTCAGCAAACAGAGTTGAACCTTTCTTTTGAGAGAGCAGTTTTGAAACACTCTTTTTGTGGAATATGCAAGTGGGTATTAGGCCAGCTTGGAGGATTTCGTTGGAAACGGGAATACGTATAAAAAGCAGACAGCAGCATTGTCAGAAACTACTTTGTGATGTTTGCATTCAAGTCACAGAATTGAACACTCCCTTTCACAGAGCAGGTTTGAAACACTCTTTTTGTAGTGTCTGTAAGTGAACATTTGGATTGCTTTCAGGCCTAAGGTGAAAAAGGAAATATCATCCCATAAAAACTAGACAGAAGCATTCTCAGAAACTTGTTTGTGATGTGTGCCCTCTACTGACAGAGTTGAACCTTTCTTTGCAAAGAGCAGTTTTGAAACACTTTTTTTGTAGAATCTGCAAGAGGATATTTGGATAGCTTTGAGGATTTCTTGGGAAACGGGAATGTCTTCAGATAAACTCTAGACAGAAGCATTCTCAGAAACTTCTTTGGGATGTTTCAATTGAAGTCACAGTGTTGAACATTCCCTTTCACAGAGCAGGTTTGAAACACTCTTTTTGTAGTGTCTATAAGTGAACATTTGGCGTGCTTTCAGGCCTAACGTGAAAAAGGAAATATCTTCCCATAAAAACTAGACAGAAGCATTCTCAGAAACTTGTTCGTGATGTGTGCCCTCTACTGACAGAGTTGAACCTTTCTTTGCAAAGAGCAGCTTTGAAACACACTTTTTGTAGAATCTGCAAGAGGATATTTGGATAGCTTGGAGGATTTCGTTGGAAACGGGTATGTCTTCAGATAAACTCTAGACAGAAGCATTCTCAGAAACTTCTTTGGGATGTTGCATTCAAGTCACAGAGTAGAACATTCCCATTCATAGAGCAGATTTGAAACACTCTTTTTGTAGTATCTGGAAGTGGACATTTGGAGCGCTTTCAGGCCTATGTTGAAAAAGGAAATATCTTCCCATAAAAACTAGACGGAAGCATTCTCAGAAACTTATTTGTGATGTGTTTGCTCAACTAACAGGATTGAACCATCGTTTTGAAGGAGCAGTTTTGAAACACTGTTTTCGTGGAATCTGCAAGTGGATATTTGGCTAGCTTTGAGGATTTCGTTGGAAACGGGATTACATATACAAAGGAGACAGCAGCATTCTCAGAAACTTCTTTGTGATGTCTGCATTCAAGTCACAGAGTTGAGCATTCCCTTTCATAGAGCAGGTTGGAAACACTCTTTTTGTAGTATCTGGATGAGGACATTTGGAGCGCTTTCAGGCCTATGGTGAAAAAGGAAATATCTTCCCGTAAAAACTAGACAGAAGCATTCTCAGAAGTTTATTTGTGATGTGTGCCCTCAACTAACAGAGTTGAACCTTTCTTTTGATAGAGCAGTTTTGAAACACTCTTTTTGTAAAATCTGCAAGAGGATATTTGGATAGCTTTGAGGATTTCGTTGCAAACGGGAATGGCGTCATATAAACTCTAGACAGAAGCATTCTCAGAAACTTCGTTGGGATGTTTCGATTGAAGTCCCAGTGTTGAACATTCCCTTTTATAGAGCAGGTTGGAAACACTCTTTCTGCATTCCCTGGAAGTGGACATTTGGAGCGCTTTCAGGACGACGGTGAAAATGGAAATATCTTCCAAGAAAATCTAGATAGAAGCAACGTCAGAAACTTTTCTGTGATGGATCTACTCAGCTAACAGAGTTGAACCTTTCTTTTGAGAGAGCAGTTTTGCAACACTCTTTTTGTGGAATATGCAAGTGGATATTAGGGCAGCTTTGAGGATTTCGTTGGAAACGGGAATACATGTAAAAAGCAGACAGCAGCATTCTCAGAAACTTCTTTGTGATGTTTGCATTGAAGTCACAGAGTTGAACATTCCCTTTGAGAGAGCAGGTTTGAAACACGCCTTTTGTCATATCTGGAAGTGTCCATTCGGAGCGCATTCAGGCTTGTGTTGAAAAAGGAAATATCCTCCCATAAAAACTAGACAGAAGCATTCTCAGAAACTTATCTGTGATGTATGTACTCAACTAACAGAACTAAACCATCGTTTTGAAGGAGCAGTTTTGAAACACTCTTTTTGCGGAATCTGCAAGTGGATATTTGGCTAGCTGGGAGGATTTCGTTGGAAACGGGATTACATACAAAAAGCAGACAGCAGCATTCTCAGAAACTTCTTTGTGATGTTTGCATTCAAGTCACAGAGTTGAACATTCCCTTTCATAGAGCAGGTTTGAAACACTCTTTTTGTAGTATCTGGATGTGGACATTTGGATCGCTTTCAGGCCTATGGTGAAAAAGGAAATATCTTCCCATGAAAACTAGACAGAAGCATTCTCAGAAACTTATTTGTGATGTGTGCCCTCAACTGACAGTGTTGAACCTTTGTTTTGATAGAGCAGTTCTGAAACACACTTTTTGTAAAATCTGCAAGAGGATATTTGGATAGCTTTGAGGATTTCGTTGGAAACGGGAATGTCTTCATGTAAACTCTACACAGAAGCATTCTCAGAAACTGCTTTGGGATGTTTCAATTGAAGTCCCAGTGTTGAACATTCCCATTCATAGAGCAGGTTTGAAGCACTCTTTTTGTACTATCTGGAAGTGGACATTTGGAGCGCTTTCAGGTCTACGGTGAAAAAGGAGATATCTTCCAAAAAAAACTAGATAGAAGCAATGTCAGAACTTTTTTCATGATGTATCTACTCAGCAAACAGAGTTGAACCTTTCTTTTGAGAGAGCAGTTTTGAAACACTCTTTTTGTGGAATATGCAAGTGGGTATTAGGCCAGCTTGGAGGATTTCGTTGGAAACGGGAATACGTATAAAAAGCAGACAGCAGCATTGTCAGAAACTACTTTGTGATATTTGCATTCAAGTCACAGAATTGAACACTCCCTTTCACAGAGCAGGTTTGAAACACTCTTTTTGTAGTGTCTGTAAGTGAACATTTGGATTGCTTTCAGGCCTAAGGTGAAAAAGGAAATATCTTCCCATAAAAACTAGACAGAAGCATTCTCAGAAACTTGTTTGTGATGTGTGCCCTCTACTGACAGAGTTGAACCTTTCTTTGCAAAGAGCAGTTTTGAAACACTCTTTTTGTAGAATCTGCAAGAGGATATTTGGATAGCTTTGAGGATTTCTTGGGAAACGGGAATGTCTTCAGATAAACTCTAGACAGAAGCATTCTCAGAAACTTCTTTGGGATGTTTCAATTGAAGTCACAGTGTTGAACATTCCCTTTCACAGAGCAGGTTTGAAACACTCTTTTTGTAGTGTCTATAAGTGAACATTTGGCGTGCTTTCAGGCCTAACGTGAAAAAGGAAATATCTTCCCATAGAAACTAGACAGAAGCATTCTCAGAAACTTGTTCGTGATGTGTGCCCTCTACTGACAGAGTTGAACCTTTCTTTGCAAAGAGCAGCTTTGAAACACACTTTTTGTAGAATCTGCAAGAGGATATTTGGATAGCTTTGAGGATTTCGTTGGAAACGGGTATGTCTTCAAATAAACTCTAGACAGAAGCATTCTCAGAAACTTCTTTGGGATGTTGCATTCAAGTCACAGAGTAGAACATTCCCATTCATAGAGCAGATTTGAAACACTCTTTTTGTAGTATCTGGAAGTGGACATTTGGAGCGCTTTCAGGCCTATGTTGAAAAAGGAAATATCTTCCCATAAAAACTAGACGGAAGCATTCTCAGAAACTTATTTGTGATGTGTTTGCTCAACTAACAGGATTGAACCATCGTTTTGAAGGAGCAGTTTTGAAACACTGTTTTCGTGGAATCTGCAAGTGGATATTTGGCTAGCTTTGAGGATTTCGTTGGAAACGGGATTACATATAAAAAGGAGACAGCAGCATTCTCAGAAACTTCTTTGTGATGTCTGCATTCAAGTCACAGAGTTGAGCATTCCCTTTCATAGAGCAGGTTGGAAACACTCTTTTTGTAGTATCTGGATGAGGACATTTGGAGCGCTTTCAGGCCTATGGTGAAAAAGGAAATATCTTCCCGTAAAAACTAGACAGAAGCATTCTCAGAATTTTATTTGTGATGTGTGCCCTCAACTAACAGAGTTGAACCTTTCTTTTGATAGAGCAGTTTTGAAACACTCTTTTTGTAAAATCTGCAAGAGGATATTTGGATAGCTTTGAGGATTTCGTTGCAAACGGGAATGGCTTCATATAAACTCTAGACAGAAGCATTCTCAGAAACTTCGTTGGGATGTTTCGATTGAAGTCCCAGTGTTGAACATTCCCTTTTATAGAGCAGGTTGGAAACACTCTTTCTGCATTCCCTGGAAGTGGACATTTGGAGCGCTTTCAGGACGACGGTGAAAATGGAAATATCTTCCAAGAAAATCTAGATAGAAGCAACGTCAGAAACTTTTCTGTGATGGATCTACTCAGCTAACAGAGTTGAACCTTTCTTTTGAGAGAGCAGTTTTGCAACACTCTTTTTGTGGAATATGCAAGTGGATATTAGGGCAGCTTTGAGGATTTCGTTGGAAACGGGAATACATGTAAAAAGCAGACAGCAGCATTCTCAGAAACTTCTTTGTGATGTTTGCATTGAAGTCACAGAGTTGAACATTCCCTTTGAGAGAGCAGGTTTGAAACACGCCTTTTGTCATATCTGGAAGTGTCCATTCGGAGCGCATTCAGGCTTGTGTTGAAAAAGGAAATATCCTCCCAGAAAAACTAGACAGAAGCATTCTCAGAAACTTATTTGTGATGTATGTACTCAACTAACAGAACTAAACCATCGTTTTGAAGGAGCAGTTTTGAAACACTCTTTTTGCGGAATCTGCAAGTGGATATTTGGCTAGCTGGGAGGATTTCGTTGGAAACGGGATTACATACAAAAAGCAGACAGCAGCATTCTCAGAAACTTATTTGTGATGTGTGCCCTCAACTGACAGTGTTGAACCTTTGTTTTGATAGAGCAGTTCTGAAACACACTTTTTGTAAAATCTGCAAGAGGATATTTGGATAGCTTTGAGGATTTCGTTGGAAACGGGAATGTCTTCATGTAAACTCTACACAGAAGCATTCTCAGAAACTGCTTTGGGATGTTTCAATTGAAGTCCCAGTGTTGAACATTCCCATTCATAGAGCAGGTTTGAAACACTCTTTTTGTACTATCTGGAAGTGGACATTTGGAGCGCTTTCAGGTGTACGGTGAAAAAGGAGATATCTTCCAATAAAAACTAGATAGAAGCAATGTCAGAACTTTTTTCATGATGTATCTACTCAGCAAACAGAGTTGAACCTTTCTTTTGAGAGAGCAGTTTTGAAACACTCTTTTTGTGGAATATGCAAGTGGGTATTAGGCCAGCTTGGAGGATTTCGTTGGAAACGGGAATACGTATAAAAAGCAGACAGCAGCATTGTCAGAAACTACTTTGTGATGTTTGCATTCAAGTCACAGAATTGAACACTCCCTTTCACAGAGCAGGTTTGAAACACTCATTTTGTAGTGTCTGTAAGTGAACATATGGATTGCTTTCAGGCCTAAGGTGAAAAAGGAAATATCTTCCCATAAAAACTAGACAGAAGCATTCTCAGAAACTTGTTTGTGATGTGTGCCCTCTACTGACAGAGTTGAACCTTTCTTTGCAAAGACCAGTTTTGAAACACTCTTTTTGTAGAATCTGCAAGAGGATATTTGGATAGCTTTGAGGATTTCTTGGGAAACGGGAATGTCTTCAGATAAACTCTAGACAGAAGCATTCTCAGAAACTTCTTTGGGATATTTCAATTGAAGTCACAGTGTTGAACATTCCCTTTCACAGAGCAGGTTTGAAACACTCTTTTTGTAGTGTCTATAAGTGAACATTTGGCGTGCTTTCAGGCCTAACGTGAAAAAGGAAATATCTTCCCATAAAAACTAGACAGAAGCATTCTCAGAAACTTGTTCGTGATGTGTGCCCTCTACTGACAGAGTTGAACCTTTCTTTGCAAAGAGCAGCTTTGAAACACTCTTTTTGTAGAATCTGCAAGAGGATATTTGGATAGCTTTGAGGATTTCGTTGGAAACGGGTATGTCTTCAGATAAACTCTAGACAGAAGCATTCTCAGAAACTTCTTTGGGATGTTGCATTCAAGTCACAGAGTAGAACATTCCCATGCATAGAGCAGATTTGAAACACTCTTTTTGTAGTATCTGGAAGTGGACATTTGGAGCGCTTTCAGGCCTATGTTGAAAAAGGAAATATCTTCCCATAAAAACTAGACGGAAGCATTCTCAGAAACTTACTTGTGATGTGTTTGCTCAACTAACAGAATTGAACCATCGTTTTGAAGGAGCAGTTTTGAAACACTGTTTTCGTGGAATCTGCAAGTGGATATTTGGCTAGCTTTGAGGATTTCGTTGGAAACGGGATTACATATAAAAAGGAGACAGCAGCATTCTCAGCAAACTACTTTGTGATGTCTGCATTCAATTCACAGAGTTGAGCATTCCCTTTCATAGAGCAGGTTGGAAACACTCTTTTTGTAGTATCTGGATGAGGACATTTGGAGCGCTTTCAGGCGTATGGTGAAAAGGGAAATATCTTCCCGTAAAAACTAGACAGAAGCATTCTCAGAAGTTTATTTGTGATGTGTGCCCTCAACTAACAGAAGTTGAACCTTTCTTTTGATAGAGCAGTTTTGAAACACTCTTTTTGTAAAATCTGCAAGAGGATATTTGGATAGCTTTGAGGATTTCGTTGCAAACGGGAATGGCTTCATATAAACTCTAGACAGAAGCATTCTCAGAAACTTCGTTGGGATGTTTCGATTGAAGTCCCAGTGTTGAACATTCCCTTTTATAGAGCAGGTTGGAAACACTCTTTCTGCATTCCCTGGAAGTGGACATTTGGAGCGCTTTCAGGACGACGGTGAAAATGGAAATATCTTCCAAGAAAATCTAGATAGAAGCAACGTCAGAAACTTTTCTGTGATGGATCTACTCAGCTAACAGAGTTGAACCTTTCTTTTGAGAGAGCAGTTTTGCAACACTCTTTTTGTGGAATATGCAAGTGGATATTAGGGCAGCTTTGAGGATTTCGTTGGAAACGGGAATACATGTAAAAAGCAGACAGCAGCATTCTCAGAAACTTCTTTGTGATGTTTGCATTGAAGTCACAGAGTTGAACATTCCCTTTGAGAGAGCAGGTTTGAAACACGCCTTTTGTCATATCTGGAAGTGTCCATTCGGAGCGCATTCAGGCTTGTGTTGAAAAAGGAAATATCCTCCCAGAAAAACTAGACAGAAGCATTCTCAGAAACTTATCTGAGATGTATGTACTCAACTAACAGAACTAAACCATCGTTTTGAAGGAGCAGTTTTGAAACACTCTTTTTGCGGAATCTGCAAGTGGATATTTGGCTAGCTGGGAGGATTTCGTTGGAAACGGGATTACATACAAAAAGCAGACAGCAGCATTCTCAGAAACTTCTTTGTGATGTTTGCATTCAAGTCACAGAGTTGAACATTCCCTTTCATAGAGCAGGTTTGAAACACTCTTTTTGTAGTATCTGGATGTGGACATTTGGATCGCTTTCAGGCCTATGGTGAAAAAGGAAATATCTTCTCATGAAAACTAGACAGAAGCATTCTCAGAAACTTATTTGTGATGTGTGCCCTCAACTGACAGTGTTGAACCTTTGTTTTGATAGAGCAGTTCTGAAACACACTTTTTGTAAAATCTGCAAGAGGATATTTGGATAGCTTTGAGGATTTCGTTGGAAACGGGAATGTCTTCATGTAAACTCTAGACAGAAGCATTCTCAGAAACTGCTTTGGGATGTTTCAATTGAAGTTCCAGTGTTGAACATTCCCTTTCATAGAGCAGGTTTGAAACACTCTTTTTGTACTATCTGGAAGTGGACATTTGGAGCGCTTTCAGGTCTACGGTGAAAAAGGAGATATCTTCCAATAAAAACTAGATAGAAGCAATGTCAGAACTTTTTTCATGATGTATCTACTCAGCTAACAGAGTTGAACCTTTCTTTTGAGAGAGCAGTTTTGAAACACTCTTTTTGTGGAATATGCAAGTGGGTATTAGGCCAGCTTGGAGGATTTCGTTGGAAACGGGAATACGTATAAAAAGCAGACAGCAGCATTGTCAGAAACTACTTTGTGATGTTTGCATTCAAGTCACAGAATTGAACACTCCCTTTCACAGAGCAGGTTTGAAACACTCTTTTTGTAGTGTCTGTAAGTGAACATATGGATTGCTTTCAGGCCTAAGGTGAAAAAGGAAATATCTTCCCATAAAAACTAGACAGAAGCATTCTCAGAAACTTGTTCGTGATGTGTGCCCTCTACTGACAGAGTTGAACCTTTCTTTGCAAAGAGCAGCTTTGAAACACACTTTTTGTAGAATCTGCAAGAGGATATTTGGATAGCTTGGAGGATTTCGTTGGAAACGGGTATGTCTTCAGATAAACTCTAGACAGAAGCATTCTCAGAAACTTCTTTGGGATGTTGCATTCAAGTCACAGAGTAGAACATTCCCATTCATAGAGCAGATTTGAAACACTCTTTTTGTAGTATCTGGAAGTGGACATTTGGAGCGCTTTCAGGCCTATGTTGAAAAAGGAAATATCTTCCCATAAAAACTAGACAGAAGCATTCTCAGAAACTTATTTGTGATGTGTTTGCTCAACTAACAGGATTGAACCATCGTTTTGAAGGAGCAGTTTTGAAACACTGTTTTCGTGGAATCTGCAAGTGGATATTTGGCTAGCTTTGAGGATTTCGTTGGAAACGGGATTACATATAAAAAGGAGACAGCAGCATTCTCAGAAACTTCTTTGTGATGTTTGCATTCAATTCACAGAGTTGAGCATTCCCTTTCATAGAGCAGGTTGGAAACACTCTTTTTGTAGTATCTGGATGTGGACATTTGGATCGCTTTCAGGCCTATGGTGAAAAAGGAAATATCTTCCCATGAAAACTAGACAGAAGCATTCTCAGAAACTTATTTGTGATGTGTGCCCTCAACTGACAGTGTTGAACCTTTGTTTTGATAGAGCAGTTCTGAAACACACTTTTTGTAAAATCTGCAAGAGGATATTTGGATAGCTTTGAGGATTTCGTTGGAAACGGGAATGTCTTCATGTAAACTCTAGACAGAAGCATTCTCAGAAACTGCTTTGGGATGTTTCAATTGAAGTCCCAGTGTTGAACATTCCCTTTCATAGAGCAGGTTTGAAACATTCTTTTTGTACTATCTGGAAGTGGACATTTAGAGCGCTTTCAGGTCTACGGTGAAAAAGGAGATATCTTCCAATAAAAACTAGATAGAAGCAATGTCAGAACTTTTTTCATGATGTATCTACTCAGCAAACAGAGTTGAACCTTTCTTTTGAGAGAGCAGTTTTGAAACACTCTTTTTGTGGAATATGCAAGTGGGTATTAGGCCAGCTTGGAGGATTTCGTTGGAAACGGGAATACGTATAAAAAGCAGACAGCAGCATTGTCAGAAACTACTTTGTGATGTTTGCATTCAAGTCACAGAATTGAACACTCCCTTTCACAGAGCAGGTTTCAAACACTGTTTTTGTAGTGTCTGTAAGTGAACATATGGATTGCTTTCAGGCCTAAGGTGAAAAAGGAAATATCTTCCCATAAAAACTAGACAGAAGCATTCTCAGAAACTTGTTTGTGATGTGTGCCCTCTACTGACAGAGTTGAACCTTTCTTTGCAAAGAGCAGTTTTGAAACAGTCTTTTTGTAGAATCTGCAAGAGGATATTTGGATAGCTTTGAGGATTTCTTGGGAAACGGGAATGTCTTCAGATAAACTCTAGACAGAAGCATTCTCAGAAACTTCTTTGGGATGTTTCAATTGAAGTCACAGTGTTGAACATTCCCTTTCACAGAGCAGGTTTCAAACACTCTTTTTGTAGTGTCTATAAGTGAACATTTGGCGTGCTTTCAGGCCTAACGTGAAAAAGGAAATATCTTCCCATAAAAACTAGACAGAAGCATTCTCAGAAACTTGTTCTTGATGTGTCCCCTCTACTGACAGAGTTGAACCTTTCTTTGCAAAGAGCAGCTTTGAAACACTCTTTTTGTAGAATCTGCAAGAGGATATTTGGATAGCTTGGAGGATTTCGTTGGAAACGGGTATGTCTTCAGATAAACTCTAGACAGAAGCATTCTCAGAAACTTCTTTGGGATGTTGCATTCAAGTCACAGAGTAGAACATTCCCATTCATAGAGCAGATTTGAAACACTCTTTTTGTAGTATCTGGAAGTGGACATTTGGAGCGCTTTCAGGCCTATGTTGAAAAAGGAAATATCTTCCCATAAAAACTAGACGGAAGCATTCTCAGAAACTTATTTGTGATGTGTTTGCTCAACTAACAGGATTGAACCATCGTTTTGAAGGAGCAGTTTTGAAACACTGTTTTCGTGGAATCTGCAAGTGGATATTTGGCTAGCTTTGAGGATTTCGTTGGAAACGGGATTACATATAAAAAGGAGACAGCAGCATTCTCAGAAACTTCTTTGTGATGTCTGCATTCAATTCACAGAGTTGAGCATTCCCTTTCCTAGAGCACGTTGGAAACACTCTTTTTGTAGTATCTGGATGAGGACATTTGGAGCGCTTTCAGGCGTATGGTGAAAAAGGAAATATCTTCCCGTAAAAACTAGACAGAAGCATTCTCAGAAATTTATTTGTGATGTGTGCCCTCAACTAACAGAGTTGAACCTTTCTTTTGATAGAGCAGTTTTGAAACACTCTTTTTGTAAAATCTGCAAGAGGATATTTGGATAGCTTTGAGGATTTCGTTGCAAACGGGAATGGCTTCATATAAACTCTAGACAGAAGCATTCTCAGAAACTTCGTTGGGATGTTTTGATTGAAGTCCCAGTGTTGAACATTCCCTTTTATAGAGCAGGTTGGAAACACTCTTTCTGCATTCCCTGGAAGTGGACATTTGGAGCGCTTTCAGGACGACGGTGAAAATGGAAATATCTTCCAATAAAATCTAGATAGAAGCAACGTCAGAAACTTTTATGTGATGGATCTACTCAGCTAACAGAGTTGAACCTTTCTTTTGAGAGAGCAGTTTTGCAACACTCTTTTTGTGGAATATGCAAGTGGATATTAGGGCAGCTTTGAGGATTTCGTTGGAAACGGGAATACATGTAAAAAGCAGACAGCAGCGTTCTCAGAAACTTCTTTGTGATGTTTGCATTGAAGTCACAGAGTTGAACATTCCCTTTGAGAGAGCAGGTTTGAAACACGCCTTTTGTCATATCTGGAAGTGTCCATTCGGAGCGCATTCAGGCTTGTGTTGAAAAAGGAAATATCCTCCCATAAAAACTAGACAGAAGCATTCTCAGAAACTTATCTGTGATGTATGTACTCAACTAACAGAACTAAACCATCGTTTTGAAGGAGCAGTTTTGAAACACTCTTTTTGCGGAATCTGCAAGTGGATATTTGGCTAGCTGGGAGGATTTCGTTGGAAACGGGATTACATACAAAAAGCAGAGAGCAGCATTCTCAGAAACTTCTTTGTGATGTTTGCATTCAAGTCACAGAGTTGAACATTCCCTTTCATAGAGCAGGTTTGAAACACTCTTTTTGTAGTATCTGGATGTGGACATTTGGATCGCTTTCAGGCCTATGGTGAAAAAGGAAATATCTTCCCATGAAAACTAGACAGAAGCATTCTCAGAAACTTATTTGTGATGTGTGCCCTCAACTGACAGTGTTGAACCTTTGTTTTGATAGAGCAGTTCTGAAACACACTTTTTGTAAAATCTGCAAGAGGATATTTGGATAGCTTTGAGGATTTCGTTGGAAACGGGAATGTCTTCATGTAAACTCTAGACAGAAGCATTCTCAGAAACTGCTTTGGGATGTTTCAATTGAAGTCCCAGTGTTGAACATTCCCTTTCATAGGAGCAGGTTTGAAACACTCTTTTTGTACTATCTGGAAGTGGACATTTGGAGCGCTTTCAGGTCTACGGTGAAAAAGGAGATATCTTCCAATAAAAACTAGATAGAAGCAATGTCAGAACTTTTTTCATGATGTATCTACTCAGCAAACAGAGTTGAACCTTTCTTTTGAGAGAGCAGTTTTGAAACACTCTTTTTGTGGAATATGCAAGTGGGTATTAGGCCAGCTTGGAGGATTTCGTTGGAAACGGGAATACGTATAAAAAGCAGACAGCAGCATTGTCAGAAACTACTTTGTGATGTTTGCATTCAAGTCACAGAATTGAACACTCCCTTTCACAGAGCAGGTTTGAAACACTCTTTTTGTAGTGTCTGTAAGTGAACATTTGGATTGCTTTCAGGCCTAAGGTGAAAAAGGAAATATCTTCCCATAAAAACTAGACAGAAGCATTCTCAGAAACTTGTTTGTGATGTGTGCCCTCTACTGACAGAGTTGAACCTTTCTTTGCAAAGAGCAGTTTTGAAACACTCTTTTTGTAGAATCTGCAAGAGGATATTTGGATAGCTTTGAGGATTTCTTGGGAAACGGGAATGTCTTCAGATAAACTCTAGACAGAAGCATTCTCAGAAACTTCTTTGGGATGTTTCAATTGAAGTCACAGTGTTGAACATTCCCTTTCACAGAGCAGGTTTGAAACACTCTTTTTGTAGTGTCTATAATTGAACATTTGGCGTGCTTTCAGGCCTAACGTGAAAAAGGAAATATCTTCCCATAAAAACTAGACAGAAGCATTCTCAGAAACTTGGTTTGTGATGTGTGCCCTCTACTGACAGAGTTGAACCTTTCTTTGCAAAGAGCAGCTTTGAAACACTCTTTTTGTAGAATCTGCAAGAGGATATTTGGATAGCTTTGAGGATTTCGTTGGAAACGGGTATGTCTTCAGATAAACTCTAGACAGAAGCATTCTCAGAAACTTCTTTGGGATGTTGCATTCAAGTCACAGAGTAGAACATTCCCATTCATAGAGCAGATTTGAAACACTCTTTTTGTAGTATCTGGAAGTGGACATTTGGAGCGCTTTCAGGCCTATGTTGAAAAAGGAAATATCTTCCCATAAAAACTAGACGGAAGCATTCTCAGAAACTTACTTGTGATGTGTTTTCTCAACTAACAGAATTGAACCATCGTTTTGAAGGAGCAGTTTTGACACACTGTTTTCGTGGAATCTGCAAGTGGATATTTGGCTAGCTTTGAGGATTTCGTTGGAAACGGGATTACATATAAAAAGGAGACAGCAGCATTCTCAGAAACTTCTTTGTGATGTCTGCATTCAAATCACAGAGTTGAGCATTCCCTTTCATAGAGCAGGTTGGAAACACTCTTTTTGTAGTATCTGGATGAGGACATTTGGAGCGCTTTCAGGCCTATGGTGAAAAAGGAAATATCTTCCCGTAAAAACTAGACAGAAGCATTCTCAGAAATTTATTTGTGATGTGTGCCCTCAACTAACAGAGTTGAACCTTTCTTTTGATAGAGCAGTTTTGAAACACTCTTTTTGTAAAATCTGCAAGAGGATATTTGGATAGCTTTGAGGATTTCGTTGCAAACGGGAATGGCTTCATATAAACTCTAGACAGAAGCATTCTCAGAAACTTCGTTGGGATGTTTCGATTGAAGTCCCAGTGTTGAACATTCCCTTTTATAGAGCAGGTTGGAAACACTCTTTCTGCATTCCCTGGAAGTGGACAATTGGAGCGCTTTCAGGACGACGGTGAAAATGGAAATATCTTCCAATAAAATCTGGATAGAAGCAATGTCAGAAACTTTTATGTGATGGATCTACTCAGCTAACAGAGTTGAACCTTTCTTTTGAGAGAGCAGTTTTGCAACACTCTTTTTGTGGAATATGCAAGTGGATATTAGGGCAGCTTTGAGGATTTCGTTGGAAACGGGAATACATGTAAAAAGCAGACAGCAGCATTCTCAGAAACTTCTTTGTGATGTTTGCATTGAAGTCACAGAGTTGAACATTCCCTTTGAGAGAGCAGGTTTGAAACACGCCTTTTGTCATATCTGGAAGTGTCCATTCGGAGCGCATTCAGGCTTGTGTTGAAAAAGGAAATATCCTCCCATAAAAACTAGACAGAAGCATTCTCAGAAACTTATCTGTGATGTATGCACTCAACTAACAGAACTAAACCATCGTTTTGAAGGAGCAGTTTTGAAACACTCTTTTTGCGGAATCTGCAAGTGGATATTTGGCTAGCTGGGAGGATTTCGTTGGAAACGGGATTACATACAAAAAGCAGACAGCAGCATTCTCAGAAACTTCTTTGTGATGTTTGCATTCAAGTCACAGAGTTGAGCATTCCCTTTCATAGAGCAGGTTGGAAACACTCTTTTTGTAGTATCTGGATGTGGACATTTGGATCGCTTTCAGGCGTATGGTGAAAAAGGAAATATCTTCCCATGAAAACTAGACAGAAGCATTCTCAGAAATTTATTTGTGATGTGTGCCGTCAACTAACAGAGTTGAACCTTTCTTTTGATAGAGCAGTTTTGAAAGACTCTTTTTGTAAAATCTGCAAGAGGATATTTGGATAGCTTTGAGGATTTCGTTGCAAACGGGAATGGCTTCATATAAACTCTAGACAGAAGCATTCTCAGAAACTTCGTTGGGATGTTTCGATTGAAGTCCCAGTGTTGAACATTCCCTTTTATAGAGCAGGTTGGAAACACTCTTTCTGCATTCCCTGGAAGTGGACATTTGGAGCGCTTTCAGGACGACGGTGAAAATGGAAATATCTTCCAAGCAAAATCTAGATAGAAGCAATGTCAGAAACTTTTATGTGATGGATCTACTCAGCTAACAGAGTTGAACCTTTCTTTTGAGAGAGCAGTTTTGCAACACTCTTTTTGTGGAATATGCAAGTGGATATTAGGGCAGCTTTGAGGATTTCGTTGGAAACGGGAATACATGTAAAAAGCAGACAGCAGCATTCTCAGAAACTTCTTTGTGATGTTTGCATTGAAGTCACAGAGTTGAACATTCCCTTTGAGAGAGCAGGTTTGAAACACGCCTTTTGTCATATCTGGAAGTGTCCATTCGGAGCGCATTCAGGCTTGTGTTGAAAAAGGAAATATCCTCCCATAAAAACTAGACAGAAGCATTCTCAGAAACTTATCTGTGATGTATGTACTCAACTAACAGAACTAAACCATCGTTTTGAAGGAGCAGTTTTGAAACACTCTTTTTGCGGAATCTGCAAGTGGATATTTGGCTAGCTGGGAGGATTTCCGTTGGAAACGGGATTACATACAAAAAGCAGACAGCAGCATTCTCAGAAACTTATTTGTGATGTGTGCCCTCAACTGACAGTGTTGAACCTTTGTTTTGATAGAGCAGTTCTGAAACACACTTTTTGTAAAATCTGCAAGAGGATATTTGGATAGCTTTGAGGATTTCGTTGGAAACGGGAATGTCTTCATGTAAACTCTAGACAGAAGCATTCTCAGAAACTGCTTTGGGATGTTTCAATTGAAGTCCCAGTGTTGAACATTCCCTTTCATAGAGCAGGTTTGAAACACTCTTTTTGTACTATCTGGAAGTGGACATTTGGAGCGCTTTCAGGTCTACGGTGAAAAAGGAGATATCTTCCAATAAAAACTAGATAGAAGCAATGTCAGAACTTTTTTCATGATGTATCTACTCAGCAAACAGAGTTGAACCTTTCTTTTGAGAGAGCAGTTTTGAAACACTCTTTTTGTGGAATATGCAAGTGGGTATTAGGCCAGCTTGGAGGATTTCGTTGGAAACGGGAATACGTATAAAAAGCAGACAGCAGCATTGTCAGAAACTACTTTGTGATGTTTGCATTCAAGTCACAGAATTGAACACTCCCTTTCACAGAGCAGGTTTGAAACACTCTTTTTGTAGTGTCTGTAAGTGAACATTTGGATTGCTTTCAGGCCTAAGGTGAAAAAGGAAATATCTTCCCATAAAAACTAGACAGAAGCATTCTCAGAAACTTGTTTGTGATGTGTGCCCTCTACTGACAGAGTTGAACCTTTCTTTGCAAAGAGCAGTTTTGAAACACTCTTTTTGTAGAATCTGCAAGAGGATATTTGGATAGCTTTGAGGATTTCTTGGGAAACGGGAATGTCTTCAGATAAACTCTAGACAGAAGCATTCTCAGAAACTTCTTTGGGATGTTTCAATTGAAGTCACAGTGTTGAACATTCCCTTTCACAGAGCAGGTTTGAAACACTCTTTTTGTAGTGTCTATAATTGAACATTTGGCGTGCTTTCAGGCCTAACGTGAAAAAGGAAATATCTTCCCATAAAAACTAGACAGAAGCATTCTCAGAAACTTGTTCGTGATGTGTGCCCTCTACTGACAGAGTTGAACCTTTCTTTGCAAAGAGCATCTTTGAAACACTCTTTTTGTAGAATCTGCAAGAGGATATGTGGATAGCTTTGAGGATTTCGTTGGAAACGGGTATGTCTTCAGATAAACTCTAGACAGAAGCATTCTCAGAAACTTCTTTGGGATGTTTCAATTGAAGTCACAGTGTTGAACATTCCCTTTCACAGAGCAGGTTTGAAACACTCTTTTTGTAGTGTCTATAAGTGAACATTTGGCGTGCTTTCAGGCCTAAGGTGAAAAAGGAAATATCTTCCCATAAAAACTAGACAGAAGCATTCTCAGAAACTTGTTCGTGATGTGTGCCCTCTACTGACAGAGTTGAACCTTTCTTTGCAAAGAGCAGCTTTGAAACACTCTTTTTGTAGAATCTGCAAGAGGATATTTGGATAGCTTTGAGGATTTCGTTGGAAACGGGTATGTCTTCAGATAAACTCTAGACAGAAGCATTCTCAGAAACTTCTTTGGGATGTTGCATTCAAGTCACAGAGTAGAACATTCCCATTCATAGAGCAGATTTGAAACACTCTTTTTGTAGTATCTGGAAGTGGACATTTGGAGCGCTTTCAGGCCTATGTTGAAAAAGGAAATATCTTCCCATAAAAACTAGACAGAAGCATTCTCAGAAACTTACTTGTGATGTGTTTGCTCAACTAACAGAATTGAACCATCGTTTTGAAGGAGCAGTTTTGAAACACTGTTTTCGTGGAATCTGCAAGTGGATATTTGGCTAGCTTTGAGGATTTCGTTGGAAACGGGATTACATATAAAAAGGAGACAGCAGCATTCTCAGAAACTTCTTTGTGATGTCTGCATTCAAGTCACAGAGTTGAGCATTCCCTTTCATAGAGCAGGTTGGAAACACTCTTTTTGTAGTATCTGGATGAGGACATTTGGAGCGCTTTCAGGCATATGGTGAAAAAGGAAATATCTTCCCGTAAAAACTAGACAGAAGCATTCTCAGAAATTTATTTGTGTTGTGTGCCCTCAACTAACAGAGTTGAACCTTTCTTTTGATAGAGCAGTTTTGAAACACTCTTTTTGTAAAATCTGCAAGAGGATATTTGGATAGCTTTGAGGATTTCGTTGCAAACGGGAATGGCTTCATATAAACTCTAGACAGAAGCATTCTCAGAAACTTCGTTGGGATGTTTCGATTGAAGTCCCAGTGTTGAACATTCCCTTTTATAGAGCAGGTTGGAAACACTCTTTCTGCATTCCCTGGAAGTGGACATTTGGAGCGCTTTCAGGACGACGGTGAAAATGGAAATATCTTCCAAGAAAATCTAGATAGAAGCAATGTCAGAAACTTTTATGTGATGGATCTACTCAGCTAACAGAGTTGAACCTTTCTTTTGAGAGAGCAGTTTTGCAACACTCTTTTTGTGGAATATGCAAGTGGATATTAGGGCAGCTTTGAGGATTTCGTTGGAAACGGGAATACATGTAAAAAGCAGACAGCAGCATTCTCAGAAACTTCTTTGTGATGTTTGCATTGAAGTCACAGAGTTGAACATTCCCTTTGAGAGAGCAGGTTGGAAACACGCCTTTTGTCATATCTGGAAGTGTCCATTCGGAGCGCATTCAGGCTTGTGTTGAAAAAGGAAATATCCTCCCATAAAAACTAGACAGAAGCATTCTCAGAAACTTATCTGTGATGTATGTACTCAACTAACAGAACTAAACCATCGTTTTGAAGGAGCAGTTTTGAAACACTCTTTTTGCGGAATCTGCAAGTGGATATTTGGCTAGCTGGGAGGATTTCGTTGGAAACGGGATTACATACAAAAAGCAGACAGCAGCATTCTCAGAAACTACTTTGTGATGTTTGCATTCAAGTCACAGAGTTGAACATTCCCTTTCATAGAGCAGGTTTGAAACACTCTTTTTGTAGTATCTGGATGTGGACATTTGGATCGCTTTCAGGCCTATGGTGAAAAAGGAAATATCTTCCCATGAAAACTAGACAGAAGCATTCTCAGAAATTTATTTGTGATGTGTGCCCTCAACTAACAGAGTTGAACCTTTCTTTTGATAGAGCAGTTTTGAAACACTCTTTTTGTAAAATCTGCAAGAGGATATTTGGATAGCTTTGAGGATTTCGTTGCAAACGGGAATGGCTTCATATACACTCTAGACAGAAGCATTCTCAGAAACTTCGTTGGGATGTTTCGATTGAAGTCCCAGTGTTGAACATTCCCTTTTATAGAGCAGGTTGGAAACACTCTTTCTGCATTCCCTGGAAGTGGACATTTGGAGCGCTTTCAGGACGACGGTGAAAATGGAAATATCTTCCAAGAAAATCTAGATAGAAGCAACGTCAGAAACTTTTCTGTGATGGATCTACTCAGCTAACAGAGTTGAACCTTTCTTTTGAGAGAGCAGTTTTGCAACACTCTTTTTGTGGAATATGCAAGTGGATATTAGGGCAGCTTTGAGGATTTCGTTGGAAACGGGAATACATGTAAAAAGCAGACAGCAGCATTCTCAGAAACTTCTTTGTGATGTTTGCATTGAAGTCACAGAGTTGAACATTCCCTTTGAGAGAGCAGGTTTGAAACACGCCTTTTGTCATATCTGGAAGTGTCCATTCGGAGCGCATTCAGGCTTGTGTTGAAAAAGGGAATATCCTCCCATAAAAACTAGACAGAAGCATTCTCAGAAACTTATCTGTGATGTATGTACTCAACTAACAGAACTAAACCATCGTTTTGAAGGAGCAGTTTTGAAACACTCTTTTTGCGGAATCTGCAAGTGGATATTTGGCTAGCTGGGAGGATTTCGTTGGAAACGGGATTACATACAAAAAGCAGACAGCAGCATTCTCAGAAACTTCTTTGTGATGTTTGCATTCAAGTCACAGAGTTGAACATTCCCTTTCATAGAGCAGGTTTGAAACACTCTTTTTGTAGTATCTGGATGTGGACATTTGGATCGCTTTCAGGCCTATGGTGAAAAAGGAAATATCTTCCCATGAAAACTAGACAGAAGCATTCTCAGAAACTTATTTGTGATGTGTGCCCTCAACTGACAGTGTTGAACCTTTGTTTTGATAGAGCAGTTCTGAAACACACTTTTTGTAAAATCTGCAAGAGGATATTTGGATAGCTTTGAGGAGTTCGTTGGAAACGGGAATGTCTTCATGTAAACTCTAGACAGAAGCATTCTCAGAAACTGCTTTGGGATGTTTCAATTGAAGTCCCAGTGTTGAACATTCCCATTCATAGAGCAGGTTTGAAACACTCTTTTTCTACTATCTGGAAGTCGACATTTGGAGCGCTTTCAGGTCTACGGTGAAAAAGGAGATATCTTCCAATAAAAACTAGATAGAAGCAATGTCAGAAACTTTTTCATGATGTATCTACTCAGCTAACAGAGTTGAATCTTTCTTTTGAGAGAGCAGTTTTAAAACTGTCTTTTTGGGGAATATGCAAGTGGATATTAAGCCAGCTTGGAGGATTTCGTTGGAAACGGGAATCCATATAAAAAGCAGACAGCAGCATTCTCAGAAACTTCTTTGTGATGTTTGCATTGAAGTCCCAGATGTGAACATTCCCTTTCATAAAGCAGGTTTGAAACACGCCTTTTGTCATATCTGGAAGTTGTCCATTTGGAGGGCATTCCGGCTTGTGTTGAAAAAGGAAATATCCTCCCATAAAAACTAGATAGAAGCATTCTCAGAAACTTATTTGTGATGTGTGTACTCAACTAACAGAATTGAACCATCGTTTTGAAAGAGCAGTTTTGAAACACTCCTTTTGTGGAATCTGCAAGTGGATATTTGTCTAGCTTTGAGGATTTCGTTGGAAACGGGATTACATATAAAAAGCAGACAGCAGCATTCTCAGAAACTTCTTTGTGATGTCTGCATTCAATTCACAGAGTTGAGCATTCCCTTTCATAGAGCAGGTTGGAAACACTCTTTTTGTAGTATCTGGATGAGGACATTTGGAGCGCTTTCAGGCGTATGGTGAAAAAGGAAATATCTTCCCGTAAAAACTAGACAGAAGCATTCTCAGAAGTTTATTTGTGATGTGTGCCCTCAGCTAACAGAGTTGAACCTTTCTTTTGATAGAGCAGTTTTGAAACACTCTTTTTGTAAAATCTGCAAGAGGATATTTGGATAGCTTTGAGGATTTCGTTGCAAACGGGAATGGCTTCATATAAACTCTAGACAGAAGCATTCTCAGAAACTTCGTTGGGATGTTTCGATTGAAGTCCCAGTGTTGAACATTCCCTTTTATAGAGCAGGTTGGAAACACTCTTTCTGCATTCCCTGGAAGTGGACATTTGGAGCGCTTTCAGGACGACGGTGAAAATGGAAATATCTTCCAAGAAAATCTAGATAGAAGCGATGTCAGAAACTTTTATGTGATGGATCTACTCAGCTAACAGAGTTGAACCTTTCTTTTGAGAGAGCAGTTTTGCAACACTCTTTTTGTGGAATATGCAAGTGGATATTAGGGCAGCTTTGAGGATTTCGTTGGAAACGGGAATACATGTAAAAAGCAGACAGCAGCATTCTCAGAAACTTCTTTGTGATGTTTGCATTGAAGTCACAGAGTTGAACATTCCCTTTGAGAGAGCAGGTTTGAAACACGCCTTTTGTCATATCTGGAAGTGTCCATTCGGAGCGCATTCAGGCTTGTGTTGAAAAAGGAAATATCCTCCCATAAAAACTAGACAGAAGCATTCTCAGAAACTTATCTGTGATGTATGTACTCAACTAACAGAACTAAACCATCGTTTTGAAGGAGCAGTTTTGAAACACTCTTTTTGCGGAATCTGCAAGTGGATATTTGGCTAGCTGGGAGGATTTCGTTGGAAACGGGATTACATACAAAAAGCAGACAGCAGCATTCTCAGAAACTTCTTTGTGATGTTTGCATTCAAGTCACAGAGTTGAACATTCCCTTTCATAGAGCAGGTTTGAAACACTCTTTTTGTAGTATCTGGATGTGGACATTTGGATCGCTTTCAGGCCTATGGTGAAAAAGGAAATATCTTCCCATGAAAACTAGACAGAAGCATTCTCAGAAACTTATTTGTGATGTGTGCCCTCAACTGACAGTGTTGAACCTTTGTTTTGATAGAGCAGTTCTGAAACACACTTTTTGTAAAATCTGCAAGAGGATATTTGGATAGCTTTGAGGATTTCGTTGGAAACGGGAATGTCTTCATGTAAACTCTAGACAGAAGCATTCTCAGAAACTGCTTTGGGATGTTTCAATTGAAGTCCCAGTGTTGAACCTTCCCATTCATAGAGCAGGTTTGAAACACTCTTTTTGTACTATCTGGAAGTGGACATTTTGAGCGCTTTCAGGTCTACGGTGAAAAAGGAGATATCTTCCAGTAAAAACTAGATAGAAGCAATGTCAGAACTTTTTTCATGATGTATCTACTCAGCAAACAGAGTTGAACCTTTCTTTTGAGAGAGCAGTTTTGAAACACTCTTTTTGTGGAATATGCAAGTGGGTATTAGGCCAGCTTGGAGGATTTCGTTGGAAACGGGAATACGTATAAAAAGCAGACAGCAGCATTGTCAGAAACTACTTTGTGATGTTTGCATTCAAGTCACAGAATTGAACACTCCCTTTCACAGAGCAGGTTTGAAACACTCTTTTTGTAGTGTCTGTAAGTGAACATTTGGATTGCTTTCAGGCCTATGGTGAAAAAGGTAATATCTTCCCATAAAAACTAGACAGAAGCATTCTCAGAAACTTGTTTGTGATGTGTGCCCTCTACTGACAGAGTTGAACCTTTCTTTGCAAAGAGCAGTTTTGAAACACTCTTTTTGTAGAATCTGCAAGAGGATATTTGGATAGCTTTGAGGATTTCTTGGGAAACGGGAATGTCTTCAGATAAACTCTAGACAGAAGCATTCTCAGAAACTTCTTTGGGATGTTTCAATTGAAGTCACAGTGTTGAACATTCCCTTTCACAGAGCAGGTTTGAAACACTCTTTTTGTAGTGTCTATAAGTGAACATTTGGCGTGCTTTCAGGCCTAACGTGAAAAAGGAAATATCTTCCCATAAAAACTAGACAGAAGCATTCTCAGAAACTTGTTCGTGATGTGTGCCCTCTACTGACAGAGTTGAACCTTTCTTTGCAAAGAGCAGCTTTGAAACACTCTTTTTGTAGAATCTGCAAGAGGATATTTGGATAGCTTGGAGGATTTCGTTGGAAACGGGTATGTCTTCAGATAAACTCTAGACAGAAGCATTCTCAGAAACTTCTTTGGGATGTTGCATTCAAGTCACAGAGTAGAACATTCCCATTCATAGAGCAGATTTGAAACACTCTTTTTGTAGTATCTGGAAGTGGACATTTGGAGCGCTTTCAGGCCTATGTTGAAAAAGGAAATATCTTCCCATAAAAACTAGACGGAAGCATTCTCAGAAACTTACTTGTGATGTGTTTGCTCAACTAACAGGATTGAACCATCGTTTTGAAGGAGCAGTTTTGAAACACTGTTTTCGTGGAATCTGCAAGTGGATATTTGGCTAGCTTTGAGGATTTCGTTGGAAACGGGATTACATATAAAAAGGAGACAGCAGCATTCTCAGAAACTTCTTTGTGATGTCTGCATTCAATTCACAGAGTTGAGCATTCCCTTTCATAGAGCAGGTTGGAAACCCTCTTTTTGTAGTATCTGGATGTGGACATTTGGATCGCTTTCAGGCCTATGGTGAAAAAGGAAATATCTTCCCATGAAAACTAGACAGAAGCATTCTCAGAAACTTATTTGTGATGTGTGCACTCAACTGACAGTGTTGAACCTTTGTTTTGATAGAGCAGTTCTGAAACACACTTTTTGTAAAATCTGCAAGAGGATATTTGGATAGCTTTGAGGATTTCGTTGGAAACGGGAATGTCTTCATGTAAACTCTAGACAGAAGCATTCTCAGAAACTGCTTTGGGATGTTTCAATTGAAGTCCCAGTGTTGAACATTCCCATTCATAGAGCAGGTTTGAAACACTCTTTTTCTACTATCTGGAAGTGGACATTTGGAGCGCTTTCAGGTCTACGGTGAAAAAGGAGATATCTTCCAATAAAAACTAGATAGAAGCAATGTCAGAACTTTTTTCATGATGTATCTACTCAGCAAACAGAGTTGAACCTTTCTTTTGAGAGAGCAGTTTTGAAACACTCTTTTTGTGGAATATGCAAGTGGGTATTAGGCCAGCTTGGAGGATTTCGTTGGAAACGGGAATACGTATAAAAAGCAGACAGCAGCATTGTCAGAAACTACTTTGTGATGTTTGCATTCAAGTCACAGAATTGAACACTCCCTTTCACAGAGCAGGTTTGAAACACTCTTTTTGTAGTGTCTGTAAGTGAACATTTGGATTGCTTTCAGGCCTAAGGTGAAAAAGGGAAATATCTTCCCATAAAAACTAGACAGAAGCATTCTCAGAAACTTGTTTGTGATGTGTGCCCTCTACTGACAGAGTTGAACCTTTCTTTGCAAAGAGCAGTTTTGAAACACTCTTTTTGTAGAATCTGCAAGAGGATATTTGGATAGCTTTGAGGATTTCTTGGGAAACGGGAATGTCTTCAGATAAACTCTAGACAGAAGCATTCTCAGAAACTTCTTTGGGATGTTTCAATTGAAGTCACAGTGTTGAACATTCCCTTTCACAGAGCAGGTTTGAAACACTCTTTTTGTAGTGTCTATAAGTGAACATTTGGCGTGCTTTCAGGCCTAACGTGAAAAAGGAAATATCTTCCCATAAAAACTAGACAGAAGCATTCTCAGAAACTTGTTCGTGATGTGTGCCCTCTACTGACAGAGTTGAACCTTTCTTTGCAAAGAGCAGCTTTGAAACACACTTTTTGTAGAATCTGCAAGAGGATATTTGGATAGCTTTGAGGATTTCGTTGGAAACGGGTATGTCTTCAGATAAACTCTAGACAGAAGCATTCTCAGAAACTTCTTTGGGATGTTGCATTCAAGTCACAGAGTAGAACATTCCCATTCATAGAGCAGATTTGAAACACTCTTTTTGTAGTATCTGGAAGTGGACATTTGGAGCGCTTTCAGGCCTATGTTGAAAAAGGAAATATCTTCCCATAAAAACTAGACGGAAGCATTCTCAGAAACTTATTTGTGATGTGTTTGCTCAACTAACAGGATTGAACCATCGTTTTGAAGGAGCAGTTTTGAAACACTGTTTTCGTGGAATCTGCAAGTGGATATTTGGCTAGCTTTGAGGATTTCGTTGGAAACGGGATTACATATACAAAGGAGACAGCAGCATTCTCAGAAACTTCTTTGTGATGTCTGCATTCAATTCACAGAGTTGAGCATTCCCTTTCATAGAGCAGGTTGGAAACACTCTTTTTGTAGTATCTGGATGAGGACATTTGGAGCGCTTTCAGGCGTATGGTGAAAAAGGAAATATCTTCCCGTAAAAACTAGACAGAAGCATTCTCAGAAGTTTATTTGTGATGTGTGCCCTCAACTAACAGAGTTGAACCTTTCTTTTGATAGAGCAGTTTTGAAACACTCTTTTTGTAAAATCTGCAAGAGGATATTTGGATAGCTTTGAGGATTTCGTTGCAAACGGGAATGGCTTCATATAAACTCTAGACAGAAGCATTCTCAGAAACTTCGTTGGGATGTTTCGATTGAAGTCCCAGTGTTGAACATTCCCTTTTATAGAGCAGGTTGGAAACACTCTTTCTGCATTCCCTGGAAGTGGACATTTGGAGCGCTTTCAGGACGACGGTGAAAATGGAAATATCTTCCAAGAAAATCTAGATAGAAGCAACGTCAGAAACTTTTCTGTGATGGATCTACTCAGCTAACAGAGTTGAACCTTTCTTTTGAGAGAGCAGTTTTGCAACACTCTTTTTGTGGAATATGCAAGTGGATATTAGGGCAGCTTTGAGGATTTCGTTGGAAACGGGAATACATGTAAAAAGCAGACAGCAGCGTTCTCAGAAACTTCTTTGTGATGTTTGCATTGAAGTCACAGAGTTGAACATTCCCTTTGAGAGAGCAGGTTTGAAACACGCCTTTTGTCATATCTGGAAGTGTCCATTCGGAGCGCATTCAGGCTTGTGTTGAAAAAGGAAATATCCTCCCATAAAAACTAGACAGAAGCATTCTCAGAAACTTATCTGTGATGTATGTACTCAACTAACAGAACTAAACCATCGTTTTGAAGGAGCAGTTTTGAAACACTCTTTTTGCGGAATCTGCAAGTGGATATTTGGCTAGCTGGGAGGATTTCGTTGGAAACGGGATTACATACAAAAAGCAGACAGCAGCATTCTCAGAAACTTCTTTGTGATGTTTGCATTCAAGTCACAGAGTTGAACATTCCCTTTCATAGAGCAGGTTTGAAACACTCTTTTTGTAGTATCTGGATGTGGACATTTGGATCGCTTTCAGGCCTATGGTGAAAAAGGAAATATCTTCCCATGAAAACTAGACAGAAGCATTCTCAGAAACTTATTTGTGATGTGTGCCCTCAACTGACAGTGTTGAACCTTTGTTTTGATAGAGCAGTTCTGAAACACACTTTTTGTAAAATCTGCAAGAGGATATTTGGATAGCTTTGAGGATTTCGTTGGAAACGGGAATGTCTTCATGTAAACTCTAGACAGAAGCATTCTCAGAAACTGCTTTGGGATGTTTCAATTGAAGTCCCAGTGTTGAATATTCCCTTTCATAGAGCAGGTTTGAAACACTCTTTTTGTACTATCTGGAAGTGGACATTTGGAGCGCTTTCAGGTCTACGGTGAAAAAGGAGATATCTTCCAATAAAAACTAGATAGAAGCAATGTCAGAACTTTTTTCATGATGTATCTACTCAGCAAACAGAGTTGAACCTTTCTTTTGAGAGAGCAGTTTTGACACAGTCTTTGTGGAATATGCAAGTGGGTATTAGGCCAGCTTGGAGGATTTCGTTGGAAACGGGAATACGTATAAAAAGCAGACAGCAGCATTGTCAGAAACTACTTTGTGATGTTTGCATTCAAGTCACAGAATTGAACACTCCCTTTCACAGAGCAGGTTTGAAACACTCTTTTTGTAGTGTCTGTAAGTGAACATTTGGATTGCTTTCAGGCCTATGGTGAAAAAGGAAATATCTTCCCATAAAAACTAGACAGAAGCATTCTCAGAAACTTGTTTGTGATGTGTGCCCTCTACTGACAGAGTTGAACCTTTCTTTGCAAAGAGCAGTTTTGAAACACTCTTTTTGTAGAATCTGCAAGAGGATATTTGGATAGCTTTGAGGATTTCTTGGGAAACGGGAATGTCTTCAGATAAACTCTAGACAGAAGCATTCTCAGAAACTTCTTTGGGATGTTTCAATTGAAGTCACAGTGTTGAACATTCCCTTTCACAGAGCAGGTTTGAAACACTCTTTTTGTAGTGTGTATAAGTGAACATTTCGCGTGCTTTCAGGCCTAACGTGAAAAAGGAAATATCTTCCCATAAAAACTAGACAGAAGCATTCTCAGAAACTTGTTCATGATGTGTGCCCTCTACTGACAGAGTTGAACCTTTCTTTGCAAAGAGCAGCTTTGAAACACTCTTTTTGTAGAATCTGCAAGAGGATATTTGGATAGCTTGGAGGATTTCGTTGGAAACGGGTATGTCTTCAGATAAACTCTAGACAGAAGCATTCTCAGAAACTTCTTTGGGATGTTGCATTCAAGTCACAGAGTAGAACATTCCCATTCATAGAGCAGATTTGAAACACTCTTTTTGTAGTATCTGGAAGTGGACATTTGGAGCGCTTTCAGGCCTATGTTGAAAAAGGAAATATCTTCCCATAAAAACTAGACGGAAGCATTCTCAGAAACTTATTTGTGATGTGTTTGCTCAACTAACAGGATTGAACCATCGTTTTGAAGGAGCAGTTTTGAAACACTGTTTTCGTGGAATCTGCAAGTGGATATTTGGCTAGCTTTGAGGATTTCGTTGGAAACGGGATTACATATAAAAAGGAGACAGCAGCATTCTCAGAAACTTCTTTGTGATGTCTGCATTCAAGTCACAGAGTTGAGCATTCCCTTTCATAGAGCAGGTTGGAAACACTCTTTTTGTAGTATCTGGATGTGGACATTTGGAGCGCTTTCAGGCGTATGGTGAAAAAGGAAATATCTTCCCGTAAAAACTAGACAGAAGCATTCTCAGAAATTTATTTGTGATGTGTGCCCTCAACTAACAGAGTTGAACCTTTCTTTTGATAGAGCAGTTTTGAAACACTCTTTTTGTAAAATCTGCAAGAGGATATTTGGATAGCTTTGAGGATTTCGTTGCAAACGGGAATGGCTTCATATAAACTCTAGACAGAAGCATTCTCAGAAACTTCGTTGGGATGTTTCGATTGAAGTCCCAGTGTTGAACATTCCCTTTTATAGAGCAGGTTGGAAACACTCTTTCTGCATTCCCTGGAAGTGGACATTTGGAGCGCTTTCAGGACGACGGTGAAAATGGAAATATCTTCCAAGAAAATCTAGATAGAAGCAATGTCAGAAACTTTTATGTGATGGATCTACTCAGCTAACAGAGTTGAACCTTTCTTTTCAGAGAGCAGTTTTGCAACACTCTTTTTGTGGAATATGCAAGTGGATATTAGGGCAGCTTTGAGGATTTCGTTGGAAACGGGAATACATGTAAAAAGCAGACAGCAGCATTCTCAGAAACTTCTTTGTGATGTTTGCATTGAAGTCACAGAGTTGAACATTCCCTTTGAGAGAGCAGGTTTGAAACACGCCTTTTGTCATATCTGGAAGTGTCCATTCGGAGCGCATTCAGGCTTGTGTTGAAAAAGGAAATATCCTCCCATAAAAACTAGACAGAAGCATTCTCAGAAACTTATCTGTGATGTATGTACTCAACTAACAGAACTAAACCATCGTTTTGAAGGAGCAATTTTGAAACACTCTTTTTGCGGAATCTGCAAGTGGATATTTGGCTAGCTGGGAGGATTTCGTTGGAAACGGGATTACATACAAAAAGCAGACAGCAGCATTCTCAGAAACTTATTTGTGATGTGTGCCCTCAACTGACAGTGTTGAACCTTTGTTTTGATAGAGCAGTTCTGAAACACACTTTTTGTAAAATCTGCAAGAGGATATTTGGATAGCTTTGAGGATTTCGTTGGAAACGGGAATGTCTTCATGTAAACTCTAGACAGAAGCATTCTCAGAAACTGCTTTGGGATGTTTCAATTGAAGTCCCAGTGTTGAACATTCCCTTTCATAGAGCAGGTTTGAAACACTCTTTTTGTACTATCTGGAAGTGGACATTTGGAGCGCTTTCAGGTCTACGGTGAAAAAGGAGATATCTTCCAATAAAAACTAGATAGAAGCAATGTCAGAACTTTTTTCATGATGTATCTACTCAGCAAACAGAGTTGAACCTTTCTTTTGAGAGAGCAGTTTTGAAACACTCTTTTTGTGGAATATGCAAGTGGGTATTAGGCCAGCTTGGAGGATTTCCCTTGGAAACGGGAATACGTATAAAAAGCAGACAGCAGCATTGTCAGAAACTACTTTGTGATGTTTGCATTCAAGTCACAGAATTGAACACTCCCTTTCACAGAGCAGGTTTGAAACACTCTTTTTGTAGTGTCTGTAAGTGAACATTTGGATTGCTTTCAGGCCTAAGGTGAAAAAGGAAATATCTTCCCATAAAAACTAGACAGAAGCATTCTCAGAAACTTGTGTGTGATGTGTGCCCTCTACTGACAGAGTTGAACCTTTCATTGCAAAGAGCAGTTTTGAAACCCACTTTTTGTAGAATCTGCAAGAGGATATTTGGATAGATTTGAGGATTTCTTGGGAAACGGGAATGTCTTCAGATAAACTCTAGACAGAAGCATTCTCAGAAACTTCTTTGGGATGTTGCATTCAAGTCACAGAGTAGAACATTCCCATTCATACAGCAGATTTGAAACACTCTTTTTGTTGTATCTGGAAGTGGATATTTGGAGCGCTTTCAGGTCTACGGTGAAAAAGGAGATATCTTCCAATAAAAACTAGATAAAAGCAATGTCAGAAACTTTATCATGATGTATCTACTCAGCCAACAGAGTTGAACCTTTCTTTTGAGAGAGCAGTTTTGAAACACTCTTTTTGTGGAATATGCAAGTGGATATTAGGTCAGCTTGGAGGATTTCGTTGGAAACGGGAATACGTATAAAAGCACACAGCAGCATTGTCAGAAACTTCTTTGTGATGTTTGCATTCAAGTCACAGAATTCAACACTCCCTTTCACAGAGCAGATTTGAAACACTCTTTTTGTAGTGTCTGTAAGTGAACATTTGGATTGCTTTCAGGGCTAAGGTGAAAAAGGAAATATCTTCCCATAAAAACTTGACAGAAGCATTCTCAGAAACTCGTTTGTGATGTGTGCCCTCTACTGACGGAGTTGAACCTTTCTTTGCAATGAGCAGTTTTGAAACCATCTTTTTGTAGAATCTGCAAGAGGATATTTGGATAGCTTTGAGGATTTCTTGGGAAACGGGAATGTCTTCAGATAAACTCTAGACAGCAGCATTCTCAGAAACTTCTTTGGGATGTTTCAATTGAAGTCACAGTGTTGAACATTCCCTTTCACAGAGCAGGTTTGAAACACTCTTTTTGTAGTGTCTATAAGTGAACATTTGGCGTGTTTTCAGGCCTAACGTGAAAAAGGAAATATCTTCCCATAAAAACTAGACAGAAGCATTCTCAGAAACTTGTTCGTGATGTGTGCCCTCTACAGACAGAGTTGAACCTTTCTTTGCAAAGAGCAGCTTTGAAACACACTTTTTGTAGAATCTGCAAGAGGATATTTGGATAGCTTGGAGGATTTCGTTGGAAACGGGTATGTCTTCAGATAAACTCTAGACAGAAGCATTCTCAGAAACTTCTTTGGGATGTTGCATTCAAGTCACAGAGTAGAACATTCCCATTCATAGAGCAGATTTGAAACACTCTTTTTGTAGTATCTGGAAGTGGACATTTGGAGCGCTTTCAGGCCTATGTTGAAAAAGGAAATATCTTCCCATAAAAACTAGACGGAAGCATTCTCAGAAACTTACTTGTGATGTGTTTGCTCAACTAACAGAATTGAACCATCGTTTTGAAGGAGCAGTTTTGAAACACTGTTTTCGTAGAATCTGCAAGTGGATATTTGGCTAGCTTTGAGGATTTCGTTGGAAACGGGATTACATATAAAAAGGAGACAGCAGCATTCTCAGAAACTTCTTTGTGATGTCTGCATTCAAGTCACAGAGTTGAGCATTCCCTTTCATAGAGCAGGTTGGAAACACTCTTTTTGTAGTATCTGGATGAGGACATTTGGAGCGCTTTCAGGCGTATGGTGAAAAAGGAAATATCTTCCCGTAAAAACTAGACAGAAGATTCTCAGAAATTTATTTGTGATGTGTGCCCTCAACTAACAGAGTTGAACCTTTCTTTTGATAGAGCAGTTTTGAAACACTCTTTTTGTAAAATCTGCAAGAGGATATTTGGATAGCTTTGAGGATTTCGTTGCAAACGGGAATGGCTTCGTATAAACTCTAGACAGAAGCATTCTCAGAAACTTCGTTGGGATGTTTCGATTGAAGTCCCAGTGTTGAACATTCCCTTTTATAGAGCAGGTTGGAAACACTCTTTCTGCATTCCCTGGAAGTGGACATTTGGAGCGCTTTCAGGACGACGGTGAAAATGGAAATATCTTCCAAGCAAAATCTAGATAGAAGCAATGTCAGAAACTTTTCTGTGATGGATCTACTCAGCTAACAGAGTTGAACCTTTCTTTTGAGAGAGAGTTTTGCAACACTCTTTTTGTGGAATATGCAAGTGCATATTAGGGCAGCTTTGAGGATTTCGTTGGAAACGGGAATACATGTAAAAAGCAGACAGCAGCATTCTCAGAAACTTCTTTGTGATGTTTGCATTGAAGTCACAGAGTTGAACATTCCCTTTGAGAGAGCAGGTTTGAAACACGCCTTCTGTCATATCTGGAAGTGTCCATTCGGAACGCATTCAGGCTTGTGTTGAGAAAGGAAATATCCTCCCATAAAAACTAGACAGAAGCATTCTGAGAAACTTATCTGTGATGTATGTACTCAACTAACAGAACTAAACCACCGTTTTGAAGAAGCAGTGTTGAAACACTCTTTTTGCGGAATCTGCAAGTGGATATTTGCCTAGCTTGGAGGATTTCGTTGGAAACGGGATTACATATAAAAACCAGACAGCAGCATTCTCATGAACTTCTTTGTGATGTTTGCATTCAAGTCACAGAGTTGAACATTCCCTTTCATAGAACAGGTTTGAAACACTCTTTTTGTAGTATCTGGATGTGGACATTTGGATCGCTTTCAGGCCTATGGTGAAAAAGGAAATATCTTCCCATGAAAACTAGACAGAAGCATTCTCAGAAGTTTATTTGTGATGTGTGCCCTCAACTAACAGAGTTGAACCTTTCTTTTGATAGAGCAGTTTTGAAACACTCTTTTTGTAAAATCTGCAAGAGGATATTTGGATAGCTTTGAGGATTTCGTTGCAAACGGGAATGGCTTCATATAAACTCTAGACAGAAAGCATTCTCAGAAACTTCGTCGGGATGTTTCGATTGAAGTCCCAGTGTTGAACATTCCCTTTTATAGAGCAGGTTGGAAACACTCTTTCTGCATTCCCTGGAAGTGGACAATTGGAGCGCTTTCAGGACGACGGTGAAAATGGAAATATCTTCCAATAAAATCTGGATAGAGCAACCGTCAGAAACTTTTCTGTGATGGATCTACTCAGCTAACAGAGTTGAACCTTTCTTTTGAGAGAGCAGTTTTGCAACACTCTTTTTGTGGAATATGCAAGTGGATATTAGGGCAGCTTTGAGGATTTCGTTGGAAACGGGAATACATGTAAAAAGCAGACAGCAGCATTCTCAGAAACTTCTTTGTGATGTTTGCATTGAAGTCACAGAGTTGAACATTCCCTTTGAGAGAGCAGGTTTGAAACACGCCTTTTGTCATATCTGGAAGTGTCCATTCGGAGCGCATTCAGGCTTGTGTTGAAAAAGGAAATATCCTCCCATAAAAACTAGACAGAAGCATTCTCAGAAACTTATTTGTGATGTATGTACTCAACTAACAGAACTAAACCATCGTTTTGAAGGAGCAGTTTTGAAACACTCTTTTTGCGGAATCTGCAACTGGATATTTGGCTAGCTTGGAGGATTTCGTTGGAAACGGGATTACATACAAAAAGCAGACAGCAGCATTCTCAGAAACTTCTTTGTGATGTTTGCATTCAAGTCACAGAGTTGAACATTCCCTTTCATAGAGCAGGTTTGAAACACTCTTTTTGTAGTATCTGGATGTGGACATTTGGATCGCTTTCAGGCCTATGGTGAAAAAGGAAATATCTTCCCATGAAAACTAGACAGAAGCATTCTCAGAAACTTATTTGTGATGTGTGCCCTCAACTGACAGTGTTGAACCTTTGTTTTGATAGAGCAGTTCTGAAACACACTTTTTGTAAAATCTGCAAGAGGATATTTGGATAGCTTTGAGGATTTCGTTGGAAACGGGAATGTCTTCATGTAAACTCTAGACAGAAGCATTCTCAGAAACTGCTTTGGGATGTTTCAATTGAAGTCCCAGTGTTGAACATTCCCTTTCATAGAGCAGGTTTGAAACACTCTTTTTGTACTATCTGGAAGTGGACATTTGGAGCGCTTTCAGGTCTACGGTGAAAAAGGAGATATCTTCCAATAAAAACTAGATAGAAGCAATGTCAGAACTTTTTTCATGATGTATCTACTCAGCAAACAGAGTTGAACCTTTCTTTTGAGAGAGCAGTTTTGAAACACTCTTTTTGTGGAATATGCAAGTGGGTATTAGGCCAGCTTGGAGGATTTCGTTGGAAACGGCAATACGTATAAAAAGCAGACAGCAGCATTGTCAGAAACTACTTTGTGATGTTTGCATTCAAGTCACAGAATTGAACACTCCCTTTCACAGAGCAGGTTTGAAACACTCTTTTTGTAGTGTCTGTAAGTGAACATTTGGATTGCTTTCAGGCCTAAGGTGAAAAAGGAAATATCTTCCCATAAAAACTAGACAGAAGCATTCTCAGAAACTTGTTTGTGATGTGTGCCCTCTACTGACAGAGTTGAACCTTTCTTTGCAAAGGGCAGTTTTGAAACACTCTTTTTGTAGAATCTGCAAGAGGATATTTGGATAGCTTTGAGGATTTCTTGGGAAACGGGAATGTCTTCAGATAAACTCTAGACAGAAGCATTCTCAGAAACTTCTTTGGGATGTTTCAATTGAAGTCACAGTGTTGAACATTCCCTTTCACAGAGCAGGTTTGAAACACTCTTTTTGTAGTGTCTATAAGTGAACATTTGGCGTGCTTTCAGGCCTAACGTGAAAAAGGAAATATCTTCCCATAAAAACTAGACAGAAGCATTCTCAGAAACTTGTTCTTGATGTGTCCCCTCTACTGACAGAGTTGAACCTTTCTTTGCAAAGAGCAGCTTTGAAACACTCTTTTTGTAGAATCTGCAAGAGGATATTTGGATAGCTTGGAGGATTTCGTTGGAAACGGGTATGTCTTCAGATAAACTCTAGACAGAAGCATTCTCAGAAACTTCTTTGGGATGTTGCATTCAAGTCACAGAGTAGAACATTCCCATTCATAGAGCAGATTTGAAACACTCTTTTTGTAGTATCTGGAAGTGGACATTTGGAGCGCTTTCAGGCCTATGTTGAAAAAGGAAATATCTTCCCATAAAAACTAGACGGAAGCATTCTCAGAAACTTATTTGTGATGTGTTTGCTCAACTAACAGGATTGAACCATCGTTTTGAAGGAGCAGTTTTGAAACACTGTTTTCGTGGAATCTGCAAGTGGATATTTGGCTAGCTTTGAGGATTTCGTTGGAAACGGGATTACATATAAAAAGGAGACAGCAGCATTCTCAGAAACTTCTTTGTGATGTCTGCATTCAATTCACAGAGTTGAGCATTCCCTTTCATAGAGCACGTTGGAAACACTCTTTTTGTAGTATCTGGATGAGGACATTTGGAGCGCTTTCAGGCGTATGGTGAAAAAGGAAATATCTTCCGGTAAAAACTAGACAGAAGCATTCTCAGAAGTTTATTTCTGATGTGTGCCCTCAACTAACAGAGTTGAACCTTTCTTTTGATAGAGCAGTTTTGAAACACTCTTTTTGTAAAATCTGCAAGAGGATATTTGGATAGCTTTGAGGATTTCGTTGCAAACGGGAATGGCTTCATATAAACTCTAGACAGAAGCATTCTCAGAAACTTCGTCGGGATGTTTCGATTGAAGTCCCAGTGTTGAACATTCCCTTTTATAGAGCAGGTTGGAAACACTCTTTCTGCATTCCCTGGAAGTGGACATTTGGAGCGCTTTCAGGACGACGGTGAAAATGGAAATATCTTCCAATAAAATCTGGATAGAAGCAATGTCAGAAACTTTTCTGTGATGGATCTACTCAGCTAACAGAGTTGAACCTTTCTTTTGAGAGAGCAGTTTTGCAACACTCTTTTTGTGGAATATGCAAGTGGATATTAGGGCAGCTTTGAGGATTTCGTTGGAAACGGGAATACATGTAAAAAGCAGACAGCAGCATTCTCAGAAACTTCTTTGTGATGTTTGCATTGAAGTCACAGAGTTGAACATTCCCTTTGAGAGAGCAGGTTTGAAACACGCCTTTTGTCATATCTGGAAGTGTCCATTCGGAGCGCATTCAGGCTTGTGTTGAAAAAGGAAATATCCTCCCATAAAAACTATACAGAAGCATTCTCAGAAACTGATTTGTGATGTATGTACTCAACTAACAGAACTAAACCATCGTTTTGAAGGAGCAGTTTTGAAACACTCTTTTTGCGGAATCTGCAAGTGGATATTTGGCTAGCTGGGAGGATTTCGTTGGAAACGGGATTACATACAAAAAGCAGACAGCAGCATTCTCAGAAACTTCTTTGTGATGTTTGCATTCAAGTCACAGAGTTGAACATTCCCTTTCATAGAGCAGGTTTGAAACACTCTTTTTGTAGTATCTGGATGTGGACATTTGGATCGCTTTCAGGCCTATGGTGAAAAAGGAAATATCTTCCCATGAAAACTAGACAGAAGCATTCTCAGAAACTTATCTGTGATGTGTGCCCTCAACTGACAGTGTTGAACCTTTGTTTTGATAGAGCAGTTCTGAAACACACTTTTTGTAAAATCTGCAAGAGGATATTTGGATAGCTTTGAGGATTTCGTTGGAAACGGGAATGTCTTCATGTAAACTCTACACAGAAGCATTCTCAGAAACTGCTTTGGGATGTTTCAATTGAAGTCCCAGTGTTGAACATTCCCATTCATAGAGCAGGTTTGAAACACTCTTTTTGTACTATCTGGAAGTGGACATTTGGAGCGCTTTCAGGTCTACGGTGAAAAAGGAGATATCTTCCAATAAAAACTAGATAGAAGCAATGTCAGAACTTTTTTCATGATGTATCTACTCAGCACACAGAGTTGAACCTTTCTTTTGAGAGAGCAGTTTTGAAACACTCTTTTTGTGGAATATGCAAGTGGGTATTAGGCCAGCTTGGAGGATTTCGTTGGAAACGGGAATACGTATAAAAAGCAGACAGCAGCATTGTCAGAAACTACTTTGTGATGTTTGCATTCAAGTCACAGAATTGAACACTCCCTTTCACAGAGCAGGTTTGAAACACTCTTTTTGTAGTGTCTGTAAGTGAACATTTGGATTGCTTTCAGGCCTAAGGTGAAAAAGGAAATATCTTCCCATAAAAACTAGACAGAAGCATTCTCAGAAACTTGTTTGTGATGTGTGCCCTCTACTGACAGAGTTGAACCTTTCTTTGCAAAGAGCAGTTTTGAAACACTCTTTTTGTAGAATCTGCAAGAGGATATTTGGATAGCTTTGAGGATTTCTTGGGAAACGGGAATGTCTTCAGAAAAACTCTAGACAGAAGCATTCTCAGAAACTTCTTTGGGATGTTTCAATTGAAGTCACAGTGTTGAACATTCCCTTTCACAGAGCAGGTTTGAAACACTCTTTTTGTAGTGTCTATAAGTGAACATTTGGCGTGCTTCAGGCCTAACGTGAAAAAGGAAATATCTTCCCATAAAAACTAGACAGAAGCATTCTCAGAAACTTGTTCTTGATGTGTCCCCTCTACTGACAGAGTTGAACCTTTCTTTGCAAAGAGCAGCTTTGAAACACTCTTTTTGTAGAATCTGCAAGAGGATATTTGGATAGCTTGGAGGATTTCGTTGGAAACGGGTATGTCTTCAGATAAACTCTAGACAGAAGCATTCTCAGAAACTTCTTTGGGATGTTGCATTCAAGTCACAGAGTAGAACATTCCCATTCATAGAGCAGATTTGAAACACTCTTTTTGTAGTATCTGGAAGTGGACATTTGGAGCGCTTTCAGGCCTATGTTGAAAAAGGAAATATCTTCCCATAAAAACTAGACGGAAGCATTCTCAGAAACTTACTTGTGATGTGTTTGCTCAACTAACAGAATTGAACCATCGTTTTGAAGGAGCAGTTTTGAAACACTGTTTTCGTGGAATCTGCAAGTGGATATTTGGCTAGCTTTGAGGATTTCGTTGGAAACGGGATTACATATAAAAAGGAGACAGCAGCATTCTCAGAAACTTCTTTGTGATGTCTGCATTCAAATCACAGAGTTGAGCATTCCCTTTCATAGAGCAGGTTGGAAACACTCTTTTTGTAGTATCTGGATGAGGACATTTGGAGCGCTTTCAGGCGTATGGTGAAAAAGGAAATATCTTCCCGTAAAAACTAGACAGAAGCATTCTCAGAAATTTATTTGTGATGTGTGCCCTCAACTAACAGAGTTGAACCTTTCTTTTGATAGAGCAGTTTTGAAACACTCTTTTTGTAAAATCTGCAAGAGGATATTTGGATAGCTTTGAGGATTTCGTTGCAAACGGGAGTGGCTTCATATAAACTCTAGACAGAAGCATTGTGAGAAACTTCGTTGGGATGTTTCGATTGAAGTCCCAGTGTTGAACATTCCCTTTTATAGAGCAGGTTGGAAACACTCTTTCTGCATTCCCTGGAAGTGGACATTTGGAGCGCTTTCAGGACGACGGTGAAAATGGAAATATCTTCCAAGAAAATCTAGATAGAAGCAATGTCAGAAACTTTTATGTGATGGATCTACTCAGCTAACAGAGTTGAACCTTTCTTTTGAGAGAGCAGTTTTGCAACACTCTTTTTGTGGAATATGCAAGTGGATATTAGGGCAGCTTTGAGGATTTCGTTGGAAACGGGAATACATGTAAAAAGCAGACAGCAGCGTTCTCAGAAACTTCTTTGTGATGTTTGCATTGAAGTCACAGAGTTGAACATTCCCTTTGAGAGAGCAGGTTTGAAACACGCCTTTTGTCATATCTGGAAGTGTCCATTCGGAGCGCATTCAGGCTTGTGTTGAAAAAGGAAATATCCTCCCATAAAAACTAGACAGAAGCATTCTCAGAAACTTATCTGTGATGTATGTACTCAACTAACAGAACTAAACCATCGTTTTGAAGGAGCAGTTTTGAAACACTCTTTTTGCGGAATCTGCAAGTGGATATTTGGCTAGCTGGGAGGATTTCGTTGGAAACGGGATTACATACAAAAAGCAGACAGCAGCATTCTCAGAAACTTCTTTGTGATGTTTGCATTCAAGTCACAGAGTTGAACATTCCCTTTCATAGAGCAGGTTTGAAACACTCTTTTTGTAGTATCTGGATGTGGACATTTGGATCGCTTTCAGGCCTATGGTGAAAAAGGAAATATCTTCCCATGAAAACTAGACAGAAGCATTCTCAGAAACTTATTTGTGATGTGTGCCCTCAACTGACAGTGTTGAACCTTTGTTTTGATAGAGCAGTTCTGAAACACACCTTTTGTAAAATCTGCAAGAGGATATTTGGATAGCTTTGAGGATTTCGTTGGAAACGGGAATGTCTTCATGTAAACTCTACACAGAAGCATTCTCAGAAACTGCTTTGGGATGTTTCAATTGAAGTCCCAGTGTTGAACATTCCCATTCATAGAGCAGGTTTGAAACACTCTTTTTGTACTATCTGGAAGTGGACATTTGGAGCGCTTTCAGGTCTACGGTGAAAAAGGAGATATCTTCCAATAAAAACTAGATAGAAGCAATGTCAGAACTTTTTTCATGATGTATCTACTCAGCAAACAGAGTTGAACCTTTCTTTTGAGAGAGCAGTTTTGAAACACTCTTTTTGTGGAATATGCAAGTGGGTATTAGGCCAGCTTGGAGGATTTCGTTGGAAACGGGAATACGTATAAAAAGCAGACAGCAGCATTGTCAGAAACTACTTTGTGATGTTTGCATTCAAGTCACAGAACTGAACACTCCCTTTCACAGAGCAGGTTTGAAACACTCTTTTTGTAGTGTCTGTAAGTGAACATTTGGATTGCTTTCAGGCCTAAGGTGAAAAAGGAAATATCTTCCCATAAAAACTAGACAGAAGCATTCTCAGAAACTTGTTTGTGATGTCTGCCCTCTACTGACAGAGTTGAACCTTTCTTTGCAAAGAGCAGTTTTGAAACACTCTTTTTGTAGAATCTGCAAGAGGATATTTGGATAGCTTTGAGGATTTCTTGGGAAACGGGAATGTCTTCAGATAAACTCTAGACAGAAGCATTCTCAGAAACTTCTTTGGGATGTTTCAATTGAAGTCACAGTGTTGAACATTCCCTTTCACAGAGCAGGTTTGAAACACTCTTTTTGTAGTGTCTATAATTGAACATTTGGCGTGCTTTCAGGCCTAACGTGAGAAAGGAAATATCTTCCCATAAAAACTAGACAGAAGCATTCTCAGAAACTTGTTTGTGATGTGTGCCCTCTACTGACAGAGTTGAACCTTTCTTTGCAAAGAGCAGCTTTGAAACACTCTTTTTGTAGAATCTGCAAGAGGATATTTGGATAGCTTTGAGGATTTCGTTGGAAACGGGTATGTCTTCACATAAACTCTAGACAGAAGCATTCTCAGAAACTTCTTTGGGATGTTGCATTCAAGTCACAGAGTAGAACATTCCCATTCATAGAGCAGATTTGAAACACTCTTTTTGTAGTATCTGGAAGTGGACATTTGGAGCGCTTTCAGGCCTATGTTGAGAAACGAAATATCTTCCCATAAAAACTAGACGGAAGCATTCTCATAAACTAGTTTGTGATGTGTGTGCTTAACTAACAGAGCTGAACCTTTCTTTTCATTGAGCGGTTTTGAAACACTCTTTTTGTAGAATCTGCAAGTGGATATTTGGCTGGCTCTGAGGATTTCGTTGGAAACGGGAATACATTTAAAAAGCAGACGGCAGCATTCTCAGCAACTTCTTTGTGATGTTTCCATTGAAGTCCCAGTGTTGAACATTCCATTTGATAGAGCAGGTTTGAAACACGCCTTTTGTCATGTCTGGAAGCTGTCCATTTGGAGCACATTCCGGCTTGTGTTGAAAAAGGAAATATCCTCTCATAAAAACTAGACAGAAGCATTCTCAGAAATTTATTTGTGATGTGTGCCCTCAACTAACAGAGTTGAACCTTTCTTTTGATAGAGCAGTTTTGAAACACTCTTTTTGTAAAATCTGCAAGAGGATATTTGGATAGCTTTGAGGATTTCGTTGCAAACGGGAATGGCTTCATATAAACTCCTAGACAGAAGCATTCTCAGAAACTTCGTTGGGATGTTTCGATTGAAGTCCCAGTGTTGAACATTCCCTTTTATAGAGCAGGTTGGAAACACTCTTTCTGCATTCCCTGGAAGTGGACATTTGGAGCGCTTTCAGGACGACGGTGAAAATGGAAATATCTTCCAAGAAAATCTAGATAGAAGCAATGTCAGAAACTTTTATGTGATGGATCTACTCAGCTAACACAGTTGAACCTTTCTTTTGAGAGAGCAGTTTTGCAACACTCTTTTTGTGGAATATGCAAGTGGATATTAGGGCAGCTTTGAGGATTTCGTTGGAAACGGGAATACATGTAAAAAGCAGACAGCAGCATTCTCAGAAACTTCTTTGTGATGTTTGCATTGAAGTCACAGAGTTGAACATTCCCTTTGAGAGAGCAGGATTGAAACACGCCTTTTGTCATATCTGGAAGTGTCCATTCGGAGCGCATTCAGGCTTGTGTTGAAAAAGGAAATATCCTCCCATAAAAAGTATACAGAAGCATTCTCAGAAACTTATTTGTGATGTATGTACTCAACTAACAGAACTAAACCATCGTTTTGACGGAGCAGTTTTGAAACACTCTTTTTGCGGAATCTGCAAGTGGATATTTGGCTAGCTGGGAGGATTTCGTTGGAAACGGGATTACATACAAAAAGCAGACAGCAGCATTCTCAGAAACTTCTTTGTGATGTTTGCATTCAAGTCACAGAGTTGAACATTCCCTTTCATAGAGCAGGTTTGAAACACTCTTTTTGTAGTATCTGGATGTGGACATTTGGATCGCTTTCAGGCCTATGGTGAAAAAGGAAATATCTTCCCATGAAAACTAGACAGAAGCATTCTCAGAAACTTATTTGTGATGTGTGCCCTCAACTGACAGTGTTGAACCTTTGTTTTGATAGAGCAGTTCTGAAACACACTTTTTGTAAAATCTGCAAGAGGATATTTGGATAGCTTTGAGGATTTCGTTGGAAACGGGAATGTCTTCATGTAAACTCTAGACAGAAGCATTCTCAGAAACTGCTTTGGGATGTTTCAATTGAAGTCCCAGTGTTGAACATTCCCTTTCATAGAGCAGGTTTGAAACACTCTTTTTGTACTATCTGGAAGTGGACATTTGGAGCGCTTTCAGGTCTACGGTGAAAAAGGAGATATCTTCCAATAAAAACTAGATAGAAGCAATGTCAGAACTTTTTTCATGATGTATCTACTCAGCAAACAGAGTTGAACCTTTCTTTTGAGAGAGCAGTTTTGACACAGTCTTTGTGGAATATGCAAGTGGGTATTAGGCCAGCTTGGAGGATTTCGTTGGAAACGGGAATACGTATAAAAAGCAGACAGCAGCATTGTCAGAAACTACTTTGTGATGTTTGCATTCAAGTCACAGAATTGAACACTCCCTTTCACAGAGCAGGTTTGAAACACTCTTTTTGTAGTGTCTGTAAGTGAACATTTGGATTGCTTTCAGGCCTATGGTGAAAAAGGAAATATCTTCCCATAAAAACTAGACAGAAGCATTCTCAGAAACTTGTTTGTGATGTGTGCCCTCTACTGACAGAGTTGAACCTTTCTTTGCAAAGAGCAGTTTTGAAACACTCTTTTTGTAGAATCTGCAAGAGGATATTTGGATAGCTTTGAGGATTTCTTGGGAAACGGGAATGTCTTCAGATAAACTCTAGACAGAAGCATTCTCAGAAACTTCTTTGGGATGTTTCAATTGAAGTCACAGTGTTGAACATTCCCTTTCACAGAGCAGGTTTGAAACACTCTTTTTGTAGTGTCTATAAGTGAACATTTGGCGTGCTTTCAGGCCTAACGTGAAAAAGGAAATATCTTCCCATAAAAACTAGACAGAAGCATTCTCAGAAACTTGTTCGTGATGTGTGCCCTCTACTGACAGAGTTGAACCTTTCTTTGCAAAGAGCAGCTTTGAAACACACTTTTTGTAGAATCTGCAAGAGGATATTTGGATAGCTTGGAGGATTTCGTTGGAAACGGGTATGTCTTCAGATAAACTCTAGACAGAAGCATTCTCAGAAACTTCTTTGGGATGTTGCATTCAAGTCACAGAGTAGAACATTCCCATTCATAGAGCAGATTTGAAACACTCTTTTTGTAGTATCTGGAAGTGGACATTTGGAGCGCTTTCAGGCCTATGTTGAAAAAGGAAATATCTTCCCATAAAAACTAGACGGAAGCATTCTCAGAAACTTATTTGTGATGTGTTTGCTCAACTAACAGGATTGAACCATCGTTTTGAAGGAGCAGTTTTGAAACACTGTTTTCGTGGAATCTGCAAGTGGATATTTGGCTAGCTTTGAGGATTTCGTTGGAAACGGGATTACATATACAAAGGAGACAGCAGCATTCTCAGAAACTTCTTTGTGATGTCTGCATTCAATTCACAGAGTTGAGCATTCCCTTTCATAGAGCAGGTTGGAAACACTCTTTTTGTAGTATCTGGATGAGGACATTTGGAGCGCTTTCAGGCGTATGGTGAAAAAGGAAATATCTTCCCGTAAAAACTAGACAGAAGCATTCTCAGAAGTTTATTTGTGATGTGTGCCCTCAACTAACAGAGTTGAACCTTTCTTTTGATAGAGCAGTTTTGAAACACTCTTTTTGTAAAATCTGCAAGAGGATATTTGGATAGCTTTGAGGATTTCGTTGCAAACGGGAATGGCTTCATATAAACTCTAGACAGAAGCATTCTCAGAAACTTCGTTGGGATGTTTCGATTGAAGTCCCAGTGTTGAACATTCCCTTTTATAGAGCAGGTTGGAAACACTCTTTCTGCATTCCCTGGAAGTGGACATTTGGAGCGCTTTCAGGACGACGGTGAAAATGGAAATATCTTCCAAGAAAATCTAGATAGAAGCAACGTCAGAAACTTTTCTGTGATGGATCTACTCAGCTAACAGAGTTGAACCTTTCTTTTGAGAGAGCAGTTTTGCAACACTCTTTTTGTGGAATATGCAAGTGGATATTAGGGCAGCTTTGAGGATTTCGTTGGAAACGGGAATACATGTAAAAAGCAGACAGCAGCATTCTCAGAAACTTCTTTGTGATGTTTGCATTGAAGTCACAGAGTTGAACATTCCCTTTGAGAGAGCAGGTTTGAAACACGCCTTTTGTCATATCTGGAAGTGTCCATTCGGAGCGCATTCAGGCTTGTGTTGAAAAAGGAAATATCCTCCCATAAAAACTAGACAGAAGCATTCTCAGAAACTTATCTGTGATGTATGTACTCAACTAACAGAACTAAACCATCGTTTTGAAGGAGCAGTTTTGAAACACTCTTTTTGCGGAATATGCAAGTGGATATTTGGCTAGCTTGGAGGATTTCGTTGGAAACGGGATGACATACAAAAAGCAGAGAGCAGCATTCTCAGAAACTTCTTTGTGATGTTTGCATTCAAGTCACAGAGTTGAACATTCCCTTTCATAGAGCAGGTTTGAAACACTCTTTTTGTAGTATGTGGATGTGGACATTTGGATCGCTTTCAGGCCTATGGTGAAAAAGGAAATATCTTCCCATGAAAACTAGACAGAAGCATTCTCAGAAGTTTATTTGTGATGTGTGCCCTCAACTAACAGAGTTGAACCTTTCTTTTGATAGAGCAGTTTTGAAACACTCTTTTTGTAAAATCTGCAAGAGGATATTTGGATAGCTTTGAGGATTTCGTTGCAAACGGGAATGGCTTCATATAAACTCTAGACAGAAGCATTCTCAGAAACTTCGTTGGGATGTTTTGATTGAAGTCCCAGTGTTGAACATTCCCTTTTATAGAGCAGGTTGGAAACACTCTTTCTGCATTCCCTGGAAGTGGACATTTGGAGCGCTTTCAGGACGACGGTGAAAATGGAAATATCTTCCAATAAAATCTAGATAGAAGCAACGTCAGAAACTTTTCTGTGATGGATCTACTCAGCTAACAGAGTTGAACCTTTCTTTTGAGAGAGCAGTTTTGCAACACTCTTTTTGTGGAATATGCAAGTGGATATTAGGGCAGCTTTGAGGATTTCGTTGGAAACGGGAATACATGTAAAAAGCAGACAGCAGCATTCTCAGAAACTTCTTTGTGATGTTTGCATTGAAGTCACAGAGTTGAACATTCCCTTTGAGAGAGCAGGTTTGAAACACGCCTTTTGTCATATCTGGAAGTGTCCATTCGGAGCGCATTCAGGCTTGTGTTGAAAAAGGAAATATCCTCCCATAAAAACTAGACAGAAGCATTCTCAGAAACTTATCTGTGATGTATGTACTCAACTAACAGAACTAAACCATCGTTTTGAAGGAGCAGTTTTGAAACACTCTTTTTGCGGAATCTGCAAGTGGATATTTGGCTAGCTGGGAGGATTTCGTTGGAAACGGGATTACATACAAAAAGCAGACAGCAGCATTCTCAGAAACTACTTTGTGACGTTTGCATTCAAGTCACAGAGTTGAACATTCCCTTTCATAGAGCAGGTTTGAAACACTCTTTTTGTAGTATCTGGATGTGGACATTTGGATCGCTTTCAGGCCTATGGTGAAAAAGGAAATATCTTCCCATGAAAACTAGACAGAAGCATTCTCAGAAACTTATTTGTGATGTGTGCCCTCAACTGACAGTGTTGAACCTTTGTTTTGATAGAGCAGTTCTGAAACACACTTTTTGTAAAATCTGCAAGAGGATATTTGGATAGCTCTGAGGATTTCGTTGGAAACGGGAGTGTCTTCAAGTAAACTCTAGACAGAAGCATTCTCAGAAACTGCTTTGGGATGTTTCAATTGAAGTCCCAGTGTTGAACATTCCCATTCATAGAGCAGGTTTGAAACACTCTTTTTGTACTATCTGGAAGTGGACATTTGGAGCGCTTTCAGGTCTACGGTGAAAAAGGAGATATCTTCCAATAAAAACTAGATAGAAGCAATGTCAGAACTTTTTTCATGATGTATCTACTCAGCAAACAGAGTTGAACCTTTCTTTTGAGAGAGCAGTTTTGACACAGTCTTTGTGGAATATGCAAGTGGGTATTAGGCCAGCTTGGAGGATTTCGTTGGAAACGGGAATACGTATAAAAAGCAGACAGCAGCATTGTCAGAAACTACTTTGTGATGTTTGCATTCAAGTCACAGAATTGAACACTCCCTTTCACAGAGCAGGTTTGAAACACTCTTTTTGTAGTGTCTGTAAGTGAACATATGGATTGCTTTCAGGCCTAAGGTGAAAAAGGAAATATCTTCCCATAAAAACTAGACAGAAGCATTCTCAGAAACTTGTTTGTGATGTGTGCCCTCTACTGACAGAGTTGAACCTTTCTTTGCAAAGAGCAGCTTTGAAACACTCTTTTTGTAGAATCTGCAAGAGGATATGTGGATAGCTTTGAGGATTTCGTTGGAAACGGGTATGTCTTCAGATAAACTCTAGACAGAAGCATTCTCAGAAACTTCTTTGGGATGTTGCATTCAAGTCACAGAGTAGAACATTCCCATTCATAGAGCAGATTTGAAACACTCTTTTTGTAGTATCTGGAAGTGGACATTTGGAGCGCTTTCAGGCCTATGTTGAAAAAGGAAATATCTTCCCATAAAAACTAGACGGAAGCATTCTCAGAAACTTATTTGTGATGTGTTTGCTCAACTAACAGGATTGAACCATCGTTTTGAAGGAGCAGTTTTGAAACACTGTTTTCGTGGAATCTGCAAGTGGTTATTTGGCTAGCTTTGAGGATTTCGTTGGCAAACGGGATTACATATACAAAGGAGACAGCAGCATTCTCAGAAACTTCTTTGTGATGTCTGCATTCAATTCACAGAGTTGAGCATTCCCTTTCATAGAGCAGGTTGGAAACACTCTTTTTGTAGTATCTGGATGAGGACATTTGGAGCGCTTTCAGGCGTATGGTGAAAAAGGAAATATCTTCCCGTAAAAACTAGACAGAAGCATTCTCAGAAATTTATTTGTGATGTGTGCCCTCAACTAACAGAGTTGAACCTTTCTTTTGATAGAGCAGTTCTGAAACACTCTTTTTGTAAAATCTGCAAGAGGATATTTGGATAGCTTTGAGGATTTCGTTGCAAACGGGAATGGCTTCATATAAACTCTAGACAGAAGCATTCTCAGAAACTTCGTTGGGATGTTTCGATTGAAGTCCCAGTGTTGAACATTCCCTTTTATAGAGCAGGTTGGAAACACTCTTTCTGCATTCCCTGGAAGTGGACATTTGGAGCGCTTTCAGGACGACGGTGAAAATGGAAATATCTTCCAAGAAAATCTAGATAGAAGCAACGTCAGAAACTTTTATGTGATGGATCTACTCAGCTAACAGAGTTGAACCTTTCTTTTGAGAGAGCAGTTTTGCAACACTCTTTTTGTGGAATATGCAAGTGGATATTAGGGCAGCTTTGAGGATTTCGTTGGAAACGGGAATACATGTAAAAAGCAGACAGCAGCATTCTCAGAAACTTCTTTGTGATGTTTGCATTGAAGTCACAGAGTTGAACATTCCCTTTGAGAGAGCAGGTTTGAAACACGCCTTTTGTCATATCTGGAAGTGTCCATTCGGAGCGCATTCAGGCTTGTGTTGAAAAAGGAAATATCCTCCCATAAAAACTAGACAGAAGCATTCTCAGAAACTTATCTGTGATGTATGTACTCAACTAACAGAACTAAACCATCGTTTTGAAGGAGCAGTTTTGAAACACTCTTTTTGCAGAATCTGCAAGTGGATATTTGGCTAGCTGGGAGGATTTCGTTGGAAACGGGATTACATACAAAAAGCAGAGAGCAGCATTCTCAGAAACTTCTTTGTGATGTTTGCATTCAAGTCACAGAGTTGAACATTCCCTTTCATAGAGCAGGTTTGAAACACTCTTTTTGTAGTATCTGGATGTGGACATTTGGATCGCTTTCAGGCCTATGGTGAAAAAGGAAATATCTTCCCATGAAAACTAGACAGAAGCATTCTCAGAAACTTATTTGTGATGTGTGCCCTCAACTGACAGTGTTGAACCTTTGTTTTGATAGAGCAGTTCTGAAACACACTTTTTGTAAAATCTGCAAGAGGATATTTGGATAGCTTTGAGGATTTCGTTGGAAACGGGAATGTCTTCATGTAAACTCTAGACAGAAGCATTCTCAGAAACTGCTTTGGGATGTTTCAATTGAAGTCCCAGTGTTGAACATTCCCATTCATAGAGCAGGTTTGAAACACTCTTTTTGTACTATCTGGAAGTGGACATTTGGAGCGCTTTCAGGTCTACGGTGAAAAAGGAGATATCTTCCAATAAAAACTAGATAGAAGCAATGTCAGAACTTTTTTCATGATGTATCTACTCAGCAAACAGAGTTGAACCTTTCTTTTGAGAGAGCAGTTTTGAAACAGTCTTTGTGGAATATGCAAGTGGGTATTAGGCCAGCTTGGAGGATTTCGTTGGAAACGGGAATACGTATAAAAAGCAGACAGCAGCATTGTCAGAAACTACTTTGTGATGTTTGCATTCAAGTCACAGAATTGAACACTCCCTTTCACAGAGCAGGTTTGAAACACTCTTTTTGTAGTGTCTGTAAGTGAACATTTGGATTGCTTTCAGGCCTAATGTGAAAAAGGAAATATCTTCCCATAAAAACTAGACAGAAGCATTCTCAGAAACTTGTTTGTGATGTGTGCCCTCTACTGACAGAGTTGAACCTTTCTTTGCAAAGAGCAGTTTTGAAACACTCTTTTTGTAGAATCTGCAAGAGGATATTTGGATAGCTTTGAGGATTTCTTGGGAAACGGGAATGTCTTCAGATAAACTCTAGACAGAAGCATTCTCAGAAACTTCTTTGGGATGTTTCAATTGAAGTCACAGTGTTGAACATTCCCTTTCACAGAGCAGGTTTGAAACACTCTTTTTGTAGTGTCTATAAGTGAACATTTGGCGTGCTTTCAGGCCTAACGTGAAAAAGGAAATATCTTCCCATAAAAACTAGACAGAAGCATTCTCAGAAACTTGTTCGTGATGTGTGCCCTCTACTGACAGAGTTGAACCTTTCTTTGCAAAGAGCAGCTTTGAAACACTCTTTTTGTAGAATCTGCAAGAGGATATGTGGATAGCTTTGAGGATTTCGTTGGAAACGGGTATGTCTTCAGATAAACTCTAGACAGAAGCATTCTCAGAAACTTCTTTGGGATGTTTCAATTGAAGTCACAGTGTTGAACATTCCCTTTCACAGAGCAGGTTTGAAACACTCTTTTTGTAGTGTCTATAAGTGAACATTTGGCGTGCTTTCAGGCCTAACGTGAAAAAGGAAATATCTTCCCATAAAAACTAGACAGAAGCATTCTCAGAAACTTGTTCATGATGTGTGCCCTCTACTGACAGAGTTGAACCTTTCTTTGCAAAGAGCAGCTTTGAAACACTCTTTTTGTAGAATCTGCAAGAGGATATTTGGATAGCTTGGAGGATTTCGTTGGAAACGGGTATGTCTTCAGATAAACTCTAGACAGAAGCATTCTCAGAAACTTCTTTGGGATGTTGCATTCAAGTCACAGAGTAGAACATTCCCATTCATAGAGCAGATTTGAAACACTCTTTTTGTAGTATCTGGAAGTGGACATTTGGAGCGCTTTCAGGCCTATGTTGAAAAAGGAAATATCTTCCCATAAAAACTAGACGGAAGCATTCTCAGAAACTTATTTGTGATGTGTTTGCTCAACTAACAGGATTGAACCATCGTTTTGAAGGAGCAGTTTTGAAACACTGTTTTCGTGGAATCTGCAAGTGGATATTTGGCTAGCTTTGAGGATTTCGTTGGAAACGGGATTACATATAAAAAGGAGACAGCAGCATTCTCAGAAACTTCTTTGTGATGTCTGCATTCAATTCACAGAGTTGAGCATTCCCTTTCATAGAGCAGGTTTGAAACACTCTTTTTGTAGTATCTGGATGTGGACATTTGGATCGCTTTCAGGCCTATGGTGAAAAAGGAAATATCTTCCCATGAAAACTAGACAGAAGCATTCTCAGAAATTTATTTGTGATGTGTGCCCTCAACTAACAGAGTTGAACCTTTCTTTTGATAGAGCAGTTTTGAAACACTCTTTTTGTAAAATCTGCAAGAGGATATTTGGATAGCTTTGAGGATTTCGTTGCAAACGGGAATGGCTTCATATAAACTCTAGACAGAAGCATTCTCAGAAACTTCGTTGGGATGTTTCGATTGAAGTCCCAGTGTTGAACATTCCCTTTTATAGAGCAGGTTGGAAACACTCTTTCTGCATTCCCTGGAAGTGGACAATTGGAGCGCTTTCAGGACGACGGTGAAAATGGAAATATCTTCCAATAAAATCTGGATAGAAGCAATGTCAGAAACTATTCTGTGATGGATCTACTCAGCTAACAGAGTTGAACCTTTCTTTTGAGAGAGCAGTTTTGCAACACTCTTTTTGTGGAATATGCAAGTGGATATTAGGGCAGCTTTGAGGATTTCGTTGGAAACGGGAATACATGTAAAAAGCAGACAGCAGCATTCTCAGAAACTTCTTTGTGATGTTTGCATTGAAGTCACAGAGTTGAACATTCCCTTTGAGAGAGCAGGTTTGAAACACGCCTTTTGTCATATCTGGAAGTGTCCATTCGGAGCGCATTCAGGCTTGTGTTGAAAAAGGAAATATCCTCCCATAAAAACTAGACAGAAGCATTCTCAGAAACTTATCTGTGATGTATGTACTCAACTAACAGAACTAAACCATCGTTTTGAAGGAGCAGTTTTGAAACACTCTTTGTGCGGAATCTGCAAGTGGATATTTGGCTAGCTGGGAGGATTTCGTTGGAAACGGGATTACATACAAAAAGCAGACAGCAGCATTCTCAGAAACTTCTTTGTGATGTTTGCATTCAAGTCACAGAGTTGAACATTCCCTTTCATAGAGCAGGTTTGAAACACTCTTTTTGTAGTATCTGGATGTGGACATTTGGATCGCTTTCAGGCCTATGGTGAAAAAGGAAATATCTTCCCATGAAAACTAGACAGAAGCATTCTCAGAAACTTATTTGTGATGTGTGCACTCAACTGACAGTGTTGAACCTTTGTTTTGATAGAGCAGTTCTGAAACACACTTTTTGTAAAATCTGCAAGAGGATATTTGGATAGCTTTGACGATTTCGTTGGAAACGGGAATGTCTTCATGTAAACTCTAGACAGAAGCATTCTCAGAAACTGCTTTGGGATGTTTCAATTGAAGTCCCAGTGTTGAACATTCCCATTCATAGAGCAGGTTTGAAACACTCTTTTTCTACTATGCTGGAAGTGGACATTTGGAGCGCTTTCAGGTCTACGGTGAAAAAGGAGATATCTTCCAATAAAAACTAGATAGATAAGCAATGTCAGAACTTTTTTCATGATGTATCTACTCAGCAAACAGAGTTGAACCTTTCTTTTGAGAGAGCAGTTTTGAAACACTCTTTTTGTGGAATATGCAAGTGGGTATTAGGCCAGCTTGGAGGATTTCGTTGGAAACGGGAATACGTATAAAAAGCAGACAGCAGCATTGTCAGAAACTACTTTGTGATGTTTGCATTCAAGTCACAGAATTGAACACTCCCTTTCACAGAGCAGGTTTGAAACACTCTTTTTGTAGTGTCTGTAAGTGAACATTTGGATTGCTTTCAGGCCTAAGGTGAAAAAGGAAATATCTTCCCATAAAAACTAGACAGAAGCATTCTCAGAAACTTGTTTGTGATGTGTGCCCTCTACTGACAGAGTTGAACCTTTCTTTGCAAAGAGCAGTTTTGAAACACTCTTTTTGTAGAATCTGCAAGAGGATATTTGGATAGCTTTGAGGATTTCTTGGGAAACGGGAATGTCTTCAGATAAACTCTAGACAGAAGCATTCTCAGAAACTTCTTTGGGATGTTTCAATTGAAGTCACAGTGTTGAACATTCCCTTTCACAGAGCAGGTTTGAAACACTCTTTTTGTAGTGTCTATAAGTGAGCATTTGGCGTGCTTTCAGTTGTAACGTGAAAAAGGAAATATCTTCCCATAAAAACTAGACAGAAGCATTCTCAGAAACTTGTTCGTGATGTGTGCCCTCTACTGACAGAGTTGAACCTTTCTTTGCAAAGAGCAGCTTTGAAACACTCTTTTTGTAGAATCTGCAAGAGGATATTTGGATAGCTTTGAGGATTTCGTTGGAAACGTGTATGTCTTCAGATAAACTCTAGACAGAAGCATTCTCAGAAACTTCTTTGGGATGTTGCATTCAAGTCACAGAGTAGAACATTCCGATTCATAGAGCAGATTTGAAACCCTCTTTTTGAAGTATCTGGAAGTGGACATTTGGAGCGCTTTCAGGCCTATGTTGAAAAAGGAAATATCTTCCCATAAAAACTAGACGGAAGCATTCTCAGAAACTTACATGTGATGTGTTTGCTCAACTAACAGAATTGAACCATCGTTTTGAAGGAGCAGTTTTGAAACACTGTTTTCGTGGAATCTGCAAGTGGATATTTGGCTAGCTTTGAGGATTTCGTTGGAAACGGGATTACATAGAAAAAGGAGACAGCAGCATTCTCAGAAACTTCTTTGTGATGTCTGCATTCAATTCACAGTAGTTGAGCATTCCCTTTCATAGAGCAGGTTGGAAACACTCTTTTTGTAGTATCTGGATGAGGACATTTGGAGCGCTTTCTGGCCTATGGTGAAAAAGGAAATATCTTCCCGTAAAAACTAGACAGAAGCATTCTCAGAAGTTTATTTGTGATGTGTGCCCTCAACTAACAGAGTTGAACCTTTCTTTTGATAGAGCAGTTTTGAAACACTCTTTTTGTAAAATCTGCAAGAGGATATTTGGATAGCTTTGAGGATTTCGTTGCAAACGGGAATGGCTTCATATAAACTCTAGACAGAAGCATTCTCAGAAACTTCGTTGGGATGTTTCGATTGAAGTCCCAGTGTTGAACATTCCCTTTTATAGAGCAGGTTGGAAACACTCTTTCTGCATTCCCTGGAAGTGGACATTTGGAGCGCTTTCAGGACGACGGTGAAAATGGAAATATCTTCCAAGAAAATCTAGATAGAAGCAACGTCAGAAACTTTTCTGTGATGGATCTACTCAGCTAACAGAGTTGAACCTTTCTTTTGAGAGAGCAGTTTTGCAACACTCTTTTTGTGGAATATGCAAGTGGATATTAGGGCAGCTTTGAGGATTTCGTTGGAAACGGGAATACATGTAAAAAGCAGACAGCAGCATTCTCAGAAACTTCTTTGTGATGTTTGCATTGAAGTCACAGCAGTTGAACATTCCCTTTGAGAGAGCAGGTTTGAAACACGCCTTTTGTCATATCTGGAAGTGTCCATTCGGAGCGCATTCAGGCTTGTGTTGAAAAAGGAAATATCCTCCCATAAAAACTAGACAGAAGCATTCTCAGAAACTTATCTGTGATGTATGTACTCAACTAACAGAACTAAACCATCGTTTTGAAGGAGCAGTTTTGAAACACTCTTTTTGCGGAATCTGCAAGTGGATATTTGGCTAGCTGGGAGGATTTCGTTGGAAACGGGATTACATACAAAAAGCAGACAGCAGCATTCTCAGAAACTTCTTTGTGATGTTTGCATTCAAGTCGCAGAGTTGAACATTCCCTTTCATAGAGCAGGTTTGAAACACTCTTTTTGTAGTATCTGGATGTGGACATTTGGATCGCTTTCAGGCCTATGGTGAAAAAGGAAATATCTTCCCATGAAAACTAGACAGAAGCATTCTCAGAAACTTATTTGTGATGTGTGCCCTCAACTGACAGTGTTGAACCTTTGTTTTGATAGAGCAGTTCTGAAACACACTTTTTTTAAAATCTGCAAGAGGATATTTGGATAGCTTTGAGGATTTCGTTGGAAACGGGAATGTCTTCATGTAAACTCTAGACAGAAGCATTCTCAGAAACTGCTTTGGGATGTTTCAATTGAAGTCCCAGTGTTGAACATTCCCATTCATAGAGCAGGTTTGAAACCCTCTTTTTGTACTATCTGGAAGTGGACATTTGGAGCGCTTTCAGGTCTACGGTGAAAAAGGAGATATCTTCCAATAAAAACTAGATAGAAGCAATGTCAGAACTTTTTTCATGATGTATCTACTCAGCTAACAGAGTTGAACCTTTCTTTTGAGAGAGCAGTTTTGAAACACTCTTTTTGTGGAATATGCAAGTGGGTATTAGGCCAGCTTGGAGGATTTCGTTGGAAACGGGAATACGTATAAAAAGCAGACAGCAGCATTGTCAGAAACTACTTTGTGATGTTTGCATTCAAGTCACAGAATTGAACACTCCCTTTCACAGAGCAGGTTTGAAACACTCTTTTTGTAGTGTCTGTAAGTGAACATTTGGATTGCTTTCAGGCCTAAGGTGAAAAAGGAAATATCTTCCCATAAAAACTAGACAGAAGCATTCTCAGAAACTTGTTTGTGATGTGTGCCCTCTACTGACAGAGTTGAAACTTTCTTTGCAAAGAGCAGTTTTGAAACACTCTTTTTGTAGAATCTGCAAGAGGATATTTGGATAGCTTTGAGGATTTCTTGGGAAACGGGAATGTCTTCAGATAAACTCTAGACAGAAGCATTCTCAGAAACTTCTTTGGGATGTTTCAATTGAAGTCACAGTGTTGAACATTCCCTTTCACAGAGCAGGTTTGAAACACTCTTTTTGTAGTGTCTATAAGTGAACATTTGGCGTGCTTTCAGGCGTAACGTGAAAAAGGAAATATCTTCCCATAAAAACTAGACAGAAGCATTCTCAGAAACTTGTTCGTGATGTGTGCCCTCTACTGACAGAGTTGAACCTTTCTTTGCAAAGAGCAGCTTTGAAACACACTTTTTGTAGAATCTGCAAGAGGATATTTGGATAGCTTTGAGGATTTCGTTGGAAACGGATATGTCTTCAGATAAACTCTAGACAGAAGCATTCTCAGAAACTTCTTTGGGATGTTGCATTCAAGTCACAGAGTAGAACATTCCCATTCATAGAGCAGATTTGAAACACTCTTTTTGTAGTATCTGGAAGTGGACATTTGGAGCGCTTTCAGGCCTATGTTGAAAAAGGAAATATCTTCCCATAAAAACTAGACGGAAGCATTCTCAGAAACTTATTTGTGATGTGTTTGCTCAACTAACAGGATTGAACCATCGTTTTGAAGGAGCAGTTTTGAAACACTGTTTTCGTGGAATCTGCAAGTGGATATTTGGCTAGCTTTGAGGATTTCGTTGGAAACGGGATTACATATACAAAGGAGACAGCAAGCATTCTCAGAAACTTCTTTGTGATGTCTGCATTCAATTCACAGAGTTGAGCATTCCCTTTCATAGAGCAGATTGGAAACACTCTTTTTGTAGTATCTGGATGAGGACATTTGGAGCGCTTTCAGGCCTATGGTGAAAAAGGAAATATCTTCCCGTAAAAACTAGACAGAAGCATTCTCAGAAGTTTATTTCTGATGTGTGCCCTCAACTAACAGAGTTGAACCTTTCTTTTGATAGAGCAGTTTTGAAACACTCTTTTTGTAAAATCTGCAAGAGGATATTTGGATAGCTTTGAGGATTTCGTTGCAAACGGGAATGGCTTCATATAAACTCTAGACAGAAGCATTCTCAGAAACTTCGTTGGGATGTTTCGATTGAAGTCCCAGTGTTGAACATTCCCTTTTATAGAGCAGGTTGGAAACACTCTTTCTGCATTCCCTGGAAGTGGACATTTGGAGCGCTTTCAGGACGACGGTGAAAATGGAAATATCTTCCAAGAAAATCTAGATAGAAGCAATGTCAGAAACTTTTATGTGATGGATCTACTCAGCTAACAGAGTTGAACCTTTCTTTTGAGAGAGCAGTTTTGCAACACTCTTTTTGTGGAATATGCAAGTGGATATTAGGGCAGCTTTGAGGATTTCGTTGGAAACGGGAATACATGTAAAAAGCAGACAGCAGCATTCTCAGAAACTTCTTTGTGATGTTTTCGTTGAAGTCACAGGGTTGAACATTCCCTTTGAGAGAGCAGGTTTGAAACACGCCTTTTGTCATATCTGGAAGTGTCCATTCGGAACGCATTCAGGCTTGTGTTGAAAAAGGAAATATCCTCCCATAAAAACTAGACAGAAGCATTCTCAGAAACTTATTTGTGATGTATGTACTCAACTAACAGAACTAAACCATCGTTTTGAAGGAGCAGTTTTGAAACACCCTTTTTGCGGAATCTGCAACTGGATATTTGGCTAGCTTGGAGGATTTCGTTGGAAACGGGATTACATACAAAAAGCAGACAGCAGCATTCTCAGAAACTTCTTTGTGATGTTTGCATTCAAGTCGCAGAGTTGAACATTCCCTTTCATAGAGCAGGTTTGCAACACTCTTTTTGTAGTATCTGGATGTGGACATTTGGATCGCTTTCAGGCCTATGTTGAAAAAGGAAATATCTTCCCATGAAAACTAGACAGAAGCATTCTCAGAAACTTATTTGTGATGTGTGCCCTCAACTGACAGTGTTGAACCTTTGTTTTGATAGAGCAGTTCTGAAACACACTTGTTGTAAAATCTGCAAGAGGATATTTGGATAGCTTTGAGGATTTCGTTGGAAACGGGAATGTCTTCATGTAAACTCTAGACAGAAGCATTCTCAGAAACTGCTTTGGGATGTTTCAATTGAAGTCCCAGTGTTGAACATTCCCATTCATAGAGCAGGTTTGAAACACTCTTTTTGTACTATCTGGAAGTGGACATTTGGAGCGCTTTCAGGTCTACGGTGAAAAAGGAGATATCTTCCAATAAAAACTAGATAGAAGCAATGTCAGAACTTTTTTCATGATGTATCTACTCAGCAAACAGAGTTGAACCTTTCTTTTGAGAGAGCAGTTTTGAAACACTCTTTTTGTGGAATATGCAAGTGGGTATTAGGCCAGCTTGGAGGATTTCTTTGGAAACGGGAATACGTATAAAAAGCAGACAGCAGCATTGTCAGAAACTACTTTGTGATGTTTGCATTCAAGTCACAGAATTGAACACTCCCTTTCACAGAGCAGGTTTGAAACACTCTTTTTGTAGTGTCTGTAAGTGAACATTTGGATTGCTTTCAGGCCTAAGGTGAAAAAGGAAATATCTTCCCATAAAAACTAGACAGAAGCATTCTCAGAAACTTGTTTGTGATGTGTGCCCTCTACTGACAGAGTTGAACCTTTCTTTGCAAAGACCAGTTTTGAAACACTCTTTTTGTAGAATCTGCAAGAGGATATTTGGATAGCTTTGAGGATTTCTTGGGAAACGGGAATGTCTTCAGATAAACTCTAGACAGAAGCATTCTGAGAAACTTCTTTGGGATATTTCAATTGAAGTCACAGTGTTGAACATTCCCTTTCACAGAGCAGGTTTGAAACACTCTTTTTGTAGTGTCTATAAGTGAACATTTGGCGTGCTTTCAGGCGTAACGTGAAAAAGGAAATATCTTCCCATAAAAACGAGACAGAAGCATTCTCAGAAACTTGTTCTTGATGTGTCCCCTCTACTGACAGAGTTGAACCTTTCTTTGCAAAGAGCAGCTTTGAAACACTCTTTTTGTAGAATCTGCAAGAGGATATTTGGATAGCTTGGAGGATTTCGTTGGAAACGGGTATGTCTTCAGATAAACTCTAGACAGAAGCATTCTCAGAAACTTCTTTGGGATGTTGCATTCAAGTCACAGAGTAGAACATTCCCATTCATAGAGCAGATTTGAAACACTCTTTTTGTAGTATCTGGAAGTGGACATTTGGAGCGCTTTCAGGCCTATGTTGAAAAAGGAAATATCTTCCCATAAAAACTAGACGGAAGCATTCTCAGAAACTTATTTGTGATGTGTTTGCTCAACTAACAGGATTGAACCATCGTTTTGAAGGAGCAGTTTTGAAACACTGTTTTCGTGGAATCTGCAAGTGGATATTTGGCTAGCTTTGAGGATTTCGTTGGAAACGGGATTACATATACAAAGGAGACAGCAGCATTCTCAGAAACTTCTTTGTGATGTCTGCATTCAATTCACAGAGTTGAGCATTCCCTTTCATAGAGCAGGTTGGAAACACTCTTTTTGTAGTATCTGGATGAGGACATTTGGAGCGCTTTCAGGCATATGGTGAAAAAGGAAATATCTTCCCGTAAAAACTAGACAGAAGCATTCTCAGAAGTTTATTTGTGATGTGTGCCCTCAACTAACAGAGTTGAACCTTTCTTTTGATAGAGCAGTTTTGAAACACTCTTTTTGTAAAATCTGCAAGAGGATATTTGGATAGCTTTGAGGATTTCGTTGCAAACGGGAATGGCTTCATATAAACTCTAGACAGAAGCATTCTCAGAAACTTCGTTGGGATGTTTCGATTGAAGTCCCAGTGTTGAACATTCCCTTTTATAGAGCAGGTTGGAAACACTCTTTCTGCATTCCCTGGAAGTGGACATTTGGAGCGCTTTCAGGACGACGGTGAAAATGGAAATATCTTCCAATAAAATCTAGATAGAAGCAATGTCAGAAACTTTTATGTGATGGATCTACTCAGCTAACAGAGTTGAACCTTTCTTTTGAGAGAGCAGTTTTGCAACACTCTTTTTGTGGAATATGCAAGTGGATATTAGGGCAGCTTTGAGGATTTCGTTGGAAACGGGAATACATGTAAAAAGCAGACAGCAGCATTCTCAGAAACTTCTTTGTGATGTTTGCATTGAAGTCACAGAGTTGAACATTCCCTTTGAGAGAGCAGGTTTGAAACACGCCTTTTGTCATATCTGGAAGTGTCCATTCGGAGCGCATTCAGGCTTGTGTTGGAAAAGGAAATATCCTCCCATAAAAACTAGACAGAAGCATTCTCAGAAACTTATTTGTGATGTATGTACTCAACTAACAGAACTAAACCATCGTTTTGAAGGAGCAGTTTTGAAACACTCTTTTTGCGGAATCTGCAAGTGGATATTTGGGTAGCTTGGAGGATTTCGTTAGAAACGGGATTACATACAAAAAGCAGACAGCAGCATTCTCAGAAACTTCTTTGTGATGTTAGCATTCAAGTCACAGAGTTGAACATTCCCTTTCATAGAGCAGGTTTGAAACACTCTTTTTGTAGTATCTGGATGTGGACATTTGGATTGCTTTCAGGCCTATGGTGAAAAAGGATATATCTTCCCATGAAAACTAGACAGAATCATTCTCAGAAACTTATTTGTGATGTGTGCCCTCAACTGACAGTGTTGAACCTTTGTTTTGATAGAGCAGTTCTGAAACACACTTTTTGTAAAATCTGCAAGAGGATATTTGGAGAGCTTTGAGGATTTCATTGGAAACGGGAATGTCTTCATGTAAACTCTAGACAGAAGCATTCTCAGAAACTGCTTTGGGATGTTTCAATTGAAGTCCCAGTGTTGAACATTCCCTTTCATAGAGCAGGTTTGAAACACTCTTTTTGTAGTATCTGGAAGGGGACATTTGGAGCGCTTTCAGGTCTACGGTGAAAAAGGAGATATCTTCCAATAAAAACTAGATAGAAGCAATGTCAGAACTTTTTTCATGATGTATCTACTCAGCAAACAGAGTTGAACCTTTCTTTTGAGAGAGCAGTTTTGAAACACTCTTTTTGTGGAATATGCAAGTGGGTATTAGGCCAGCTTGGAGGATTTCGTTGGAAACGGGAATACGTATAAAAAGCAGACAGCAGCATTGTCAGAAACTACTTTGTGATGTTTGCATTCAAGTCACAGAATTGAACACTCCCTTTCACAGAGCAGGTTTGAAACACTCTTTTTGTAGTGTCTGTAAGTGAACATATGGATTGCTTTCAGGCCTAAGGTGAAAAAGGAAATATCTTCCCATAAAAACTAAACTAGACAGAAGCATTCTCAGAAACTTGTTTGTGATGTGTGCCCTCTACTGACAGAGTTGAACCTTTCTTTGCAAAGAGCAGCTTTGAAACACTCTTTTTGTAGAATCTGCAAGAGGATATTTGGATAGCTTTGAGGATTTCTTGGGAAACGGGAATGTCTTCAGATAAACTCTAGACAGAAGCATTCTCAGAAACTTCTTTGGGATGTTTCAATTGAAGTCACAGTGTTGAACATTCCCTTTCACAGAGCAGGTTTGAAACACTCTTTTTGTAGTGTCTATAAGTGAACATTTGGCGTGCTTTCAGGCCTAACGTGAAAAAGGAAATATCTTCCCATAAAAACTAGACAGAAGCATTCTCAGAAACTTGTTCCTGATGTGTGCCCTCTAACTGACAGAGTTGAACCTTTCTTTGCAAAGAGCAGCTTTGAAACACTCTTTTTGTAGAATCTGCAAGAGGATATTTGGATAGCTTTGAGGATTTCGTTGGAAACGGGGATGTCTTCAGATAAACTCTAGACAGAAGCATTCTCAGAAACTTCTTTGGGATGTTGCATTCAAGTCACAGAGTAGAACATTCCCATTCATAGAGCAGATTTGAAACACTCTTTTTGTAGTATCTGGAAGTGGACATTTGGAGCGCTTTCAGGCCTATGTTGAAAAAGGAAATATCTTCCCATAAAAACTAGACGGAAGCATTCTCAGAAACTTATTTGTGATGTGTTTGCTCAACTAACAGGATTGAACCATCGTTTTGAAGGAGCAGTTTTGAAACACTGTTTTCGTGGAATCTGCAAGTGGATATTTGGCTAGCTTTGAGGATTTCGTTGGAAACGGCATTACATATACAAAGGAGACAGCAGCATTCTCAGAAACTTCTTTGTGATGTCTGCATTCAATTCACAGAGTTGAGCATTCCCTTTCATAGAGCAGGTTGGAAACACTCTTTTTGTAGTATCTGGATGAGGACATTTGGAGCGCTTTCAGGCCTATGGTGAAAAAGGAAATATCTTCCCGTAAAAACTAGACAGAAGCATTCTCAGAAGTTTATTTGTGATGTGTGCCCTCAACTAACAGAGTTGAACCTTTCTTTTGATAGAGCAGTTTTGAAACACTCTTTTTGTAAAATCTGCAAGAGGATATTTGGATAGCTTTGAGGATTTCGTTGCAAACGGGAATGGCTTCATATAAACTAGACAGAAGCATTCTCAGAAACTTCGTTGGGATGTTTCGATTGAAGTCCCAGTGTTGAACATTCCCTTTTATAGAGCAGGTTGGAAACACTCTTTCTGCATTCCCTGGAAGTGGACATTTGGAGCGCTTTCAGGACGACGGTGAAAATGGAAATATCTTCCAAGAAAATCTAGATAGAAGCAACGTCAGAAACTTTTCTGTGATGGATCTACTCAGCTAACAGAGTTGAACCTTTCTTTTGAGAGAGCAGTTTTGCAACACTCTTTTTGTGGAATATGCAAGTGGATATTAGGGCAGCTTTGAGGATTTCGTTGGAAACGGGAATACATGTAAAAAGGAGACAGCAGCATTCTCAGAAACTTCTTTGTGATGTTTGCATTGAAGTCACAGAGTTGAACATTCCCTTTGAGAGAGCAGGTTTGAAACACGCCTTTTGTCATATCTGGAAGTGTCCATTCGGAGCGCATTCAGGCTTGTGTTGAAAAAGGAAATATCCTCCCATAAAAACTAGACAGAAGCATTCTCAGAAACTTATCTGTGATGTATGTACTCAACTAACAGAACTAAACCATCGTTTTGAAGGAGCAGTTTTGAAACACTCTTTTTGCGGAATCTGCAAGTGGATATTTGGCTAGCTGGGAGGATTTCGTTGGAAACGGGATTACATACAAAAAGCAGACAGCAGCATTTTCAGAAACTACTTTGTGATGTTTGCATTCAAGTCACAGAGTTGAACATTCCCTTTCATAGAGCAGGTTTGAAACACTCTTTTTGTAGTATCTGGATGTGGACATTTGGATCGCTTTCAGGCCTATGGTGAAAAAGGAAATATCTTCCCATGAAAACTAGACAGAAGCATTCTCAGAAATTTATTTGTGATGTGTGCCCTCAACTAACAGAGTTGAACCTTTCTTTTGATAGAGCAGTTTTGAAACACTCTTTTTGTAAAATCTGCAAGAGGATATTTGGATAGCTTTGAGGATTTCGTTGCAAACGGGAATGGCTTCATATAAACTCTAGACAGAAGCATTCTCAGAAACTTCGTTGGGATGTTTCGATTGAAGTCCCAGTGTTGAACATTCCCATTCATAGAGCAGGTTTGAAACACTCTTTTTGTAGTGTCTATAAGTGAACATTTGGCGTGCTTTCAGGCCTAACGTGAAAAAGGAAATATCTTCCCATAAAAACTAGACAGAAGCATTCTCAGAAACTTGTTCGTGATGTGTGCCCTCTACTGACAGAGTTGAACCTTTCTTTGCAAAGAGCAGCTTTGAAACACACTTTTTGTAGAATCTGCAAGAGGATATTTGGATAGCTTTGAGGATTTCGTTGGAAACGGGTATGTCTTCAGATAAACTCTAGACAGAAGCATTCTCAGAAATTTCTTTGGGATGTTGCATGCAAGTCACAGAGTAGAACATTCCCATTCATAGAGCAGATTTGAAACACTCTTTTTGTACTATCTGGAAGTGGACATTTGGAGCGCTTTCAGGCCTATGTTGAAAAAGGAAATATCTTCCCATAAAAACTAGACGGAAGCATTCTCAGAAACTTAATTGTGATGAGTTTGCTCAACTAACAGGATTGAACCATCCTTTTGAAGGAGCAGTTTTGAAACACTGTTTTCGTGGAATCTGCAAGTGGATATTTGGCTAGCTTTGAGGATTTCGTTGGAAACGGGATTACATATAAAAAGGAGACAGCAGCATTCTCAGAAACTTCTTTGTGATGTCTGCATTTAATTCACAGAGTTGAGCATTCCCTTTCATAGAGCAGGTTGGAAACACTCTTTTTGTAGTATCTGGATGAGGACATTTGGAGCGCTTTCAGGCGTATGGTGAAAAGGGAAATATCTTCCCGTAAAAACTAGACAGAAGCATTCTCAGAAGTTTATTTGTGATGTGTGCCCTCAACTAACAGAGTTGAACCTTTCTTTTGATAGAGCAGTTTTGAAACACTCTTTTTGTAAAATCTGCAAGAGGATATTTGGATAGCTTTGAGGATTTCGTTGCAAACGGGAATGGCTTCATATAAACTCTAGACAGAAAGCATTCTCAGAAACTTCGTCGGGATGTTTCGATTGAAGTCCCAGTGTTGAACATTCCCTTTTATAGAGCAGGTTGGAAACACTCTTTCTGCATTCCCTGGAAGTGGACAATTGGAGCGCTTTCAGGACGACGGTGAAAATGGAAATATCTTCCAATAAAATCTGGATAGAGCAACCGTCAGAAACTTTTCTGTGATGGATCTACTCAGCTAACAGAGTTGAACCTTTCTTTTGAGAGAGCAGTTTTGCAACACTCTTTTTGTGGAATATGCAAGTGGATATTAGGGCAGCTTTGAGGATTTCGTTGGAAACGGGAATACATGTAAAAAGCAGACAGCAGCATTCTCAGAAACTTCTTTGTGATGTTTGCATTGAAGTCACAGAGTTGAACATTCCCTTTGAGAGAGCAGGTTTGAAACACGCCTTTTGTCATATCTGGAAGTGTCCATTCGGAGCGCATTCAGGCTTGTGTTGAAAAAGGAAATATCCTCCCATAAAAACTAGACAGAAGCATTCTCAGAAACTTATCTGTGATGTATGTACTCAACTAACAGAACTAAACCATCGTTTTGAAGGAGCAGTTTTGAAACACTCTTTTTGCGGAATCTGCAAGTGGATATTTGGCTAGCTGGGAGGATTTCGTTGGAAACGGGATTACATACAAAAAGCAGACAGCAGCATTCTCAGAAACTTCTTTGTGATGTTTGCATTCAAGTCACAGAGTTGAACATTCCCTTTCATAGAGCAGGTTTGAAACACTCTTTTTGTAGTATCTGGATGTGGACATTTGGATCGCTTTCAGGCCTATGGTGAAAAAGGAAATATCTTCCCATGAAAACTAGACAGAAGCATTCTCAGAAACTTATTTGTGATGTGTGCCCTCAACTGACAGTGTTGAACCTTTGTTTTGATAGAGCAGTTCTGAAACACACTTTTTGTAAAATCTGCAAGAGGATATTTGGATAGCTTTGAGGATTTCGTTGGAAACGGGAATGTCTTCATGTAAACTCTAGACAGAAGCATTCTCAGAAACTGCTTTGGGATGTTTCAATTGAAGTCCCAGTGTTGAACATTCCCTTTCATAGAGCAGGTTTGAAACACTCTTTTTGTACTATCTGGAAGTGGACATTCGGAGCGCTTTCAGGTCTACGGTGAAAAAGGAGATATCTTCCAATAACAACTAGATAGAAGCAATGTCAGAACTTTTTTCATGATGTATCTACTCAGCTAACAGAGTTGAACCTTTCTTTTGAGAGAGCAGTTTTGAAACACTCTTTTTGTGGAATATGCAAGTGGGTATTAGGCCAGCTTGGAGGATTTCGTTGGAAACGGGAATACGTATAAAAAGCAGACAGCAGCATTGTCAGAAACTACTTTGTGATGTTTGCATTCAAGTCACAGAATTGAACACTCCCTTTCACAGAGCAGGTTTGAAACACTCTTTTTGTAGTGTCTATAAGTGAACATTTGGCGTGCTTTCAGGCCTAAGGTGAAAAAGGAAATATCTTCCCATAAAAACTAGACAGAAGCATTCTCAGAAACTTGTTTGTGATGTGTGCCCTCTACTGACAGAGTTGAACCTTTCTTTGCAAAGAGCAGTTTTGAAACACTCTTTTTGTAGAATCTGCAAGAGGATATTTGGATAGCTTTGAGGATTTCTTGGGAAACGGGAATGTCTTCAGATAAACTCTAGACAGAAGCATTCTCAGAAACTTCTTTGGGATGTTTCAATTGAAGTCACAGTGTTGAACATTCCCTTTCAGAGAGCAGGTTTGAAACACTCTTTTTGTAGTGTCTATAAGTGAACATTTGGCGTGCTTTCAGGCCTAACGTGAAAAAGGAAATATCTTCCCATAAAAACTAGACAGAAGCATTCTCAGAAACTTGTTCTTGATGTGTCCCTTCTATTGACAGAGTTGAACCTTTCTTTGCAAAGAGCAGCTTTGAAACACTCTTTTTGTAGAATCTGCAAGAGGATATTTGGATAGCTTTGAGGATTTCGTTGGAAACGGGTATGTCTTCAGATAAACTCTAGACAGAAGCATTCTCAGAAACTTCTTTGGGATGTTGCATTCAAGTCACAGAGTAGAACATTCCCATTCATAGAGCAGATTTGAAACACTCTTTTTGTAGTATCTGGAAGTGGACATTTGGAGCGCTTTCAGGCCTATGTTGAAAAAGGAAATATCTTCCCATAAAAACTAGACGGAAGCATTCTCAGAAACTTACTTGTGATGTGTTTGCTCAACTAACAGAATTGAACCATCGTTTTAAAGGAGCAGTTTTGAAACACTGTTTTCGTGGAATCTGCAAGTGGATATTTGGCTAGCTTTGAGGATTTCGTTGGAAACGGGATTACATATAAAAAGGAGACAGCAGCATTCTCAGAAACTTCTTTGTGATGTCTGCATTCAAGTCACAGAGTTGAGCATTCCCTTTCATAGAGCAGGTTGGAAACACTCTTTTTGTAGTATCTGGATGAGGACATTTGGAGCACTTTCAGGCGTATGGTGAAAAAGGAAATATCTTCCCGTAAAAACTAGACAGAAGCATTCTCAGAAGTTTATTTGTGATGTGTGCCCTCAACTAACAGAGTTGAAACTTTCTTTTGATAGAGCAGTTTTGAAACACTCATTTTGTAAAATCTGCAAGAGGATATTTGGATAGCTTTGAGGATTTCGTTGCAAACGGGAATGGCTTCATATAAACTCTAGACAGAAGCATTCTCAGAAACTTCGTTGGGATGTTTCGATTGAAGTCCCAGTGTTGAACATTCCCTTTTATAGAGCAGGTTGGAAACACTCTTTCTGCATTCCCTGGAAGTGGACATTTGGAGCGCTTTCAGGACGACGGTGAAAATGGAAATATCTTCCAAGAAAATCTAGATAGAAGCAACGTCAGAAACTTTTATGTGATGGATCTACTCAGCTAACAGAGTTGAACCTTTCTTTTGAGAGAGCAGTTTTGCAACACTCTTTTTGTGGAATATGAAAGTGGATATTAGGGCAGCTTTGAGGATTTCGTTGGAAACGGGAATACATGTAAAAAGCAGACAGCAGCATTCTCAGAAACTTCTTTGTGATGTTTGCATTGAAGTCACAGAGTTGAACATTCTCTTTGAGAGAGCAGGTTTGAAACACGCCTTTTGTCATATCTGGAAGTGTCCATTCGGAGCGCATTCAGGCTTGTGTTGAAAAAGGAAATATCCTCCCAGAAAAACTAGACAGAAGCATTCTCAGAAACTTATCTGTGATGTATGTACTCAACTAACAGAACTAAACCATCGTTTTGAAGGAGCAGTTTTGAAACACTCTTTTTGCGGAATCTGCAAGTGGATATTTGGCTAGCTGGGAGGATTTCGTTGGAAACGGGATTACATACAAAAAGCAGACAGCAGCATTCTCAGAAACTTCTTTGTGATGTTTGCATTCAAGTCACAGAGTTGAACATTCCCTTTCATAGAGCAGGTTTGAAACACTCTTTTTGTAGTATCTGGATGTGGACATTTGGATCGCTTTCAGGCCTATGGTGAAAAAGGAAATATCTTCCCATGAAAACTAGACAGAAGCATTCTCAGAAACTTATTTGTGATGTGTGCCCTCAACTGACAGTGTTGAACCTTTGTTTTGATAGAGCAGTTCTGAAACACACTTTTTGTAAAATCTGCAAGAGGATATTTGGATAGCTTTGAGGATTTCGTTGGAAACGGGAATGTCTTCATGTAAACTCTAGACAGAAGCATTCTCAGAAACTGCTTTGGGATGTTTAAATTGAAGTCCCAGTGTTGAACATTCCCTTTCATAGAGCAGGTTTGAAACACTCTTTTTGTACTATCTGGAAGTGGACATTTGGAGCGCTTTCAGGTCTACGGTGAAAAAGGAGATATCTTCCAATAAAAACTAGATAGAAGCAATGTCAGAACTTTTTTCGTGATGTATCTACTCAGCAAACAGAGTTGAACATTTCTTTTGAGAGAGCAGTTTTGAAACACTCTTTTTGTGGAATATGCAAGTGGGTATTAGGCCAGCTTGGAGGATTTCGTTGGAAACGGGAATACGTATAAAAAGCAGACAGCAGCATTGTCAGAAACTACTTTGTGATGTTTGCATTCAAGTCACAGAATTGAACACTCCCTTTCACAGAGCAGGTTTGAAACACTCTTTTTGTAGTGTCTGTAAGTGAACATATGGATTGCTTTCAGGCCTAAGGTGAAAAAGGAAATATCTTCCCATAAAAACTAGACAGAAGCATTCTCAGAAACTTGTTTGTGATGTGTGCCCTCTACTGACAGAGTTGAACCTTTCTTTGCAAAGAGCAGTTTTGAAACACTCTTTTTGTAGAATCTGCAAGAGGATATTTGGATAGCTTTGAAGATTTCTTGGGAAACGGGAATGTCTTCAGATAAACTCTAGACAGGAAGCATTCTCAGAAACTTCTTTGGGATGTTTCAATTGAAGTCACAGTGTTGAACATTCCCTTTCACAGAGCAGGTTTGAAACACTCTTTTTGTAGTGTCTATAAGTGAACATTTGGCGTGCTTTCAGGCCTAACGTGAAAAAGGAAATATCTTCCCATAAAAACTAGACAGAAGCATTCTCAGAAACTTGTTCGTGATGTGTGCCCTCTACTGACAGAGTTGAACCTTTCTTTGCAAAGAGCAGCTTTGAAACACTCTTTTTGTAGAATCTGCAAGAGGATATTTGGATAGCTTGGAGGATTTCGTTGGAAACGGGTATGTCTTCAGATAAACTCTAGACAGAAGCATTCTCAGAAACTTCTTTGGGATGTTGCATTCAAGTCACAGAGTAGAACATTCCCATTCATAGAGCAGATTTGAAACACTCTTTTTGTAGTATCTGGAAGTGGACATTTGGAGCGCTTTCAGGCCTATGTTGAAAAAGGAAATATCTTCCCATAAAAACTAGACGGAAGCATTCTCAGAAACTTATTTGTGATGTGTTTGCTCAACTAACAGGATTGAACCATCGTTTTGAAGGAGCAGTTTTGAAACACTGTTTTCGTGGAATCTGCAAGTGGATATTTGGCTAGCTTTGAGGATTTCGTTGGAAACGGGATTATATATACAAAGGAGACAGCAGCATTCTCAGAAACTGCTTTGGGATGTTTCAATTGAAGTCCCAGTGTTGAACATTCCCTTTCATAGAGCAGGTTTGAAACACTCTTTTTGTAGTATCTGGATGAGGACATTTGGAGCGCTTTCAGGCGTATGGTGAAAAAGGAAATATCTTCCCTTAAAAACAAGACAGAAGCATTCTCAGAAGTTTATTTCTGATGTGTGCCCTCAACTAACAGAGTTGAACCTTTCTTTTGATAGAGCAGTTTTGAAACACTCTTTTTGTAAAATCTGCAAGAGGATATTTGGATAGCTTTGAGGATTTCGTTGCAAACGGGAATGGCTTCATATAAACTCTAGACAGAAGCATTCTCAGAAACTTCGTTGGGATGTTTCGATTGAAGTCCCAGTGTTGAACATTCCCTTTTATAGAGCAGGTTGGAAACACTCTTTCTGCATTCCCTGGAAGTGGACATTTGGAGCGCTTTCAGGACGACGGTGAAAATGGAAATATCTTCCAAGAAAATCTAGATAGAAGCAATGTCAGAAACTTTTATGTGATGGATCTACTCAGCTAACAGAGTTGAACCTTTCTTTTGAGAGAGCAGTTTTGCAACACTCTTTTTGTGGAATATGCAAGTGGATATTAGGGCAGCTTTGAGGATTTCGTTGGAAACGGGAATACATGTAAAAAGCAGACAGCAGCATTCTCAGAAACTTCTTTGTGATGTTTGCATTGAAGTCACAGAGTTGAACATTCCCTTTGAGAGAGCAGGTTTGAAACACGCCTTTTGTCATATCTGGAAGTGTCCATTCGGAGCGCATTCAGGCTTGTGTTGAAAAAGGAAATATCCTCCCAGAAAAACTAGACAGAAGCATTCTCAGAAACTTATCTGTGATGTATGTACTCAACTAACAGAACTAAACCATCGTTTTGAAGGAGCAGTTTTGAAACACTCTTTTTGCGGAATCTGCAAGTGGATATTTGGCTAGCTGGGAGGATTTCGTTGGAAACGGGATTACATACAAAAAGCAGACAGCAGCATTCTCAGAAACTTCTTTGTGATGTTTGCATTCAAGTCACAGAGTTGAACATTCCCTTTCATAGAGCAGGTTTGAAACACTCTTTTTGTAGTATCTGGATGTGGACATTTGGATCGCTTTCAGGCCTATGGTGAAAAAGGAAATATCTTCCCATGAAAACTAGACAGAAGCATTCTCAGAAACTTATTTGTGATGTGTGCCCTCAACTGACAGTGTTGAACCTTTGTTTTGATAGAGCAGTTCTGAAACACACTTTTTGTAAAATCTGCAAGAGGATATTTGGATAGCTTTGAGGATTTCGTTGGAAACGGGAATGTCTTCATGTAAACTCTAGACAGAAGCATTCTCAGAAACTGCTTTGGGATGTTTCAATTGAAGTCCCAGTGTTGAACATTCCCTTTCATAGAGCAGGTTTGAAACACTCTTTTTGTACTATCTGGAAGTGGACATTTGGAGCGCTTTCAGGTCTACGGTGAAAAAGGAGATATCTTCCAATAAAAACTAGATAGAAGCAATGTCAGAACTTTTTTCATGATGTATCTACTCAGCAAACAGAGTTGAACCTTTCTTTTGAGAGAGCAGTTTTGAAACACTCTTTTTGTGCAATATGCAAGTGGGTATTAGGCCAGCTTGGAGGATTTCGTTGGAAACGGGAATACGTATAAAAAGCAGACAGCAGCATTGTCAGAAACTACTTTGTGATGTTTGCATTCAAGTCACAGAATTGAACACTCCCTTTCACAGAGCAGGTTTGAAACACTCTTTTTGTAGTGTCTGTAAGTGAACATTTGGATTGCTTTCAGGCCTAAGGTGAAAAAGGAAATATCTTCCAATAAAAACTAGACAGAAGCACTCTCAGAAACTTGTTTGTGATGTGTGCCCTCTACTGACAGAGTTGAACCTTTCTTTGCAAAGAGCAGTTTTGAAACACTCCTTTTGTAGAATCTGCAAGAGGATATTTGGATAGCTTTGAGGATTTCTTGGGAAACGGGAATGTCTTCAGATAAACTCTAGACAGAAGCATTCTCAGAAACTTCTTTGGGATGTTTCAATTGAAGTCACAGTGTTGAACATTCCCTTTCACAGAGCAGGTTTGAAACACTCTTTTTGTAGTGTCTATAAGTGAACATTTGGCGTGCTTTCAGGCCTAACGTGAAAAAGGAAATATCTTCCCATAAAAACTAGACAGAAGCATTCTCAGAAACTTGTTCGTGATGTGTGCCCTCTACTGACAGAGTTGAACCTTTCTTTGCAAAGAGCAGCTTTGAAACACTCTTTTTGTAGAATCTGCAAGAGGATATTTGGATAGCTTGGAGGATTTCGTTGGAAACGGGTATGTCTTCAGATAAACTGCTAGACAGAAGCATTCTCAGAAACTTCTTTGGGATGTTGCATTCAAGTCACAGAGTAGAACATTCCCATTCATAGAGCAGATTTGAAACACTCTTTTTGTAGTATCTGGAAGTGGACATTTGGAGCGCTTTCAGGCCTATGTTGAAAAAGGAAATATCTTCCCATAAAAACTAGACGGAAGCATTCTCTGAAACTTATTTGTGATGTGTTTGCTCAACTAACAGGATTGAACCATCGTTTTGAAGGAGCAGTTTTGAAACACTGTTTTCGTGGAATCTGCAAGTGGATATTTGGCTAGCTTTGAGGATTTCGTTGGAAACGGGATTACATATAAAAAGGAGACAGCAGCATTCTCAGAAACTTCTTTGTGATGTTTGCATTCAAGTCACAGAGTTGAACATTCCCTTTCATAGAGCAGGTTTGAAACACTCTTTTTGTAGTATCTGGATGTGGACATTTGGATCGCTTTCAGGCCTATGGTGAAAAAGGAAATATCTTCCCATGAAAACTAGACAGAAGCATTCTCAGAAACTTATTTGTGATGTGTGCCCTCAACTGACAGTGCTGAACCTTTGTTTTGATAGAGCAGTTCTGAAACACACTTTTTGTAAAATCTGCAAGAGGATATTTGGATAGCTTTGAGGATTTCGTTGGAAACGGGAATGTCTTCATGTAAACTCTAGACAGAAGCATTCTCAGAAACTGCTTTGGGATGTTTCAATTGAAGTCCCAGTGTTGAACATTCCCTTTCATAGAGCAGGTTTGAAACACTCTTTTTGTACTATCTGGAAGTGGACATTTGGAGCGCTTTCAGGTCTACGGTGAAAAAGGAGATATCTTCCAATAAAAACTAGATAGAAGCAATGTAAGAACTTTTTTCAGGATGTATCTACTCAGCAAACAGAGTTGAACCTTTCTTTTGAGAGAGCAGTTTTGAAACACTCTTTTTGTGGAATATGCAAGTGGGTATTAGGCCAGCTTGGAGGATTTCGTTGGAAACGGGAATACGTATAAAAAGCAGACAGCAGCATTGTCAGAAACTACTTTGTGATGTTTGCATTCAAGTCACAGAATTGAACACTCCCTTTCACAGAGCAGGTTTGAAACACTCTTTTTGTAGTGTCTGTAAGTGAACATTTGGATTGCTTTCAGGCCTAAGGTGAAAAAGGAAATATCTTCCCATAAAAACTAGACAGAAGCATTCTCAGAAACTTGTTTGTGATGTGTGCCCTCTACTGACAGAGTTGAACCTTTCTTTGCAAAGAGCAGTTTTGAAACACTCTTTTTGTAGAATCTGCAAGAGGATATTTGGATAGCTTTGAGGATTTCTTGGGAAACGGGAATGTCTTCAGATAAACTCTAGACAGAAGCATTCTCAGAAACTTCTTGGGATATTTCAATTGAAGTCACAGTGTTGAACATTCCCTTTCACAGAGCAGGTTTGAAACACTCTTTTTGTAGTGTCTATAAGTGAACATTTGGCGTGCTTTCAGGCCTAACGTGAAAAAGGAAATATCTTCCCATAAAAACTAGACAGAAGCATTCTCAGAAACTTGTTCGTGATGTGTGCCCTCTACTGACAGAGTTGAACCTTTCTTTGCAAAGAGCAGCTTTGAAACACTCTTTTTGTAGAATCTGCCAGAGGATATTTGGATAGCTTTGAGGATTTCGTTGGAAACGGGTATGTCTTCAGATAAACTCTAGACAGAAGCATTCTCAGAAACTTCTTTGGGATGTTGCATGCAAGTCACAGAGTAGAACATTCCCATTCATAGAGCAGATTTGAAACACTCTTTTTGTAGTATCTGGAAGTGGACATTTGGAGCGCTTTCAGGCCTATGTTGAAAAAGGAAATATCTTCCCATAAAAACTAGACGGAAGCATTCTCAGAAACTTAATTGTGATGTGTTTGCTCAACTAACAGGATTGAACCATCGTTTTGAAGGAGCAGTTTTGAAACACTGTTTTCGTGGAATCTGCAAGTGGATATTTGGCTAGCTTTGAGGATTTCGTTGGAAACGGGATTACATATAAAAAGGAGACAGCAGCATTCTCAGAAACTTCTTTGTGATGTCTGCATTCAATTCACAGAGTTGAGCATTCCCTTTCATAGAGCAGGTTGGAAACACTCTTTTTGTAGTATCTGGATGTGGACATTTGGATCGCTTTCAGGCCTATGGTGAAAAAGGAAATATCTTCCCATGAAAACTAGACAGAAGCATTCTCAGAAATTTATTTGTGATGTGTGCACTCAACTGACAGTGTTGAACCTTTGTTTTGATAGAGCAGTTCTGAAACACACTTTTTGTAAAATCTGCAAGAGGATATTTGGATAGCTTTGAGGATTTCGTTGGAAACGGGAATGTCTTCATGTAAACTCTACACAGAAGCATTCTCAGAAACTGCTTTGGGATGTTTCAATTGAAGTCCCAGCGTTGAACATTCCCATTCATAGAGCAGGTTTGAAACACTCTTTTTGTACTATCTGGAAGTGGACATTTGGAGCGCTTTCAGGTCTACGGTGAAAAAGGAGATATCTTCCAATAAAAACTAGATAGAAGCAATGTCAGAACTTTTTTCATGATGTATCTACTCAGCAAACAGAGTTGAACCTTTCTTTTGAGAGAGCAGTTTTGACACAGTCTTTGTGGAATATGCAAGTGGGTATTAGGCCAGCTTGGAGGATTTCGTTGGAAACGGGAATACGTATAAAAAGCAGACAGCAGCATTGTCAGAAACTACTTTGTGATGTTTGCATTCAAGTCACAGAATTGAACACTCCCTTTCACAGAGCAGGTTTGAAACACTCTTTTTGTAGTGTCTGTAAGTGAACATTTGGATTGCTTTCAGGCCTAAGGTGAAAAAGGAAATATCTTCCCATAAAAACTAGACAGAAGCATTCTCAGAAACTTGTTTGTGATGTGTGCCCTCTACTGACAGAGTTGAAACTTTCTTTGCAAAGAGCAGTTTTGAAACACTCTTTTTGTAGAATCTGCAAGAGGATATTTGGATAGCTTTGAGGATTTCTTGGGAAACGGGAATGTCTTCAGATAAACTCTAGACAGAAGCATTCTCAGAAACTTCTTTGGGATGTTTCAATTGAAGTCACAGTGTTGAACATTCCCTTTCACAGAGCAGGTTTGAAACACTCTTTTTGTAGTGTCTATAAGTGAACATTTGGCGTGCTTTCAGGCGTAACGTGAAAAAGGAAATATCTTCCCATAAAAACCAGACAGAAGCATTCTCAGAAACTTGTTCGTGATGTGTGCCCTCTACTGACAGAGTTGAACCTTTCTTTGCAAAGAGCAGCTTTGAAACACACTTTTTGTAGAATCTGCAAGAGGATATTTGGATAGCTTTGAGGATTTCGTTGGAAACGGGTATGTCTTCAGATATACTCTAGACAGAAGCATTCTCAGAAACTTCTTTGGGATGTTGCATTCAAGTCACAGAGTAGAACATTCCCATTCATAGAGCAGATTTGAAACACTCTTTTTGTAGTATCTGGAAGTGGACATTTGGAGCGCTTTCAGGCCTATGTTGAAAAAGGAAATATCTTCCCATAAAAACTAGACGGAAGCATTCTCAGAAACTTACTTGTGATGTGTTTGCTCAACTAACAGAATTGAACCATCGTTTTGAAGGAGCAGTTTTGAAACACTGTTTTCGTGGAATCTGCAAGTGGATATTTGGCTAGCTTTGAGGATTTCGTTGGAAACGGGATTACATATAAAAAGGAGTCAGCAGCATTCTCAGAAACTTCTTTGTGATGTCTGCATTCAATTCACAGAGTTGAGCATTCCCTTTCATAGAGCAGGTTGGAAACACTCTTTTTGTAGTATCTTGATGAGGACATTTGGAGCGCTTTCAGGCGTATGGTGAAAAAGGAAATATCTTCCCGTAAAAACTAGACAGAAGCATTCTCAGAAGTTTATTTGTGATGTGTGCCCTCAACTAACAGAGTTGAACCTTTCTTTTGATAGAGCAGTTTTGAAACACTCTTTTTGTAAAATCTGCAAGAGGATATTTGGATAGCTTTGAGGATTTCGTTGCAAACGGGAATGGCTTCATATAAACTCTAGACAGAAGCATTCTCAGAAACTTCGTTGGGATGTTTCGATTGAAGTCCCAGTGTTGAACATTCCCTTTTATAGAGCAGGTTGGAAACACTCTTTCTGCATTCCCTGGAAGTGGACATTTGGAGCGCTTTCAGGACGACAGTGAAAATGGAAATATCTTCCAAGAAAATCTAGATAGAAGCAATGTCAGAAACTTTTATGTGATGGATCTACTCAGCTAACAGAGTTGAACCTTTCTTTTGAGAGAGCAGTTTTGCAACACTCTTTTTGTGGAATATGCAAGTGGATATTAGGGCAGCTTTGAGGATTTCGTTGGAAACGGGAATACATGTAAAAAGCAGACAGCAGCATTCTCAGAAACTTCTTTGTGATGTTTGCATTGAAGTCACAGAGTTGAACATTCTCTTTGAGAGAGCAGGTTTGAAACACGCCTTTTGTCATATCTGGAAGTGTCCATTCGGAGCGCATTCAGGCTTGTGTTGAAAAAGGAAATATCCTCCCAGAAAAACTAGACAGAAGCATTCTCAGAAACTTATCTGTGATGTATGTACTCAACTAACAGAACTAAACCATCGTTTTGAAGGAGCAGTTTTGAAACACTCTTTTTGCGGAATCTGCAAGTGGATATTTGGCTAGCTGGGAGGATTTCGTTGGAAACGGGATTACATACAAAAAGCAGACAGCAGCATTCTCAGAAACTTCTTTGTGATGTTTGCATTCAAGTCACAGAGTTGAACATTCCCTTTCATAGAGCAGGTTTGAAACACTCTTTTTGTAGTATCTGGATGTGGACATTTGGATCGCTTCAGGCCTATGGTGAAAAAGGAAATATCTTCCCATGAAAACTAGACAGAAGCATTCTCAGAAGTTTATTTGTGATGTGTGCCCTCAACTAACAGAGTTGAACCTTTCTTTTGATAGAGCAGTTTTGAAACACTCTTTTTGTAAAATCTGCAAGAGGATATTTGGATAGCTTTGAGGATTTCGTTGCAAACGGGAATGGCTTCATATAAACTCTAGACAGAAGCATTCTCAGAAACTTCGTTGGGATGTTTCGATTGAAGTCCCAGTGTTGAGCATTCCCTTTTATAGAGCAGGTTGGAAACACTCTTTCTGCATTCCCTGGAAGTGGACATTTGGAGCGCTTTCAGGACGACGGTGAAAATGGAAATATCTTCCAAGAAAATCTAGATAGAAGCAATGTCAGAAACTTTTATGTGATGGATCTACTCAGCTAACAGAGTTGAAGCTTTCTTTTGAGAGAGCAGTTTTGCAACACTCTTTTTGTGGAATATGCAAGTGGATATTAGGGCAGCTTTGAGGATTTCGTTGGAAACGGGAATACATGTAAAAAGCAGACAGCAGCATTCTCAGAAACTTCTTTGTGATGTTTGCATTGAAGTCACAGAGTTGAACATTCCCTTTGAGAGAGCAGGTTTGAAACACGCCTTTTGTCATATCTGGAAGTGTCCATTCGGAGCGCATTCAGGCTTGTGTTGAAAAAGGAAATATCCTCCCATAAAAACTAGACAGAAGCATTCTCAGAAACTTATCTGTGATGTATGTACTCAACTAACAGAACTAAACCATCGTTTTGAAGGAGCAGTTTTGAAACACTCTTTTTGCGGAATCTGCAAGTGGATATTTGGCTAGCTGGGAGGATTTCGTTGGAAACGGGATTACATACAAAAAGCAGACAGCAGCATTCTCAGAAACTTCTTTGTGATGTTTGCATTCAAGTCACAGAGTTGAGCATTCCCTTTCATAGAGCAGGTTGGAAACACTCTTTTTGTAGTATCTGGATGTGGACATTTGGATCGCTTTCAGGCGTATGGTGAAAAAGGAAATATCTTCCCATGAAAACTAGACAGAAGCATTCTCAGAAACTTATTTGTGATGTGTGCACTCAACTGACAGTGTTGAACCTTTGTTTTGATAGAGCAGTTCTGAAACACACTTTTTGTAAAATCTGCAAGAGGATATTTGGATAGCTTTGAGGATTTCGTTGGAAACGGGAATGTCTTCATGTGAACTCTAGACAGAAGCATTCTCAGAAACTGCTTTGGGATGTTTCAATTGAAGTCCCAGTGTTGAACATTCCCATTCATAGAGCAGGTTTGAAACACTCTTTTTGTACTATCTGGAAGTGGACATTTGGAGCGCTTTCAGGTCTACGGTGAAAAAGGAGATATCTTCCAATAAAAACTAGATAGAAGCAATGTCAGAACTTTTTTCATGATGTATCTACTCAGCAAACAGAGTTGAACCTTTCTTTTGAGAGAGCAGTTTTGAAACACTCTTTTTGTGGAATATGCAAGTGGGTATTAGGCCAGCTTGGAGGATTTCGTTGGAAACGGGAATACGTATAAAAAGCAGACAGCAGCATTGTCAGAAACTACTTTGTGATGTTTGCATTCAAGTCACAGAATTGAACACTCCCTTTCACAGAGCAGGTTTGAAACACTCTTTTTGTAGTGTCTGTAAGTGAACATTTGGATTGCTTTCAGGCCTAAGGTGAAAAAGGAAATATCTTCCCATAAAAACTAGACAGAAGCATTCTCAGAAACTTGTTTGTGATGTGTGCCCTCTACTGACAGAGTTGAACCTTTCTTTGCAAACAGCAGTTTGAAACACTCTTTTTGTAGAATCTGCAAGAGGATATTTGGATAGCTTTGAGGATTTCTTGGGAAATGGGAGTGTCTTCAGATAAACTCTAGACAGAAGCATTCTCAGCAAACTTCTTTGGGATGTTTCAATTGAAGTCACAGTGTTGAACATTCCCTTTCACAGAGCAGGTTTGAAACACTCTTTTTGTAGTGTCTATAATTGAACATTTGGCGTGCTTTCAGGCCTAACGTGAAAAAGGAAATATCTTCCCATAAAAACTAGACAGAAGCATTCTCAGAAACTTGTTCTTGATGTGTCCCCTCTACTGACAGAGTTGAACCTTTCTTTGCAAAGAGCAGCTTTGAAACACTCTTTTTGTAGAATCTGCAAGAGGATATTTGGATGGCTTGGAGGATTTCGTTGGAAACGGGTATGTCTTCAGATAAACTCTAGACAGAAGCATTCTCAGAAACTTCTTTGGGATGTTGCATTCAAGTCACAGAGTAGAACATTCCCATTCATAGAGCAGATTTGAAACACTCTTTTTGTAGTATCTGGAAGTGGACATTTGGAGCGCTTTCAGGCCTATGTTGAAAAAGGAAATATCTTCCCATAAAAACTAGACGGAAGCATTCTCAGAAACTTACTTGTGATGTGTTTGCTCAACTAACAGAATTGAACCATCGTTTTGAAGGAGCAGTTTTGAAACACTGTTTTCGTGGAATCTGCAAGTGGATATTTGGCTAGCTTTGAGGATTTCGTTGGAAACGGGATTACATATAAAAAGGAGACAGCAGCATTCTCAGAAACTTCTTTGTGATGTCTGCATTCAAGTCACAGAGTTGAGCATTCCCTTTCATAGAGCAGGTTGTAAACACTCTTTTTGTAGTATCTGGATGAGGACATTTGGAGCGCTTTCAGGCGTATGGTGAAAAAGGAAATATCTTCCCGTAAAAACTAGACAGAAGCATTCTCAGAAATTTATTTGTGATGTGTGCCCTCAACTAACAGAGTTGAACCTTTCTTTTGATAGAGCAGTTTTGAAACACTCTTTTTGTAAAATCTGCAAGAGGATATTTGGATAGCTTTGAGGATTTCGTTGCAAACGGGAATGGCTTCATATAAACTCTAGACAGAAGCATTCTCAGAAACTTCGTTGGGATGTTTCGATTGAAGTCCCAGTGTTGAACATTCCCTTTTATAGAGCAGGTTGGAAACACTCTTTCTGCATTCCCTGGAAGTGTACATTTGGAGCGCTTTCAGGACGACGGTGAAAATGGAAATATCTTCCAAGAAAATCTAGATAGAAGCAACGTCAGAAACTTTTATGTGATGGATCTACTCAGCTAACAGAGTTGAACCTTTCTTTTGAGAGAGCAGTTTTGCAACACTCTTTTTGTGGAATATGCAAGTGGATATTAGGGCAGCTTTGAGGATTTCGTTGGAAACGGGAATACATGTAAAAAGCAGACAGCAGCATTCTCAGAAACTTCTTTGTGATGTTTGCATTGAAGTCACAGAGTTGAACATTCCCTTTGAGAGAGCAGGTTTGAAACACGCCTTTTGTCATATCTGGAAGTGTCCATTCGGAGCGCATTCAGGCTTGTGTTGAAAAAGGAAATATCCTCCCATAAAAACTAGACAGAAGCATTCTCAGAAACTTATTTGTGATGTATGTACTCAACTAACAGAACTAAACCATCGTTTTGACGGAGCAGTTTTGAAACACTCTTTTTGCGGAATCTGCAAGTGGATATTTGGCTAGCTGGGAGGATTTCGTTGGAAACGGGATTACATACAAAAAGCAGAGAGCAGCATTCTCAGAAACTTATTTGTGATGTGTGCACTCAACTGACAGTGTTGAACCTTTGTTTTGATAGAGCAGTTCTGAAACACACTTTTTGTAAAATCTGCAAGAGGATATTTGGATAGCTTTGAGGATTTCGTTGGAAACGGGAATGTCTTCATGTAAACTCTAGACAGAAGCATTCTCAGAAACTGCTTTGGGATGTTTCAATTGAAGTCCCAGTGTTGAACATTCCCATTCATAGAGCAGGTTTGAAACACTCTTTTTGTACTATCTGGAAGTGGACATTTGGAGCGCTTTCAGGTCTACGGTGAAAAAGGAGATATCTTCCAATAAAAACTAGATAGAAGCAATGTCAGAACTTTTTTCATGATGTATCTACTCAGCTAACAGAGTTGAACCTTTCTTTTGAGAGAGCAGTTTTGAAACACTCTTTGTGTGGAATATGCAAGTGGGTATTAGGCCAGCTTGGAGGATTTCGTTGGAAACGGGAATACGTATAAAAAGCAGACAGCAGCATTGTCAGAAACTACTTTGTGATGTTTGCATTCAAGTCACAGAATTGAACACTCCCTTTCACAGAGCAGGTTTGAAACACTCTTTTTGTAGTGTCTATAAGTGAACATTTGGCGTGCTTTCAGGCCTAAGGTGAAAAAGGAAATATCTTCCCATAAAAACTAGACAGAAGCATTCTCAGAAACTAGTTTGTGATGTGTGCCCTCTACTGACAGAGTTGAACCTTTCTTTGCAAAGAGCAGTTTTGAAACACTCTTTTTGTAGAATCTGCAAGAGGATATTTGGATAGCTTTGAGGATTTCTTGGGAAACGGGAATGTCTTCAGATAAACTCTAGACAGAAGCATTCTCAGAAACTTCTTTGGGATGTTTCAATTGAAGTCACAGTGTTGAACATTCCCTTTCACAGAGCAGGTTTGAAACACTCTTTTTGTAGTGTCTATAAGTGAACATTTGGCGTGCTTTCAGGCCTAACGTGAAAAAGGAAATATCTTCCCATAAAAACTAGACAGAAGCATTCTCAGAAACTTGTTCTTGATGTGTCCCCTCTACTGACAGAGTTGAACCTTTCTTTGCAAAGAGCAGCTTTGAAACACTCTTTTTGTAGAATCTGCAAGAGGATATTTGGATAGCTTGGAGGATTTCGTTGGAAACGGGTATGTCTTCAGATAAACTCTAGACAGAAGCATTCTCAGAAACTTCTTTGGGATGTTGCATTCAAGTCACAGAGTAGAACATTCCCATTCATAGAGCAGATTTGAAACACTCTTTTTGTAGTATCTGGAAGTGGACATTTGGAGCGCTTTCAGGCCTATGTTGAAAAAGGAAATATCTTCCCATAAAAACTAGACGGAAGCATTCTCAGAAACTTATTTGTGATGTGTTTGCTCAACTAACAGGATTGAACCATCGTTTTGAAGGAGCAGTTTTGAAACACTGTTTTCGTGGAATCTGCAAGTGGATATTTGGCTAGCTTTGAGGATTTCGTTGGAAACGGGATTACATATAAAAAGGAGACAGCAACATTCTCAGAAACTTCTTTGTGATGTCTGCATTCAAGTCACAGAGTTGAGCATTCCCTTTCATAGAGCAGGTTGGAAACACTCTTTTTGTAGTATCTGGATGAGGACATTTGGATCGCTTTCAGGCGTATGGTGAAAAAGGAAATATCTTCCCGTAAAAACTAGACAGAAGCATTCTCAGAAATTTATTTGTGATGTGTGCCCTCAACTAACCGAGTTGAACCTTTCTTTTGATAGAGCAGTTTTGAAACACTCTTTTTGTAAAATCTGCAAGAGGATATTTGGATAGCTTTGAGGATTTCGTTGCAAACGGGAATGGCTTCATATAAACTCTAGACAGAAGCATTCTCAGAAACTTCGTTGGGATGTTTCGATTGAAGTCCCAGTGTTGAACATTCCCTTTTATAGAGCAGGTTGGAAACACTCTTTCTGCATTCCCTGGAAGTGGACATTTGGAGCGCTTTCAGGACGACGGTGAAAATGGAAATATCTTCCAAGAAAATCTAGATAGAAGCAACGTCAGAAACTTTTCTGTGATGGATCTACTCAGCTAACAGAGTTGAACCTTTCTTTTGAGAGAGCAGTTTTGCAACACTCTTTTTGTGGAATATGCAAGTGGATATTAGGGCAGCTTTGAGGATTTCGTTGGAAACGGGAATACATGTAAAAAGCAGACAGCAGCATTCTCAGAAACTTCTTTGTGATGTTTGCATTGAAGTCACAGAGTTGAACATTCCCTTTGAGAGAGCAGGTTTGAAACACGCCTTTTGTCATATCTGGAAGTGTCCATTCGGAGCGCATTCAGGCTTGTGTTGAAAAAGGAAATATCCTCCCATAAAAACTAGACAGAAGCATTCTCAGAAACTTATCTGTGATGTATGTACTCAACTAACAGAACTAAACCATCGTTTTGAAGGAGCAGTTTTGAAACACTCTTTTTGCGGAATCTGCAAGTGGATATTTGGCTAGCTGGGAGGATTTCGTTGGAAACGGGATTACATACAAAAAGCAGACAGCAGCATTCTCAGAAACTTCTTTGTGATGTTTGCATTCAAGTCACAGAGTTGAACATTCCCTTTCATAGAGCAGGTTTGAAACACTCTTTTTGTAGTATCTGGATGTGGACATTTGGATCGCTTTCAGGCCTATGGTGAAAAAGGAAATATCTTCCCATGAAAACTAGACAGAAGCATTCTCAGAAACTTATTTGTGATGTGTGCCCTCAACTGACAGTGTTGAACCTTTGTTTTGATAGAGCAGTTCTGAAACACACTTTTTGTAAAATCTGCAAGAGGATATTTGGATAGCTTTGAGGATTTCGTTGGAAACGGGAATGTCTTCATGTAAACTCTACACAGAAGCATTCTCAGAAACTGCTTTGGGATGTTTCAATTGAAGTCCCAGTGTTGAACATTCCCATTCATAGAGCAGGTTTGAAACACTCTTTTTCTACTATCTGGAAGTGGACATTTGGAGCGCTTTCAGGTCTACGGTGAAAAAGGAGATATCTTCCAATAAAAACTAGATAGAAGCAATGTCAGAACTTTTTTCATGATGTATCTACTCAGCAAACAGAGTTGAACCTTTCTTTTGAGAGAGCAGTTTTGACACTGTCTTTGTGGAATATGCAAGTGGGTATTAGGCCAGCTTGGAGGATTTCGTTGGAAACGGGAATACGTATAAAAAGCAGACAGCAGCATTGTCAGAAACTACTTTGTGATGTTTGCATTCAAGTCACAGAATTGAACACTCCCTTTCACAGAGCAGGTTTGAAACACTCTTTTTGTAGTGTCTGTAAGTGAACATTTGGATTGCTTTCAGGCCTAAGGTGAAAAAGGAAATATCTTCCCATAAAAACTAGACAGAAGCATTCTCAGAAACTTGTTTGTGATGTGTGCCCTCTACTGACAGAGTTGAAACTTTCTTTGCAAAGAGCAGTTTTGAAACACTCTTTTTGTAGAATCTGCAAGAGGATATTTGGATAGCTTTGAGGATTTCTTGGGAAACGGGAATGTCTTCAGATAAACTCTAGACAGAAGCATTCTCAGAAACTTCTTTGGGATGTTTCAATTGAAGTCACAGTGTTGAACATTCCCTTTCACAGAGCAGGTTTGAAACACTCTTTTTGTAGTGTCTATAAGTGAACATTTGGCGTGCTTTCAGGCCTAACGTGAAAAAGGAAATATCTTCCCATAAAAACTAGACAGAAGCATTCTCAGAAACTTGTTCGTGATGTGTGCCCTCTACTGACAGAGTTGAACCTTTCTTTGCAAAGAGCAGCTTTGAAACACACTTTTTGTAGAATCTGCAAGAGGATATTTGGATAGCTTTGAGGATTTCGTTGGAAACGGGTATGTCTTCAGATAAACTCTAGACAGAAGCATTCTCAGAAACTTCTTTGGGATGTTGCATTCAAGTCACAGAGTAGAACATTCCCATTCATAGAGCAGATTTGAAACACTCTTTTTGTAGTATCTGGAAGTGGACATTTGGAGCGCTTTCAGGCCTATGTTGAAAAACGAAATATCTTCCCATAAAAACTAGACGGAAGCATTCTCAGAAACTTATTTGTGATGTGTTTGCTCAACTAACAGGATTGAACCATCGTTTTGAAGGAGCAGTTTTGAAACACTGTTTTCGTGGAATCTGCAAGTGGATATTTGGCTAGCTTTGAGGATTTCGTTGGAAACGGGATTACATATAAAAAGGAGACAGCAGCATTCTGAGAAACTTCTTGGTGATGTCTGCATTCAATTCACAGAGTTGAGCATTCCCTTTCATAGAGCAGGTTTGAAACACTCTTTTTGTAGTATCTGGATGTGGACATTTGGATCGCTTTCAGGCCTATGGTGAAAAAGGAAATATCTTCCCATGAAAACTAGACAGAAGCATTCTCAGAAACTTATTTGTGATGTGTGCCCTCAACTGACAGTGTTGAACCTTTGTTTTGATAGAGCAGTTCTGAAACACACTTTTTGTAAAATCTGCAAGAGGATATTTGGATAGCTTTGAGGATTTCGTTGGAAACGGGAATGTCTTCATGTAAACTCTAGACAGAAGCATTCTCAGAAACTGCTTTGGGATGTTTCAATTGAAGTCCCAGTGTTGAACATTCCCTTTCATAGAGCAGGTTTGAAACACTCTTTTTGTACTATCTGGAAGTGGACATTTGGAGCGCTTTCAGGTCTACGGTGAAAAAGGAGATATCTTCCAATAACAACTAGATAGAAGCAATGTCAGAACTTTTTTCATGATGTATCTACTCAGCAAACAGAGTTGAACCTTTCTTTTGAGAGAGCAGTTTTGAAACACTCTTTTTGTGGAATATGCAAGTGGGTATTAGTCCAGCTTGGAGGATTTCGTTGGAAACGGGAATAGGTATAAAAAGCAGACAGCAGCATTGTCAGAAACTACTTTGTGATGTTTGCATTCAAGTCACAGCAATTGAACACTCCCTTTCACAGAGCAGGTTTGAAACACTCTTTTTGTAGTGTCTGTAAGTGAACATATGGATTGCTTTCAGGCCTAAGGTGAAAAAGGAAATATCTTCCCATAAAAACTAGACAGAAGCATTCTCAGAAACTTGTTTGTGATGTGTGCCCTCTACTGACAGAGTTGAACCTTTCTTTGCAAAGAGCAGTTTTGAAACACTCTTTTTGTAGAATCTGCAAGAGGATATTTGGATAGCTTTGAAGATTTCTTGGGAAACGGGAATGTCTTCAGATAAACTCTAGACAGAAGCATTCTCAGAAACTTCTTTGGGATGTTTCAATTGAAGTCACAGTGTTGAACATTCCCTTTCACAGAGTAGGTTTGAAACACTCTTTTTGTAGTGTCTATAAGTGAACATTTGGCGTGCTTTCAGGCCTAACGTGAAAAAGGAAATATCTTCCCATAAAAACTAGACAGAAGCATTCTCAGAAACTTGTTCATGATGTGTGCCCTCTACTGACAGAGTTGAACCTTTCTTTGCAAAGAGCAGCTTTGAAACACTCTTTTTGTAGAATCTGCAAGAGGATATTTGGATAGCTTTGAGGATTTCGTTGGAAACGGGTATGTCTTCAGATAAACTCTAGACAGAAGCATTCTCAGAAACTTCTTTGGGATGTTGCATTCAAGTCACAGAGTAGAACATTCCCATTCATAGAGCAGATTTGAAACACTCTTTTTGTAGTATCTGGAAGTGGACATTTGGAGCGCTTTCAGGCCTATGTTGAGAAACGAAATATCTTCCCATAAAAACTAGACGGAAGCATTCTCAGAAACTTATTTCTGATGTGTTTGCTCAACTAACAGAATTGAACCATCGTTTTGAAGGAGCAGTTTTGAAACCCTGTTTTCGTGGAATCTGCAAGTGGATATTTGGCTAGCTTTGAGGATTTCGTTGGAAACGGGATTACCTATAAAAAGGAGACAGCAGCATTCTCAGAAACTTCTTTGTGATGTCTGCATTCAAGTCACAGAGTTGAGCATTCCCTTTCATAGAGCAGGTTTGAAACACTCTTTTTGTAGTATCTGGATGAGGACATTTGGAGCGCTTTCAGGCGTATGGTGAAAAAGGAAATATCTTCCCGTAAAAACTAGACAGAAGCATTCTCAGAAATTTATTTGTGATGTGTGCCCTCAACTAACAGAGTTGAACCTTTCTTTTGATAGAGCAGTTTTGAAACACTCTTTTTGTAAAATCTGCAAGAGGATATTTGGATAGCTTTGAGGATTTCGTTGCAAACGGGAATGGCTTCATATAAACTCTAGACAGAAGCATTCTCAGAAACTTCGTTGGGATGTTTCGATTGAAGTCCCAGTGTTGAACATTCCCTTTTATAGAGCAGGTTGGAAACACTCTTTTTGCATTCCCTGGAAGTGGACATTTGGAGCGCTTTCAGGACGACGGTGAAAATGGAAATATCTTCCAAGAAAATCTAGATAGAAGCAATGTCAGAAACTTTTATGTGATGGATCTACTCAGCTAACAGAGTTGAAGCTTTCTTTTGAGAGAGCAGTTTTGCAACACTCTTTTTGTGGAATATGCAAGTGGATATTAGGGCAGCTTTGAGGATTTCGTTGGAAACGGGAATACATGTAAAAAGCAGACAGCAGCATTCTCAGAAACTTCTTTGTGATGTTTGCATTGAAGTCACAGAGTTGAACATTCCCTTTGAGAGAGCAGGTTTGAAACACGCCTTTTGTCATATCTGGAAGTGTCCATTCGGAGCGCATTCAGGCTTGTGTTGAAAAAGGAAATATCCTCCCATAAAAACTAGACAGAAGCATTCTCAGAAACTTATCTGTGATGTATGTACTCAACTAACAGAACTAAACCATCGTTTTGAAGGAGCAGTTTTGAAACACTCTTTTTGCGGAATCTGCAAGTGGATATTTGGCTAGCTGGGAGGATTTCGTTGGAAACGGGATTACATACAAAAAGCAGACAGCAGCATTCTCAGAAACTTCTTTGTGATGTTTGCATTCAAGTCACAGAGTTGAACATTCCCTTTCATAGAGCAGGTTTGAAACACTCTTTTTGTAGTATCTGGATGTGGACATTTGGATCGCTTTCAGGCCTATGGTGAAAAAGGAAATATCTTCCCATGAAAACTAGACAGAAGCATTCTCAGAAACTTATTTGTGATGTGTGCCCTCAACTGACAGTGTTGAACCTTTGTTTTGATAGAGCAGTTCTGAAACACACTTTTTGTAAAATCTGCAAGAGGATATTTGGATAGCTTTGAGGATTTCGTTGGAAACGGGAATGTCTTCATGTAAACTCTACACAGAAGCATTCTCAGAAACTGCTTTGGGATGTTTCAATTGAAGTCCCAGTGTTGAACATTCCCATTCATAGAGCAGGTTTGAAACACTCTTTTTGTACTATCTGGAAGTGGACATTTGGAGCGCTTTCAGGTCTACGGTGAAAAAGGAGATATCTTCCAATAAAAACTAGATAGAAGCAAAGTCAGAACTTTTTTCATGATGTATCTACTCAGCTAACAGAGTTGAACCTTTCTTTTGAGAGAGCAGTTTTGAAACACTCTTTTTGTGGAATATGCAAGTGGGTATTAGGCCAGCTTGGAGGATTTCGTTGGAAACGGGAATACGTATAAAAAGCAGACAGCAGCATTGTCAGAAACTACTTTGTGATGTTTGCATTCAAGTCACAGAATTGAACACTCCCTTTCACAGAGCAGGTTTGAAACACTCTTTTTGAAGTGTCTGTAAGTGAACATTTGGATTCCTTTCAGGCCTAAGGTGAAAAAGGAAATATCTTCCCATAAAAACTAGACAGAAGCATTCTCAGAAACTTGTTTGTGATGTGTGCCCTCTACTGACAGAGTTGAACCTTTCTTTGCAAAGAGCAGTTTTGAAACACTCTTTTTGTAGAATCTGCAAGAGGATATTTGGATAGCTTTGAGGATTTCTTGGGAAACGGGAATGTCTTCAGATAAACTCTAGACAGAAGCATTCTCAGAAACTTCTTTGGGATGTTTCAATTGAAGTCACAGTGTTGAACATTCCCTTTCACAGAGCAGGTTTGAAACACTCTTTTTGTAGTGTCTATAAGTGAACATTTGGCGTGCTTTCAGGCGTAACGTGAAAAAGGAAATATCTTCCCATAAAAACCAGACAGAAGCATTCTCAGAAACTTGTTCGTGATGTGTGCCCTCTACTGACAGAGTTGAACCTTTCTTTGCAAAGAGCAGCTTTGAAACACACTTTTTGTAGAATCTGCAAGAGGATATTTGGATAGCTTGGAGGATTTCGTTGGAAACGGGTATGTCTTCAGATAAACTCTAGACAGAAGCATTCTCAGAAACTTCTTTGGGATGTTGCATGCAAGTCACAGAGTAGAACATTCCCATTCATAGAGCAGATTTGAAACACTCTTTTTGTAGTATCTGGAAGAGGACATTTGGAGCGCTTTCAGGCCTATGTTGAAAAAGGAAATATCTTCCCATAAAAACTAGACGGAAGCATTCTCAGAAACTTATTTGTGATGTGTTTGCTCAACTAACAGGATTGAACCATCGTTTTGAAGGAGCAGTTTTGAAACACTGTTTTCGTGGAATCTGCAAGTGGATATTTGGCTAGCTTGAGGATTTCGTTGGAAACGGGATTACATATAAAAAGGAGACAGCAGCATTCTCAGAAACTTCTTTGTGATGTCTGCATTCAATTCACAGAGTTGAGCATTCCCTTTCATAGAGCAGGTTGGAAACACTCTTTTTGTAGTATCTGGATGAGGACATTTGGAGCGCTTTCAGGCGTATGGTGAAAAAGGAAATATCTTCCCGTAAAAACTAGACAGAAGCATTCTCAGAAATTTATTTGTGATGTGTGCCCTCAACTAACAGAGTTGAACCTTTCTTTTGATAGAGCAGTTTTGAAACACTCTTTTTGTAAAATCTGCAAGAGGATATTTGGATAGCTTTGAGGATTTCGTTGCAAACGGGAATGGCTTCATATAAACTCTAGACAGAAGCATTCTCAGAAACTTCGTTGGGATGTTTCGATTGAAGTCCCAGTGTTGAACATTCCCTTTTATAGAGCAGGTTGGAAACACTCTTTCTGCATTCCCTGGAAGTGGACATTTGGAGCGCTTTCAGGACGACGGTGAAAATGGAAATATCTTCCAAGAAAATCTAGATAGAAGCAATGTCAGAAACTTTTATGTGATGGATCTACTCAGCTAACAGAGTTGAACCTTTCTTTTGAGAGAGCAGTTTTGCAACACTCTTTTTGTGGAATATGCAAGTGGATATTAGGGCAGCTTTGAGGATTTCGTTGGAAACGGGAATACATGTAAAAAGCAGACAGCAGCATTCTCAGAAACTTCTTTGTGATGTTTGCATTGAAGTCACAGAGTTGAACATTCCCTTTGAGAGAGCAGGTTTGAAACACGCCTTTTGTCATATCTGGAAGTGTCCATTCGGAGCGCATTCAGGCTTGTGTTGAAAAAGGAAATATCCTCCCATAAAAACTATACAGAAGCATTCTCAGAAACTTATTTGTGATGTATGTACTCAACTAACAGAACTAAACCATCGTTTTGAAGGAGCAGTTTTGAAACACTCTTTTTGCGGAATCTGCAAGTGGATATTTGGCTAGCTGGGAGGATTTCGTTGGAAACGGGATTACATACAAAAAGCAGACAGCAGCATTCTCAGAAACTTCTTTGTGATGTTTGCATTCAAGTCACAGAGTTGAACATTCCCTTTCATAGAGCAGGTTTGAAACACTCTTTTTGTAGTATCTGGATGTGGACATTTGGATCGCTTTCAGGCCTATGGTGAAAAAGGAAATATCTTCCCATGAAAACTAGACAGAAGCATTCTCAGAAACTTATTTGTGATGTGTGCCCTCAACTGACAGTGTTGAACCTTTGTTTTGATAGAGCAGTTCTGAAACACACTTTTTGTAAAATCTGCAAGAGGATATTTGGATAGCTTTGAGGATTTCGTTGGAAACGGGAATGTCTTCATGTAAACTCTAGACAGGAAGCATTCTCAGAAACTGCTTTGGGATGTTTCAATTGAAGTCCCAGTGTTGAACATTCCCTTTCATAGAGCAGGTTTGAAACACTCTTTTTGTACTATCTGGAAGTGGACATTTGGAGCGCTTTCAGGTCTACGGTGAAAAAGGAGATATCTTCCAATAAAAACTAGATAGAAGCAATGTCAGAACTTTTTTCATGATGTATCTACTCAGCAAACAGAGTTGAACCTTTCTTTTGAGAGAGCAGTTTTGAAACACTCTTTTTGTGGAATATGCAAGTGGGTATTAGGCCAGCTTGGAGGATTTCGTTGGAAACGGGAATACGTATAAAAAGCAGACAGCAGCATTGTCAGAAACTACTTTGTGATGTTTGCATTCAAGTCACAGAATTGAACACTCCCTTTCACAGAGCAGGTTTGAAACACTCTTTTTGTAGTGTCTGTAAGTGAACATTTGGATTGCTTTCAGGCCTAAGGTGAAAAAGGAAATATCTTCCCATAAAAACTAGACAGAAGCATTCTCAGAAACTTGTTTGTGATGTGTGCCCTCTACTGACAGAGTTGAACCTTTCTTTGCAAAGACCAGTTTTGAAACACTCTTTTTGTAGAATCTGCAAGAGGATATTTGGATAGCTTTGAGGATTTCTTGGGAAACGGGAATGTCTTCAGATAAACTCTAGACAGAAGCATTCTCAGAAACTTCTTTGGGATGTTTCAATTGAAGTCACAGTGTTGAACATTCCCTTTCACAGAGCAGGTTTGAAACACTCTTTTTGTAGTGTCTATAAGTGAACATTTGGCGTGCTTTCAGGCCTAACGTGAAAAAGGAAATATCTTCCCATAAAAACTAGACAGAAGCATTCTCAGAAACTTATTCATGATGTGTGCCCTCTACTGACAGAGTTGAACCTTTGTTTTGATAGAGCAGTTCTGAAACACACTTTTTGTAAAATCTGCAAGAGGATATTTGGATAGCTTTGAGGATTTCGTTGGAAACGGGTATGTCTTCAGATAAACTCTAGACAGAAGCATTCTCAGAAACTTCTTTGGGATGTTGCATTCAAGTCACAGAGTAGAACATTCCCATTCATAGAGCAGATTTGAAACACTCTTTTTGTAGTATCTGGAAGTGGACATTTGGAGCGCTTTCAGGCCTATGTTGAAAAAGGAAATATCTTCCCATAAAAACTAGACGGAAGCATTCTCAGAAACTTATTTGTGATGTGTTTGCTCAACTAACAGGATTGAACCATCGTTTTGAAGGAGCAGTTTTGAAACACTGTTTTCGTAGAATCTGCAAGTGGATATTTGGCTAGCTTTGAGGATTTCGTTGGAAACGGGATTACATATACAAAGGAGACAGCAGCATTCTCAGAAACTTCTTTGTGATGTCTGCATTCAATTCACAGAGTTGAGCATTCCCTTTCATAGAGCAGGTTGGAAACACTCTTTTTGTAGTATCTGGATGAGGACATTTGGAGCGCTTTCAGGCGTATGGTGAAAAAGGAAATATCTTCCCGTAAAAACTAGACAGAAGCATTCTCAGAAGTTTATTTGTGATGTGTGCCCTCAACTAACAGAGTTGAACCTTTCTTTTGATAGAGCAGTTTTGAAACACTCTTTTTGTAAAATCTGCAAGAGGATATTTGGATAGCTTTGAGGATTTCGTTGCAAACGGGAATGGCTTCATATAAACTCTAGACAGAAGCATTCTCAGAAACTTCGTTGGGATGTTTCGATTGAAGTCCCAGTGTTGAACATTCCCTTTTATAGAGCAGGTTGGAAACACTCTTTCTGCATTCCCTGGAAGTGGACATTTGGAGCGCTTTCAGGACGACGGTGAAAATGGAAATATCTTCCAAGAAAATCTAGATAGAAGCAACGTCAGAAACTTTTCTGTGATGGATCTACTCAGCTAACAGAGTTGAACCTTTCTTTTGAGAGAGCAGTTTTGCAACACTCTTTTTGTGGAATATGCAAGTGGATATTAGGGCAGCTTTGAGGATTTCGTTGGAAACGGGAATACATGTAAAAAGCAGACAGCAGCATTCTCAGAAACTTCTTTGTGATGTTTGCATTGAAGTCACAGAGTTGAACATTCCCTTTGAGAGAGCAGGTTTGAAACACGCCTTTTGTCATATCTGGAAGTGTCCATTCGGAGCGCATTCAGGCTTGTGTTGAAAAAGGAAATATCCTCCAATAAAAACTAGACAGAAGCATTCTCAGAAACTTATCTGTGATGTATGTACTCAACTAACAGAACTAAACCATCGTTTTGAAGGAGCAGTTTTGAAACACTCTTTTTGCGGAATCTGCAAGTGGATATTTGGCTAGCTGGGAGGATTTCGTTGGAAACGGGATTACATACAAAAAGCAGACAGCAGCATTTTCAGAAACTACTTTGTGATGTTTGCATTCAAGTCACAGAGTTGAACATTCCCTTTCATAGAGCAGGTTTGAAACACTCTTTTTGTAGTATCTGGATGTGGACATTTGGATCGCTTTCAGGCCTATGGTGAAAAAGGAAATATCTTCCCATGAAAACTAGACAGAAGCATTCTCAGAAATTTATTTGTGATGTGTGCCCTCAACTAACAGAGTTGAACCTTTCTTTTGATAGAGCAGTTTTGAAACACTCTTTTTGTAAAATCTGCAAGAGGATATTTGGATAGCTTTGAGGATTTCGTTGCAAACGGGAATGGCTTCATATAAACTCTAGACAGAAGCATTCTCAGAAACTTCGTTGGGATGTTTCGATTGAAGTCCCAGTGTTGAACATTCCCTTTTATAGAGCAGGTTGGAAACACTCTTTTTGCATTCCCTGGAAGTGGACATTTGGAGCGCTTTCAGGACGACGGTGAAAATGGAAATATCTTCCAATAAAATCTAGATAGAAGCAATGTCAGAAACTTTTCTGTGATGGATCTACTCAGCTAACAGAGTTGAACCTTTCTTTTGAGAGAGCAGTTTTGCAACACTCTTTTTGTGGAATATGCAAGTGGATATTAGGGCAGCTTTGAGGATTTCGTTGGAAACGGGAATACATGTAAAAAGCAGACAGCAGCATTCTCAGAAACTTCTTTGTGATGTTTGCATTGAAGTCACAGAGTTGAACATTCCCTTTCAGAGAGCAGGTTTGAAACACGCCTTTTGTCATATCTGGAAGTGTCCATTCGGAGCGCATTCAGGCTTGTGTTGAAAAAGAAAATATCCTCCCATAAAAACTAGACAGAAGCATTCTCAGAAACTTATCTGTGATGTATGTACTCAACTAACCGAACTAAACCATCGTTTTGAAGGAGCAGTTTTGAAACACTCTTTTTGCGGAATCTGCAAGTGGATATTTGGCTAGCTGGGAGGATTTCGTTGGAAACGGGATTACATACAAAAAGCAGACAGCAGCATTCTCAGAAACTTGTTTGTGATGTGTGCCCTCAACTGACAGTGTTGAACCTTTGTTTTGATAGAGCAGTTCTGAAACACACTTTTTGTAAAATCTGCAAGAGGATATTTGGATAGCTTTGAGGATTTCGTTGGAAACGGGAATGTCTTCATGTAAACTCTACACAGAAGCATTCTCAGAAACTGCTTTGGGATGTTTCAATTGAAGTCCCAGTGTTGAACATTCCCATTCATAGAGCAGGTTTGAAACACTCTTTTTGTACTATCTGGAAGTGGACATTTGGAGCGCTTTCAGGTCTACGGTGAAAAAGGAGATATCTTCCAATAAAAACTAGATAGAAGCAATGTCAGAACTTTTTTCATGATGTATCTACTCAGCAAACAGAGTTGAACCTTTCTTTTGAGAGAGCAGTTTTGAAACACTCTTTTTGTGGAATATGCAAGTGGGTATTAGGCCAGCTTGAAGGATTTCGTTGGAAACGGGATTACGTATAAAAAGCAGACAGCAGCATTGTCAGAAACTACTTTGTGATGTTTGCATTCAAGTCACAGAATTGAACACTCCCTTTCACAGAGCAGGTTTGAAACACTCTTTTTGTAGTGTCTGTAAGTGAACATTTGGATTGCTTTCAGGCCTAAGGTGAAAAAGGAAATATCTTCCCATAAAAACTAGACAGAAGCATTCTCAGAAACTTGTTTGTGATGTGTGCCCTCTACTGACAGATTTGAACCTTTCTTTGCAAAGACCAGTTTTGAAACACTCTTTTTGTAGAATCTGCAAGAGGATATTTGGATAGCTTTGAGGATTTCTTGGGAAACGGGAATGTCTTCAGATAAACTCTAGACAGAAGCATTCTCAGAAACTTCTTTGGGATGTTTCAATTGAAGTCACAGTGTTGAACATTCCCTTTCACAGAGCAGGTTTGAAACACTCTTTTTGTAGTGTCTATAAGTGAACATTTGGCGTGCTTTCAGGCCTAACGTGAAAAAGGAAATATCTTCCCATAAAAACTAGACAGAAGCATTCTCAGAAACTTGTTCGTGATGTGTGCCCTCTACTGACAGAGTTGAACCTTTCTTTGCAAAGAGCAGCTTTGAAACACACTTTTTGTAGAATCTGCAAGAGGATATTTGGATAGCTTGGAGGATTTCGTTGGAAACGGGTATGTCTTCAGATAAACTCTAGACAGAAGCATTCTCAGAAACTTCTTTGGGATGTTGCATTCAAGTCACAGAGTAGAACATTCCCATTCATAGAGCAGATTTGAAACACTCTTTTTGTAGTATCTGGAAGTGGACATTTGGAGCGCTTTCAGGCCTATGTTGAAAAAGGAAATGTCTTCCCATAAAAACTAGACGGAAGCATTCTCAGAAACTTATTTGTGATGTGTTTGCTCAACTAACAGGATTGAACCATCGTTTTGAAGGAGCAGTTTTGAAACACTGTTTTCGTGGAATCTGCAAGTGGATATTTGGCTAGCTTTGAGGATTTCGTTGGAAACGGGATTACATATACAAAGGAGACAGCAGCATTCTCAGAAACTTCTTTGTGATGTCTGCATTCAATTCACAGAGTTGAGCATTCCCTTTCATAGAGCACGTTGGAAACACTCTTTTTGTAGTATCTGGATGAGGACATTTGGAGCGCTTTCAGGCGTATGGTGAAAAAGGAAATATCTTCCCGTAAAAACTAGACAGAAGCATTCTCAGAAGTTTATTTGTGATGTGTGCCCTCAACTAACAGAGTTGAACCTTTCTTTTGATAGAGCAGTTTTGAAACACTCTTTTTGTAAAATCTGCAAGAGGATATTTGGATAGCTTTGAGGATTTCGTTGCAAACGGGAATGGCTTCATATAAACTCTAGACAGAAGCATTCTCAGAAACTTCGTTGGGATGTTTCGATTGAAGTCCCAGTGTTGAACATTCCCTTTTATAGAGCAGGTTGGAAACACTCTTTCTGCATTCCCTGGAAGTGGACATTTGGAGCGCTTTCAGGACGACGGTGAAAATGGAAATATCTTCCAAGAAAATCTAGATAGAAGCAATGTCAGAAACTTTTATGTGATGGATCTACTCAGCTAACAGAGTTGAACCTTTCTTTTGAGAGAGCAGTTTTGCAACACTCTTTTTGTGGAATATGCAAGTGGATATTAGGGCAGCTTTGAGGATTTCGTTGGAAACGGGAATACATGTAAAAAGCAGACAGCAGCATTCTCAGAAACTTCTTTGTGATGTTTGCATTGAAGTCACAGAGTTGAACATTCCCTTTGAGAGAGCAGGATTGAAAAACGCCTTTTGTCATATCTGGAAGTGTCCATTCGGAGCGCATTCAGGCTTGTGTTGAAAAAGGAAATATCCTCCCATAAAAAGTATACAGAAGCATTCTCAGAAACTTATTTGTGATGTATGTACTCAACTAACAGAACTAAACCATCGTTTTGACGGAGCAGTTTTGAAACACTCTTTTTGCGGAATCTGCAAGTGGATATTTGGCTAGCTGGGAGGATTTCGTTGGAAACGGGATTACATACAAAAAGCAGAGAGCAGCATTCTCAGAAACTTCTTTGTGATGTTTGCATTCAAGTCACAGAGTTGAACATTCCCTTTCATAGAGCAGGTTTGAAACACTCTTTTTGTAGTATCTGGATGTGGACATTTGGATCGCTTTCAGGCCTATGGTGAAAAAGGAAATATCTTCCCATGAAAACTAGACAGAAGCATTCTCAGAAACTTATTTGTGATGTGTGCCCTCAACTGACAGTGTTGAACCTTTGTTTTGATAGAGCAGTTCTGAAACACACTTTTTGTAAAATCTGCAAGAGGATATTTGGATAGCTTTGAGGAGTTCGTTGGAAACGGGAATGTCTTCATGTAAACTCTAGACAGAAGCATTCTCAGAAACTGCTTTGGGATGTTTCAATTGAAGTCCCAGTGTTGAACATTCCCTTTTATAGAGCAGGTTTGAAACACTCTTTTTGTACTATCTGGAAGTGGACATTTGGAGCGCTTTCAGGTCTACGGTGAAAAAGGAGATATCTTCCAATAAAAAGTAGATAGAAGCAATGTCAGAACTTTTTTCATGATGTATCTACTCAGCAAACAGAGTTGAACCTTTCTTTTGAGAGAGCAGTTTTGAAACACTCTTTTTGTGGAATATGCAAGTGGGTATTAGGCCAGCTTGGAGGATTTCGTTGGAAACGGGAATACGTATAAAAAGCAGACAGCAGCATTGTCAGAAACTACTTTGTGAGGTTTGCATTCAAGTCACAGAATTGAACACTCCCTTTCACAGAGCAGGTTTGAAACACTCTTTTTGTAGTGTCTGTAAGTGAACATTTGGATTGCTTTCAGGCCTAAGGTGAAAAAGGAAATATCTTCCCATAAAAACTAGACAGAAGCATTCTCAGAAACTTGTTTGTGATGTGTGCCCTCTACTGACAGAGTTGAACCTTTCTTTGCAAAGAGCAGTTTTGAAACACTCTTTTTGTAGAATCTGCAAGAGGATATTTGGATAGCTTTGAGGATTTCTTGGGAAACGGGAATGTCTTCAGATAAACTCTAGACAGAAGCATTCTCAGAAACTTCTTTGGGATGTTTCAATTGAAGTCACAGTGTTGAACATTCCCTTTCACAGAGCAGGTTTGAAACACTCTTTTTGTAGTGTCTATAAGTGAACATTTGGCGTGCTTTCAGGCCTAACGTGAAAAAGGAAATATCTTCCCATAAAAACTAGACGGAAGCATTCTCAGAAACTTGTTCGTGATGTGTGCCCTCTACTGACAGAGTTGAACCTTTCTTTGCAAAGAGCAGCTTTGAAACACACTTTTTGTAGAATCTGCAAGAGGATATTTGGATAGCTTTGAGGATTTCGTTGGAAACGGGTATGTCTTCAGATAAACTCTAGACAGAAGCATTCTCAGAAATTTCTTTGGGATGTTGCATTCAAGTCACAGAGTAGAACATTCCCATTCATAGAGCAGATTTGAAACACTCTTTTTGTAGTATCTGGAAGTGGACATTTGGAGCGCTTTCAGGCCTATGTTGAAAAAGGAAATATCTTCCCATAAAAACTAGACGGAAGCATTCTCAGAAACTTATTTGTGATGTGTTTGCTCAACTAACAGGATTGAACCATCGTTTTGAAGGAGCAGTTTTGAAACACTGTTTTCGTGGAATCTGCAAGTGGATATTTGGCTAGCTTTGAGGATTTCGTTGGAAACGGGATTACATATAAAAAGGAGACAGCAGCATTCTCAGAAACTTCTTTGTGCTGTCTGCATTCAAGTCACAGAGTTGAGCATTCCCTTTCATAGAGCAGGTTGGAAACACTCTTTTTGTAGTATCTGGATGAGGACATTTGGAGCGCTTTCAGGCCTATGGTGAAAAAGGAAATATCTTCCCGTAAAAACTAGACAGAAGCATTCTCAGAAATTTATTTGTGATGTGTGCCCTCAACTAACAGAGTTGAACCTTTCTTTTGATAGAGCAGTTTTGAAACACTCTTTTTGTAAAATCTGCAAGAGGATATTTGGATAGCTTTGAGGATTTCGTTGCAAACGGGAATGGCTTCATATAAACTCTAGACAGAAGCATTCTCAGAAACTTCGTTGGGATGTTTCGATTGAAGTCCCAGTGTTGAACATTCCCTTTTATAGAGCAGGTTGGAAACACTCTTTCTGCATTCCCTGGAAGTGGACATTTGGAGCGCTTTCAGGACGACGGTGAAAATGGAAATATCTTCCAAGAAAATCTAGATAGAAGCAACGTCAGAAACTTTTCTGTGATGGATCTACTCAGCTAACAGAGTTGAACCTTTCTTTTGAGAGAGCAGTTTTGCAACACTCTTTTTGTGGAATATGCAAGTGGATATTAGGGCAGCTTTGAGGATTTCGTTGGAAACGGGAATACATGTAAAAAGCAGACAGCAGCATTCTCAGAAACTTCTTTGTGATGTTTGCATTGAAGTCACAGAGTTGAACATTCCCTTTGAGAGAGCAGGTTTGAAACACGCCTTTTGTCATATCTGGAAGTGTCCATTCGGAGCGCATTCAGGCTTGTGTTGAAAAAGGAAATATCCTCCCATAAAAACTAGACAGAAGCATTCTCAGAAACTTATCTGTGATGTATGTACTCAACTAACAGAACTAAACCATCGTTTTGAAGGAGCAGTTTTGAAACACTCTTTTTGCGGAATCTGCAAGTGGATATTTGGCTAGCTGGGAGGATTTCGTTGGAAACGGGATTACATACAAAAAGCAGACAGCAGCATTCTCAGAAACTTCTTTGTGATGTTTCCATTCAAGTCACAGAGTTGAACATTCCCTTTCATAGAGCAGGTTTGAAACACTCTTTTTGTAGTATCTGGATGTGGACATTTGGATCGGCTTTCAGGCCTATGGTGAAAAAGGAAATATCTTCCCATGAAAACTAGACAGAAGGATTCTCAGAAATTTATTTGTGATGTGTGCCCTCAACTAACAGAGTTGAACCTTTCTTTTGATAGAGCAGTTTTGAAACACTCTTTTTGTAAAATCTGCAAGAGGATATTTGGATAGCTTGGAGGATTTCATTGCAAACGGGAATGGCTTCATATAAACTCTAGACAGAAGCATTCTCAGAAACTTCGTTGGGATGTTTCGATTGAAGTCCCAGTGTTGAACATTCCCTTTTATAGAGCAGGTTGGAAACACTCTTTCTGCATTCCCTGGAAGTGGACATTTGGAGCGCTTTCAGGACGACGGTGAAAATGGAAATATCTTCCAATAAAATCTAGATAGAAGCAACGTCAGAAACTTTTATGTGATGGATCTACTCAGCTAACAGAGTTGAACCTTTCTTTTGAGAGAGCAGTTTTGCAACACTCTTTTTGTGGAATATGCAAGTGGATATTAGGGCAGCTTTGAGGATTTCGTTGGAAACGGGAATACATGTAAAAAACAGACAGCAGCATTCTCAGAAACTTCTTTGTGATCTTTTCATTGAAGTCACAGAGTTGAACATTCCCTTTGAGAGAGCAGGTTTGAAACACGCCTTTTGTCATATCTGGAAGTGTCCATTCGGAGCGCATTCAGGCTTGTGTTGAAGAAGGAAATATCCTCCCATAAAAACTAGACAGAAGCATTCTCAGAAACTTATCTGTGATGTATGTACTCAACTAACAGAACTAAACCATCGTTTTGAAGGAGCAGTTTTGAAACACTCTTTTTGCGGAATCTGCAAGTGGATATTTGGCTAGCTGGGAGGATTTCGTTGGAAACGGGATTACATACAAAAAGCAGACAGCAGCATTCTCAGAAACTTCTTTGTGATGTTTGCATTCAAGTCACAGAGTTGAACATTCCCTTTCATAGAGCAGGTTTGAAACACTCTTTTTGTAGTATCTGGATGTGGACATTTGGATCGCTTTCAGGCCTATGGTGAAAAAGGAAATATCTTCCCATGAAAACTAGACAGAAGCATTCTCAGAAACTTATTTGTGATGTGTGCCCTCAACTGACAGTGTTGAACCTTTGTTTTGATAGAGCAGTTCTGAAACACACTTTTTGTAAAATCTGCAAGAGGATATTTGGATAGCTTTGAGGATTTCGTTGGAAACGGGAATGTCTTCATGTAAACTCTAGACAGAAGCATTCTCAGAAACTGCTTTGGGATGTTTCTATTGAAGTCCCAGTGTTGAACATTCCCTTTCATAGAGCAGGTTTGAAACACTCTTTTTGTAGTATCTGGAAGTGGACATTTGGAGCGCTTTCAGGTCTACGGTGAAAAAGGAGATATCTTCCAATAAAAACTAGATAGAAGCAATGTCAGAACTTTTTTCATGATGTATCTACTCAGCAAACAGAGTTGAACCTTTCTTTTGAGAGAGCAGTTTTGAAACACTCTTTTTGTGGAATATGCAAGTGGGTATTAGGCCAGCTTGGAGGATTTCGTTGGAAACGGGAATACGTATAAAAAGCAGACAGCAGCATTGTCAGAAACTACTTTGTGATGTTTGCATTCAAGTCACAGAATTGAACACTCCCTTTCACAGAGCAGGTTTGAAACACTCTTTTTGTAGTGTCTGTAAGTGAACATTTGGATTGCTTTCAGGCCTAAGGTGAAAAAGGAAATATCTTCCCATAAAAACTAGACAGAAGCATTCTCAGAAACTTGTTTGTGATGTGTGCCCTCTACTGACAGAGTTGAACCTTTCTTTGCAAAGAGCAGTTTTGAAACACTCTTTTTGTAGAATCTGCAAGAGGATATTTGGATAGCTTTGAGGATTTCTTGGGAAACGGGAATGTCTTCAGATAAACTCTAGACAGAAGCATTCTCAGAAACTTCTTTGGGATATTTCAATTGAAGTCACAGTGTTGAACATTCCCTTTCACAGAGCAGGTTTGAAACACTCTTTTTGTAGTGTCTATAAGTGAACATTTGGCGTGCTTTCAGGCCTAACGTGAAAAAGGAAATATCTTCCCATAAAAACTAGACAGAAGCATTCTCAGAAACTTGTTCGTGATGTGTGCCCTCTACTGACAGAGTTGAACCTTTCTTTGCAAAGAGCAGCTTTGAAACACACTTTTTGTAGAATCTGCAAGAGGATATTTGGATAGCTTTGAGGATTTCGTTGGAAACGGGTATGTCTTCAGATAAACTCTAGACAGAAGCATTCTCAGAAACTTCTTTGGGATGTTGCATTCAAGTCACAGAGTAGAACATTCCCATTCATAGAGCAGATTTGAAACACTCTTTTTGTAGTATCTGGAAGTGGACATTTGGAGCGCTTTCAGGCCTATGTTGAAAAAGGAAATATCTTCCCATAAAAACTAGACGGAAGCATTCTCAGAAACTTAATTGTGATGTGTTTGCTCAACTAACAGGATTGAACCATCGTTTTGAAGGAGCAGTTTTGAAACACTGTTTTCGTGGAATCTGCAAGTGGATATTTGGCTAGCTTTCAGGATTTCGTTGGAAACGGGATTACATATAAAAAGGAGACAGCAGCATTCTCAGAAACTTCTTTGTGATGTTTGCATTCAAGTCACAGAGTTGAACATTCCCTTTCATAGAGCAGGTTTGAAACACTCTTTTTGTAGTATCTGGATGTGGACATTTGGATCGCTTTCAGGCCTATGGTGAAAAAGGAAATATCTTCCCATGAAAACTAGACAGAAGCATTCTCAGAAACTTATTTGTGATGTGTGCCCTCAACTGACAGTGTTGAACCTTTGTTTTGATAGAGCAGTTCTGAAACACACTTTTTGTAAAATCTGCAAGAGGATATTTGGATAGCTTTGAGGATTTCGTTGGAAACGGGAATGTCTTCATGTAAACTCTAGACAGAAGCATTCTCAGAAACTGCTTTGGGATGTTTCAATTGAAGTCCCAGTGTTGAACATTCCCATTCATAGAGCAGGTTTGAAACACTCTTTTTGTAGTATCTGGAAGTGGACATTTGGAGGGATTTCAGGTCTACGGTGAAAAAGGAGATATCTTCCAATAAAAACTAGATAGAAGCAATGTCAGAACTTTTTTCATGATGTATCTACTCAGCAAACAGAGTTGAACCTTTCTTTTGAGAGAGCAGTTTTGAAACACTCTTTTTGTGGAATATGCAAGTGGGTATTAGGCCAGCTTGGAGGATTTCCCTTGGAAACGGGAATACGTATAAAAAGCAGACAGCAGCATTGTCAGAAACTACTTTGTGATGTTTGCATTCAAGTCACAGAATTGAAAACTCCCTTTCACAGAGCAGGTTTGAAACACTCTTTTTGTAGTGTCTGTAAGTGAACATTTGGATTGCTTTCAGGCCTAAGGTGAAAAAGGAAATATCTTCCCATAAAAACTAGACAGAAGCATTCTCAGAAACTTGTTTGTGATGTGTGCCCTCTACTGACAGAGTTGAACCTTTCTTTGCAAAGAGCAGTTTTGAAACACTCTTTTTGTAGAATCTGCAAGAGGATGTTTGGATAGCTTTGAGGATTTCTTGGGAAACGGGAATGTCTTCAGATAAACTCTAGACAGAAGCATTCTCAGAAACTTCTTTGGGATGTTTCAATTGAAGTCACAGTGTTGAACATTCCCTTTCACAGAGCAGGTGTGAAACACTCTTTTTGTAGTGTCTATAAGTGAACATTTGGCGTGCTTTCAGGCCTAACGTGAAAAAGGAAATATCTTCCCATAAAAACTAGACAGAAGCATTCTCAGAAACTTGTTCGTGATGTGTGCCCTCTACTGACAGAGTTGAACCTTTCTTTGCAAAGAGCAGCTTTGAAACACTCTTTTTGTAGAATCTGCAAGAGGATATTTGGATAGCTTTGAGGATTTCGTTGGAAACGGGTATGTCTTCAGATAAACTCTAGACAGAAGCATTCTCAGAAACTTCTTTGGGATGTTGCATTCAAGTCACAGAGTAGAACATTCCCATTCATAGAGCAGATTTGAAACACTCTTTTGTAGTATCTGGAAGTGGACATTTGGAACGCTTTCAGGCCTATGTTGAAAAAGGATATATCTTCCCATAAAAACTAGACGGAAGCATTCTCAGAAACTTATTTGTGATGTGTTTGCTCAACTAACAGGATTGAACCATCGTTTTGAAGGAGCAGTTTTGAAACACTGTTTTCGTGGAATCTGCAAGTGGATATTTGGCTAGCTTTGAGGATTTCGTTGGAAACGGGATTACATATAAAAAGGAGACAGCAGCATTCTCAGAAACTTCTTTGTGATGTCTGCATTCAATTCACAGAGTTGAGCATTCCCTTTCATAGAGCAGGTTGGAAACACTCTTTTTGTAGTATCTGGATGAGGACATTTGGAGCGCTTTCAGGCGTATGGTGAAAAAGGAAATATCTTCCCGTAAAAACTAGACAGAAGCATTCTCAGAAGTTTATTTGTGATGTGTGCCCTCAACTAACAGAGTTGAACCTTTCTTTTGATAGAGCAGTTTTGAAACACTCTTTTTGTAAAATCTGCAAGAGGATATTTGGATAGCTTTGAGGATTTCGTTGCAAACGGGAATGGCTTCATATAAACTCTAGACAGAAGCATTCTCAGAAACTTCGTTGGGATGTTTCGATTGAAGTCCCAGTGTTGAACATTCCCTTTTATAGAGCAGGTTGGAAACACTCTTTCTGCATTCCCTGGAAGTGGACATTTGGAGCGCTTTCAGGACGACGGTGAAAATGGAAATATCTTCCAAGAAAATCTAGATAGAAGCAACGTCAGAAACTTTTCTGTGATGGATCTACTCAGCTAACAGAGTTGAACCTTTCTTTTGAGAGAGCAGTTTTGCAACACTCTTTTTGTGGAATATGCAAGTGGATATTAGGGCAGCTTTGAGGATTTCGTTGGAAACGGGAATACATGTAAAAAGCAGACAGCAGCATTCTCAGAAACTTCTTTGTGATGTTTGCATTGAAGTCACAGAGTTGAACATTCCCTTTGAGAGAGCAGGTTTGAAACACGCCTTTTGTCATATCTGGAAGTGTCCATTCGGAGCGCATTCAGGCTTGTGTTGAAAAAGGAAATATCCTCCCATAAAAACTAGACAGAAGCATTCTCAGAAACTTATCTGTGATGTATGTACTCAACTAACAGAACTAAACCATCGTTTTGAAGGAGCAGTTTTGAAACACTCTTTTTGCGGAATCTGCAAGTGGATATTTGGCTAGCTGGGAGGATTTCGTTGGAAACGGGATTACATACAAAAAGCAGACAGCAGCATTCTCAGAAACTTCTTTGTGATGTTTGCATTCAAGTCACAGAGTTGAACATTCCCTTTCATAGAGCAGGTTGGAAACACTCTTTTTGTAGTATCTGGATGTGGACATTTGGATCGCTTTCAGGCCTATGGTGAAAAAGGAAATATCTTCCCATGAAAACTAGACAGAAGCATTCTCAGAAACTTATTTGTGATGTGTGCCCTCAACTGACAGTGTTGAACCTTTGTTTTGATAGAGCAGTTCTGAGACACACTTTTTGTAAAATCTGCAAGAGGATATTTGGATAGCTTTGAGGATTTCGTTGGAAACGGGAATGTCTTCATGTAAACTCTAGACAGAAGCATTCTCAGAAACTGCTTTGGGATGTTTCAATTGAAGTCCCAGTGTTGAACATTCCCTTTCATAGAGCAGGTTTGAAACACTCTTTTTGTACTATCTGGAAGTGGACATTTGGAGCGCTTTCAGGTCTACGGTGAAAAAGGAGATATCTTCCAATAAAAACTAGATAGAAGCAATGTCAGAACTTTTTTCATGATGTATCTACTCAGCAAACAGAGTTGAACCTTTCTTTTGGGAGAGCAGTTTTGAAACACTCTTTTTGTGGAATATGCAAGTGGGTATTAGGCCAGCTTGGAGGAATTCGTTGGAAACGGGAATACGTATAAAAAGCAGACAGCAGCATTGTCAGAAACTACTTTGTGATGTTTGCATTCAAGTCACAGAATTGAACACTCCCTTTCACAGAGCAGGTTTGAAACACTCTTTTTGTAGTGTCTGTAAGTGAACATATGGATTGCTTTCAGGCCTAAGGTGAAAAAGGAAATATCTTCCCATAAAAACTAGACAGAAGCATTCTCAGAAACTTATTTGTGATGTGTGCCCTCTACTGACAGAGTTGAACCTTTCTTTGCAAAGAGCAGCTTTGAAACACTCTTTTTGTAGAATCTGCAAGAGGATATGTGGATAGCTTTGAGGATTTCGTTGGAAACGGGTATGTCTTCAGATAAACTCTAGACAGAAGCATTCTCAGAAACTTCTTTGGGATGTTTCAATTGAAGTCACAGTGTTGAACATTCCCTTTCACAGAGCAGGTTTGAAACACTCTTTTTGTAGTGTCTATAAGTGAACATTTGGCGTGCTTTCAGGCCTAACGTGAAAAAGGAAATATCTTCCCATAAAAACTAGACAGAAGCATTCTCAGAAACTTGTTCTTGATGTGTCCCCTCTACTGACAGAGTTGAACCTTTCTTTGCAAAGAGCAGCTTTGAAACACTCTTTTTGTAGAATCTGCAAGAGGATATTTGGATAGCTTGGAGGATTTCGTTGGAAACGGGTATGTCTTCAGATAAACTCTAGACAGAAGCATTCTCAGAAACTTCTTTGGGATGTTGCATTCAAGTCACAGAGTAGAACATTCCCATTCATAGAGCAGATTTGAAACACTCTTTTTGTAGTATCTGGAAGTGGACATTTGGAGCGCTTTCAGGCCTATGTTGAAAAAGGAAATATCTTCCCATAAAAACTAGACGGAAGCATTCTCAGAAACTTATTTGTGATGTGTTTGCTCAACTAACAGGATTGAACCATCGTTTTGAAGGAGCAGTTTTGAAACACTGTTTTCGTGGAATCTGCAAGTGGATATTTGGCTAGCTTTGAGGATTTCGTTGGAAACGGGATTACATATAAAAAGGAGACAGCAGCATTCTCAGAAACTTCTTTGTGATGTCTGCATTCAAGTCACAGAGTTGAGCATTCCCTTTCATAGAGCAGGTTGGAAACACTCTTTTTGTAGTATCTGGATGAGGACATTTGGAGCGCTTTCAGGCCTATGGTGAAAAAGGAAATATCTTCCCGTAAAAACTAGACAGAAGCATTCTCAGAAGTTTATTTGTGATGTGTGCCCTCAACTAACAGAGTTGAACCTTTCTTTTGATAGAGCAGTTTTGAAACACTCTTTTTGTAAAATCTGCAAGAGGATATTTGGATAGCTTTGAGGATTTCGTTGCAAACGGGAATGGCTTCATATAAACTCTAGACAGAAGCATTCTCAGAAACTTCGTTGGGATGTTTCGATTGAAGTCCCAGTGTTGAACATTCCCTTTTATAAAGCAGGTTGGAAACACTCTTTCTGCATTCCCTGGAAGTGGACATTTGGAGCGCTTTCAGGACGACGGTGAAAATGGAAATATCTTCCAAGAAAATCTAGATAGAAAGCAATGTCAGAAACTTTTATGTGATGGATCTACTCAGCTAACAGCAGTTGAACCTTTCTTTTGAGAGAGCAGTTTTGCAACACTCTTTTTGTGGAATATGCAAGTGGATATTAGGGCAGCTTTGAGGATTTCGTTGGAAACGGGAATACATGTAAAAAGCAGACAGCAGCATTCTCAGAAACTTCTTTGTGATGTTTGCATTGAAGTCACAGAGTTGAACATTCCCTTTGAGAGAGCAGGTTTGAAACACGCCTTTTGTCATATCTGGAAGTGTCCATTCGGAGCGCATTCAGGCTTGTGTTGAAAAAGGAAATATCCTCCCATAAAAACTAGACAGAAGCATTCTCAGAAACTTATCTGTGATGTATGTACTCAACTAACAGAACTAAACCATCGTTTTGAAGGAGCAGTTTTGAAACACTCTTTTTGCGGAATCTGCAAGTGGATATTTGGCTAGCTGGGAGGATTTCGTTGGAAACGGGATTACATACAAAAAGCAGACAGCAGCATTCTCAGAAACTTCTTTGTGATGTTTGCATTCAAGTCACAGAGTTGAACATTCCCTTTCATAGAGCAGGTTTGAAACACTCTTTTTGTAGTATCTGGATGTGGACATTTGGATCGCTTTCAGGCCTATGGTGAAAAAGGAAATATCTTCCCATGAAAACTAGACAGAAGCATTCTCAGAAACTTATTTGTGATGTGTGCCCTCAACTGACAGTGTTGAACCTTTGTTTTGATAGAGCAGTTCTGAAACACACTTTTTGTAAAATCTGCAAGAGGATATTTGGATAGCTTTGAGGATTTCGTTGGAAACGGGAATGTCTTCATGTAAACTCTACACAGAAGCATTCTCAGAAACTGCTTTGGGATGTTTCAATTGAAGTCCCAGTGTTGAACATTCCCATTCATAGAGCAGGTTTGAAGCACTCTTTTTGTACTATCTGGAAGTGGACATTTGGAACGCTTTCAGGTCTACGGTGAAAAAGGAGATATCTTCCAATAAAAACTAGATAGAAGCAATGTCAGAACTTTTTTCATGATGTATCTACTCAGCAAACAGAGTTGAACCTTTCTTTTGAGAGAGCAGTTTTGAAACACTCTTTTTGTGGAATATGAAAGTGGGTATTAGGCCAGCTTGGAGGATTTCGTTGGAAACGGGAATACGTATAAAAAGCAGACAGCAGCATTGTCAGAAACTACTTTGTGATGTTTGCATTCAAGTCACAGAACTGAACACTCCCTTTCACAGAGCAGGTTTGAAACACTCTTTTTGTAGTGTCTGTAAGTGAACATTTGGATTGCTTTCAGGCCTAAGGTGAAAAAGGAAATATCTTCCCATAAAAACTAGACAGAAGCATTCTCAGAAACTTGTTTGTGATGTGTGCCCTCTACTGACAGAGTTGAACCTTTCTTTGCAAAGAGCAGTTTTGAAACACTTTTTGTAGAATCTGCAAGAGGATATTTGGATAGCTTTGAGGATTTCTTGGGAAACGGGAATGTCTTCAGATAAACTCTAGACAGAAGCATTCTCAGAAACTTCTTTGGGATGTTTCAATTGAAGTCACAGTGTTGAACATTCCCTTTCACAGAGCAGGTTTGAAACACTCTTTTTGTAGTGTCTATAATTGAACATTTGGCGTGCTTTCAGGCCTAACGTGAAAAAGGAAATATCTTCCCATAAAAACTAGACAGAAGCATTCTCAGAAACTTGTTCATGATGTGTGCCCTCTACTGACAGAGTTGAACCTTTCTTTGCAAAGAGCAGCTTTGAAACACTCTTTTTGTAGAATCTGCAAGAGGATATTTGGATAGCTTTGAGGATTTCTTTGGAAACGGGTATGTCTTCAGATAAACTCTAGACAGAAGCATTCTCAGAAACTTCTTTGGGATGTTGCATTCAAGTCACAGAGTAGAACATTCCCATTCATAGAGCAGATTTGAAACACTCTTTTTGTAGTATCTGGAAGTGGACATTTGGAGCGCTTTCAGGCCTATGTTGAAAAAGGAAATATCTTCCCATAAAAACTAGACGGAAGCATTCTCAGAAACTTATTTGTGATGTGTTTGCTCAACAAACAGGATTGAACCATCGTTTTGAAGGAGCAGTTTTGAAACACTGTTTTCGTGGAATCTGCAAGTGGATATTTGGCTAGCTTTGAGGATTTCGTTGGAAACGGGATTACATATAAAAAGGAGACAGCAGCATTCTCAGAAACTTCTTTGTGATGTCTGCATTCAATTCACAGAGTTGAGCATTCCCTTTCATAGAGCAGGTTGGAAACACTCTTTTTGTAGTATCTGGATGAGGACATTTGGAGCGCTTTCAGGCGTATGGTGAAAAAGGAAATATCTTCCCGTAAAAACTAGACAGAAGCATTCTCAGAAGTTTATTTGTGATGTGTGCCCTCAACTAACAGAGTTGAACCTTTCTTTTGATAGAGCAGTTTTGAAACACTCTTTTTGTAAAATCTGCAAGAGGATATTTGGATAGCTTTGAGGATTTCGTTGCAAACGGGAATGGCTTCATATAAACTCTAGACAGAAGCATTCTCAGAAACTTCGTTGGGATGTTTCGATTGAAGTCCCAGTGTTGAACATTCCCTTTTATAGAGCAGGTTGGAAACACTCTTTCTGCATTCCCTGGAAGTGGACATTTGGAGCGCTTTCAGGACGACGGTGAAAATGGAAATATCTTCCAAGAAAATCTAGATAGAAGCAATGTCAGAAACTTTTATGTGATGGATCTACTCAGCTAACAGAGTTGAACCTTTCTTTTGAGAGAGCAGTTTTGCAACACTCTTTTTGTGGAATATGCAAGTGGATATTAGGGCAGCTTTGAGGATTTCGTTGGAAACGGGAATACATGTAAAAAGCAGACAGCAGCATTCTCAGAAACTTCTTTGTGATGTTTGCATTGAAGTCACAGAGTTGAACATTCCCTTTGAGAGAGCAGGATTGAAACACGCCTTTTGTCATATCTGGAAGTGTCCATTCGGAGCGCATTCAGGCTTGTGTTGAAAAAGGAAATATCCTCCCATAAAAAGTATACAGAAGCATTCTCAGAAACTTATTTGTGATGTATGTACTCAACTAACAGAACTAAACCATCGTTTTGACGGAGCAGTTTTGAAACACTCTTTTTGCGGAATCTGCAAGTGGATATTTGGCTAGCTGGGAGGATTTCGTTGGAAACGGGATTACATACAAAAAGCAGAGAGCAGCATTCTCAGAAACTTATTTGTGATGTGTGCCCTCAACTGACAGTGTTGAACCTTTGTTTTGATAGAGCAGTTCTGAAACACACTTTTTGTAAAATCTGCAAGAGGATATTTGGATAGCTTTGAGGATTTCGTTGGAAACGGGAATGTCTTCATGTAAACTCTACACAGAAGCATTCTCAGAAACTGCTTTGGGATGTTTCAATTGAAGTCCCAGTGTTGAACATTCCCTTTCACAGAGCAGGTTTGAAACACTCTTTTTGTACTATCTGGAAGTGGACATTTGGAGCGCTTTCAGGTCTACGGTGAAAAAGGAGATATCTTCCCATAAAAACTAGATAGAAGCAATGTCAGAACTTTTTTCATGATGTATCTACTCAGCAAACAGAGTTGAACCTTTCTTTTGAGAGAGCAGTTTTGAAACACTCTTTTTGTGGAATATGCAAGTGGGTATTAGGCCAGCTTGGAGGATTTCGTTGGAAACGGGAATACGTATAAAAAGCAGACAGCAGCATTGTCAGAAACTACTTTGTGATGTTTGCATTCAAGTCACAGAATTGAACACTCCCTTTCACAGAGCAGGTTTGAAACACTCTTTTTGTAGTGTCTGTAAGTGTACATTTGGATTGCTTTCAGGCCTAAGGTGAAAAAGGAAATATCTTCCCATAAAAACTAGACAGAAGCATTCTCAGAAACTTGTTTGTGATGTGTGCCCTCTACTGACAGAGTTGAACCTTTCTTTGCAAAGAGCAGTTTTGAAACACTCTTTTTGTAGAATCTGCAAGAGGATATTTGGATAGCTTTGAAGATTTCTTGGGAAACGGGAATGTCTTCAGATAAACTCTAGACAGAAGCATTCTCAGAAACTTCTTTGGGATGTTTCAATTGAAGTCACAGTGTTGAACATTCCCTTTCACAGAGCAGGTTTGAAACACTCTTTTTGTAGTGTCTATAATTGAACATTTGGCGTGCTTTCAGGCCTAACGTGAAAAAGGAAATATCTTCCCATAAAAACTAGACAGAAGCATTCTCAGAAACTTGTTCGTGATGTGTGCCCTCTACTGACAGAGTTGAACCTTTCTTTGCAAAGAGCAGCTTTGAAACACTCTTTTTGTAGAATCTGCAAGAGGATATTTGGATAGCTTTGAGGATTTCGTTGGAAACGGGTATGTCTTCAGATAAAATCTAGACAGAAGCATTCTCAGAAACTTCTTTGGGATGTTGCATTCAAGTCACAGAGTAGAACATTCCCATTCATAGAGCAGATTTGAAACACTCTTTTTGTAGTATCTGGAAGTGGACATTTGGAGCGCTTTCAGGCCTATGTTGAAAAAGGAAATATCTTCCCATAAAAACTAGACGGAAGCATTCTCAGAAACTTACTTGTGATGTGTTTGCTCAACTAACAGAATTGAACCATCGTTTTGAAGGAGCAGTTTTGAAACACTGTTTTCGTGGAATCTGCAAGTGGATATTTGGCTAGCTTTGAGGATTTCGTTGGAAACGGGATTACATATAAAAAGGAGACAGCAGCATTCTCAGAAACTTCTTTGTGATGTCTGCATTCAATTCACAGAAGTTGAGCATTCCCTTTCATAGAGCAGGTTGGAAACACTCTTTTTGTAGTATCTGGATGAGGACATTTGGAGCGCTTTCAGGCGTATGGTGAAAAAGGAAATATCTTCCCGTAAAAACTAGACATAAGCATTCTCAGAAATTTATTTGTGATGTGTGCCCTCAACTAACAGAGTTGAACCTTTCTTTTGATAGAGCAGTTTTGAAACACTCTTTTTGTAAAATCTGCAAGAGGATATTTGGATGGCTTTGAGGATTTCGTTGCAAACGGGAATGGCTTCATATAAACTCTAGACAGAAGCATTCTCAGAAACTTCGTTGGGATGTTTCGATTGAAGTCCCAGTGTTGAACATTCCCTTTTATAGAGCAGGTTGGAAACACTCTTTCTGCATTCCCTGGAAGTGGACATTTGGAGCGCTTTCAGGACGACGGTGAAAATGGAAATATCTTCCAAGAAAATCTAGATAGAAGCAACGTCAGAAACTTTTCTGTGATGGATCTACTCAGCTAACAGAGTTGAACCTTTCTTTTGAGAGAGCAGTTTTGCAACACTCTTTTTGTGGAATATGCAAGTGGATATTAGGGCAGCTTTGAGGATTTCGTTGGAAACGGGAATACATGTAAAAAGCAGACAGCAGCATTCTCAGAAACTTCTTTGTGATGTTTGCATTGAAGTCACAGAGTTGAACATCCCCTTTGAGAGAGCAGGTTTGAAACACGCCTTTTGTCATATCTGGAAGTGTCCATTCGGAGCGCATTCAGGCTTGTGTTGAAAAAGGAAATATCCTCCCATAAAAACTAGACAGAAGCATTCTCAGAAACTTATCTGTGATGTATGTACTCAACTAACAGAACTAAACCATCGTTTTGAAGGGCAGTTTTGAAACACTCTTTTTGCGGAATCTGCAAGTGGATATTTGGCTAGCTGGGAGGATTTCGTTGGAAACGGGATTACATACAAAAAGCAGACAGCAGCATTCTCAGAAACTTATTTGTGATGTGTGCCCTCAACTGACAGTGTTGAACCTTTGTTTTGATAGAGCAGTTCTGAAACACACTTTTTGTAAAATCTGCAAGAGGATATTTGGATAGCTTTGAGGATTTCGTTGGAAACGGGAATGTCTTCATGTAAACTTCTAGACAGAAGCATTCTCAGAAACTGCTTTGGGATGTTTCAATTGAAGTCCCAGTGTTGAACATTCCCATTCATAGAGCAGGTTTGAAACACTCTTTTTGTACTATCTGGAAGTGGACATTTGGAGCGCTTTCAGGTCTACGGTGAAAAAGGAGATATCTTCCAATAAAAACTAGATAGAAGCAATGTCAGAACTTTTTTCATGATGTATCTACTCAGCAAACAGAGTTGAACCTTTCTTTTGAGAGAGCAGTTTTGAAACACTCCTTTTGTGGAATATGCAAGTGGGTATTAGGCCAGCTTGGAGGATTTCGTTGGAAACGGGAATACGTATAAAAAGCAGACAGCAGCATTGTCAGAAACTACTTTGTGATGTTTGCATTCAAGTCACAGAAATTGAACACTCCCTTTCACAGAGCAGGTTTGAAACTCTCTTTTTGTAGTGTCTATAAGTGAACATTTGGCGTGCTTTCAGGCGTAACGTGAAAAAGGAAATATCTTCCCATAAAAACTAGACAGAAGCATTCTCAGAAACTTGTTTGTGATGTGTGCCCTCTACTGACAGAGTTGAACCTTTCTTTGCAAAGAGCAGTTTTGAAACACTCTTTTTGTAGAATCTGCAAGAGGATATTTGGATAGCTTTGAGGATTTCTTGGGAAACGGGAATGTCTTCAGATAAACTCTAGACAGAAGCATTCTCAGAAACTTCTTTGGGATGTTGCATTCAAGTCACAGAGTAGAACATTCCCATTCATAGAGCAGGTTTGAAACACTCTTTTTGTAGTATCTGGAAGTGGACATTTGGAGCGCTTTCAGGCCTATGTTGAAAAAGGATATATTTTCCCATAAAAACTAGACAGAAGCATTCTCAGAAACTTACTTCTGACGTGTTTACTCAACTAACAGAATTGAACCATCATTTTGAAGGAGCAGTTTTGAAACACTGTTTTTGTGGGATCTGCAAGTGGATATTTGGCTAGCTTTGAGGATTTCGTTGGAAACGGGATTATATATAAAAAGGAGACAGCAGCATTCTCAGAAACTATTTTGTGATGTCTGCATTCAAGTCAAAGAGTTGAGCATTCCCTTTCATAGAGCAGGTTTGAAACAGTCTTTTTGTAGTATCTGGATGAGGACATTTGGAGCGCTTTCAGGCGTATGGTGAAAAAGGAAATATCTTCCCGTAAAAACTAGACAGAAGCATTCTCAAAAATTTACTTGTGATGTGTGCCCTCAACTATCAGAGTTGAACCTTTCTTTTGATAGAGCAGTTTTGAAACACTCTTTTTGTAAAATCTGCAAGAGGATATTTGGATAGCTTTGAGGATTTCGTTGCAAACGGGAATGGCTTCATATAAACTCTAGACAGAAGCCTTCTCAGAAACTTCGTTGGGATGTTTTGATTGAAGTCACAGTGTTGAACATTCCCTTTTATAGAGCAGGTTTGAAACACTCTTTTTGTAGTATCTGGAAGTGGACATTTGGAGCGCTTTCAGGACGACGGTGAAAATGGAAATATCTTCCAATAAAATCTAGATAGAAGCAATGTCAGAAACTTTCATGTCATGTATCTACTCAGCTAACAGAGTTGAAACTTTCTTTTGAGAAAGCAGTTTTGCAACACTCTTTTCGTGGAATATGCAAGTGGATATTAGGGCAGCTTTGAGGATTTTGTTGGAAACGGCAATACATATAAAAAGCAGACAGCAGCATTCTCAGAAACTTCTTCGTGATGTTTGCTTTGAAGTCACAGAGTTGAACATTCCCTTTGAGAGAGCAGGTTTGAAACACGCCTTTTGTCATATCTGGAAGTGTCCATTCGGAGCGCATTCAGGCTTGTGTTGAAAAAGGAAATATCCTCCCATAAAAACTAGACAGAAGCATTCTCAGAAACTGATTTGTGATGTATGTACTCAACTAACAGAACTAAACCATCGTTTTGAAGGAGCAGTTTTGAAACACTCTTTTTGCGGAATCTGCAAGTGGATATTTGGCTAGCTTGGAGGATTTCGTTGGAAACGGGATTACATACAAAAAGCAGACAGCCAGCATTCTCAGAAACTTCTTTGTGATGTTTGCATTCAAGTCACAGAGTTGAACATTCCCTTTCATAGAGCAGGTTTGAAACACTCTTTTTGTAGTATCTGGATGTGGACATTTGGATCGCTTTCAGGCCTATGGTGAAAAAGGAAATATCTTCCCATGAAAACTAGACAGAGCATTCTCAGAAACTTATTTGTGATGTGTGCCCTCAACTGACAGTGTTGAACCTTTGTTTTGATAGAGCAGTTCTGAAACACACTTTTTGTAAAATCTGCAAGAGGATATTTGGATAGCTTTGAGGATTTCGTTGGAAACGGGAATGTCTTCATGTAAACTCTAGACAGAAGCATTCTCAGAAACTGCTTTGGGATGTTTCAATTGAAGTCCCAGTGTTGAACATTCCCTTTCATAGAGCAGGTTTGAAACACTCTTTTTGTACTATCTGGAAGTGGACATTTGGAGCGCTTTCAGGTCTATGGTGAAAAAGGAGATATCTTCCAATAAAAACTAGATAGAAGCAATGTCAGAACTTTTTTCATGATGTATCTACTCAGCAAACAGAGTTGAACCTTTCTTTTGAGAGAGCAGTTTTGAAACACTCTTTTTGTGGAATATGCAAGTGGGTATTAGGCCAGCTTGGAGGATTTCGTTGGAAACGGGAATACGTATAAAAAGCAGACAGCAGCATTGTCAGAAACTACTTTGTGATGTTTGCATTCAAGTCACAGAATTGAACACTCCCTTTCACAGAGCAGGTTTGAAACACTCTTTTTGTAGTGTCTGTAAGTGAACATTTGGATTGCTTTCAGGCCTAAGGTGAAAAAGGAAATATCTTCCCATAAAAACTAGACAGAAGCATTCTCAGAAACTTGTTTGTGATGTGTGCCCTCTACTGACAGAGTTGAACCTTTCTTTGCAAAGAGCAGTTTTGAAACACTCTTTTTGTAGAATCTGCAAGAGGATATTTGGATAGCTTTGAGGATTTCTTGGGAAACGGGAATGTCTTCAGATAAACTCTAGACAGAAGCATTCTCAGAAACTTCTTTGGGATGTTTCAATTGAAGTCACAGTGTTGAACATTCCCTTTCACAGAGCAGGTTTGAAACACTCTTTTTGTAGTGTCTATAAGTGAACATTTGGCGTGCTTTCAGTTGTAACGTGAAAAAGGAAATATCTTCCCATAAAAACTAGACAGAAGCATTCTCAGAAACTTGTTCGTGATGTGTGCCCTCTACTGACAGAGTTGAACCTTTCTTTGCAAAGAGCAGCTTTGAAACACTCTTTTTGTAGAATCTGCAAGAGGATATTTGGATAGCTTGGAGGATTTCGTTGGAAACGGGTATGTCTTCAGATAAACTCTAGACAGAAGCATTCTCAGAAACTTCTTTGGGATGTTGCATTCAAGTCACAGAGTAGAACATTCCCATTCATAGAGCAGATTTGAAACACTCTTTTTGTCGTATCTGGAAGTGGACATTTGGAGCGCTTTCAGGCCTATGTTGAAAAAGGAAATATCTTCCCATAAAAACTACACGGAAGCATTCTCAGAAACTTATTTGTGATGTGTTTGCTCAACTAACAGGATTGAACCATCGTTTTGAAGGAGCAGTTTTGAAACACTGTTTTCGTGGAATCTGCAAGTGGATATTTGGCTAGCTTTGAGGATTTCGTTGGAAACGGGATTACATATAAAAAGGAGACAGCAGCATTCTCAGAAACTTCTTTGTGATGTCTGCATTCAAGTCACAGAGTTGAGCATTCCCTTTCATAGAGCAGGTTGGAAACACTCTTTTTGTAGTATCTGGATGAGGACATTTGGAGCGCTTTCAGGCGTATGGTGAAAAAGGAAATATCTTCCCGTAAAAACTAGACAGAAGCATTCTCAGAAGTTTATTTGTGATGTGTGCCCTCAACTAACAGAGTTGAACCTTTCTTTTGATAGAGCAGTTTTGAAACACTCTTTTTGTAAAATCTGCAAGAGGATATTTGGATAGCTTTGAGGATTTCGTTGCAAACGGGAATGGCTTCATATAAACTCTAGACAGAAGCATTCTCAGAAACTTCGTTGGGATGTTTCGATTGAAGTCCCAGTGTTGAACATTCCCTTTTATAGAGCAGGTTGGAAACACTCTTTCTGCATTCCCTGGAAGTGGACATTTGGAGCGCTTTCAGGACGACGGTGAAAATGGAAATATCTTCCAAGAAAATCTAGATAGAAGCAATGTCAGAAACTTTTATGTGATGGATCTACTCAGCTAACAGAGTTGAACCTTTCTTTTGAGAGAGCAGTTTTGCAACACTCTTTTTGTGGAATATGCAAGTGGATATTAGGGCAGCTTTGAGGATTTCGTTGGAAACGGGAATACATGTAAAAAGCAGACAGCAGCATTCTCAGAAACTTCTTTGTGATGTTTGCATTGAAGTCACAGAGTTGAACATTCCCTTTGAGAGAGCAGGTTTGAAACACGTCTTTTGTCATATCTGGAAGTGTCCATTCGGAGCGCATTCAGGCTTGTGTTGAAAAAGGAAATATCCTCCCATAAAAACTAGACAGAAGCATTCTCAGAAACTTATCTGTGATGTATGTACTCAACTAACCGAACTAAACCATCGTTTTGAAGGAGCAGTTTTGAAACACTCTTTTTGCGGAATCTGCAAGTGGATATTTGGCTAGCTGGGAGGATTTCGTTGGAAACGGGATTACATACAAAAAGCAGACAGCAGCATTCTCAGAAACTTATTTGTGATGTGTGCCCTCAACTGACAGTGTTGAACCTTTGTTTTGATAGAGCAGTTCTGAAACACACTTTTTGTAAAATCTGCAAGAGGATATTTGGATAGCTTTGAGGATTTCGTTGGAAACGGGAATGTCTTCATGTAAACTCTAGACAGAAGCATTCTCAGAAACTGCTTTGGGATGTTTCAATTGAAGTCCCAGTGTTGAACATTCCCTTTCATAGAGCAGGTTTGAAACACTCTTTTTGTACTATCTGGAAGTGGACATTTGGAGCGCTTTCAGGTCTACGGTGAACAAGGAGATATCTTCCAATAAAAACTAGATAGAAGCAATGTCAGAACTTTTTTCATGATGTATCTACTCAGCAAACAGAGTTGAACCTTTCTTTTGAGAGAGCAGTTTTGAAACACTCTTTTTGTGGAATATGCAAGTGGGTATTAGGCCAGCTTGGAGGATTTCGTTGGAAACGGGAATACGTATAAAAAGCAGACAGCAGCATTGTCAGAAACTACTTTGTGATGTTTGCATTCAAGTCACAGAATTGAACACTCCCTTTCACAGAGCAGGTTTGAAACACTCTTTTTGTAGTGTCTGTAAGTGAACATTTGGATTGCTTCAGGCCTAAGGTGAAAAAGGAAATATCTTCCCATAAAAACTAGACAGAAGCATTCTCAGAAACTTGTTTGTGATGTGTGCCCTCTACTGACAGAGTTGAACCTTTCTTTGCAAAGAGCAGTTTTGAAACACTCTTTTTGTAGAATCTGCAAGAGGATATTTGGATAGCTTTGAGGATTTCTTGGGAAACGGGAATGTCTTCAGATAAACTCTAGACAGAAGCATTCTCAGAAACTTCTTTGGGATGTTTCAATTGAAGTCACAGTGTTGAACATTCCCTTTCACAGAGCAGGTTTGAAACACTCTTTTTGTAGTGTCTATAAGTGAACATTTGGCGTGCTTTCAGGCGTAACGTGAAAAAGGAAATATCTTCCCATAAAAACTAGACAGAAGCATTCTCAGAAACTTGTTCTTGATGTGTCCCCTCTACTGACAGAGTTGAACCTTTCTTTGCAAAGAGCAGCTTTGAAACACTCTTTTTGTAGAATCTGCAAGAGGATATTTGGATAGCTTGGAGGATTTCGTTGGAAACGGGTATGTCTTCAGATAAACTCTAGACAGAAGCATTCTCAGAAACTTCTTTGGGATGTTGCATTCAAGTCACAGAGTAGAACATTCCCATTCATAGAGCAGATTTGAAACACTCTTTTTGTAGTATCTGGAAGTGGACATTTGGAGCGCTTTCAGGCCTATGTTGAAAAAGGAAATATCTTCCCATAAAAACTAGACGGAAGCATTCTCAGAAACTTATTTGTGATGTGTTTGCTCAACTAACAGGATTGAACCATCGTTTTGAAGGAGCAGTTTTGAAACACTGTTTTCGTGGAATCTGCAAGTGGATATTTGGCTAGCTTTGAGGATTTCGTTGGAAATGGGATTACATATACAAAGGAGACAGCAGCACTCTCAGAAACTTCTTTGTGATGTCTGCATTCAAGTCACAGAGTTGAGCATTCCCTTTCATAGAGCAGGTTGGAAACACTCTTTTTGTAGTATCTGGATGAGGACATTTGGAGCGCTTTCTGGCCTATGGTGAAAAAGGAAATATCTTCCTGTAAAAACTAGACAGAAGCATTCTCAGAAGTTTATTTGTGATGTGTGCCCTCAACTAACAGAGTTGAACCTTTCTTTTGATAGAGCAGTTTTGAAACACTCTTTTTGTAAAATCTGCAAGAGGATATTTGGATAGCTTTGAGGATTTCGTTGCAAACGGGAATGGCTTCATATAAACTCTAGACAGAAGCATTCTCAGAAACTTCGTTGGGATGTTTCGATTGAAGTCCCAGTGTTGAACATTCCCTTTTATAGAGCAGGTTGGAAACACTCTTTCTGCATTCCCTGGAAGTGGACATTTGGAGCGCTTTCAGGACGACGGTGAAAATGGAAATATCTTCCAAGAAAATCTAGATAGAAGCAATGTCAGAAACTTTTATGTGATGGATCTACTCAGCTAACAGAGTTGAACCTTTCTTTTGAGAGAGCAGTTTTGCAACACTCTTTTTGTGGAATATGCAAGTGGATATTAGGGCAGCTTTGAGGATTTCGTTGGAAACGGGAATACATGTAAAAAGCAGACAGCAGCATTCTCAGAAACTTCTTTGTGATGTTTGCATTGAAGTCACAGAGTTGAACATTCCCTTTGAGAGAGCAGGTTTGAAACACGCCTTTTGTCATATCTGGAAGTGTCCATTCGGAGCGCATTCAGGCTTGTGTTGAAAAAGGAAATATCCTCCCATAAAAACTAGGACGGAAGCATTCTCAGAAACTTATCTGTGATGTATGTACTCAACTAACAGAACTAAACCATCGTTTTGAAGGAGCAGTTTTGAAACACTCTTTTTGCGGAATCTGCAAGTGGATATTTGGCTAGCTGGGAGGATTTCGTTGGAAACGGGATTACATACAAAAAGCAGACAGCAGCATTCTCAGAAACTTCTTTGTGATGTTTGCATTCAAGTCACAGAGTTGAACATTCCCTTTCATAGAGCAGGTTTGAAACACTCTTTTTGTAGTATCTGGATGTGGACATTTGGATCGCTTTCAGGCCTATGGTGAAAAAGGAAATATCTTCCCATGAAAACTAGACCGAAGCATTCTCAGAAACTTATTTGTGATGTGTGCCCTCAACTGACAGTGTTGAACCTTTGTTTTGATAGAGCAGTTCTGAAACACACTTTTTGTAAAATCTGCAAGAGGATATTTGGATAGCTTTGAGGATTTCGTTGGAAACGGGAATGTCTTCATGTAAACTCTAGACAGAAGCATTCTCAGAAACTGCTTTGGGATGTTTCAATTGAAGTCCCAGTGTTGAACATTCCCATTCATAGAGCAGGTTTGAAACACTCTTTTTGTACTATCTGGAAGTGGACATTTGGAGCGCTTTCAGGTCTACGGTGAAAAAGGAGATATCTTCCAATAAAAACTAGATAGAAGCAATGTCAGAACTTTTTTCATGATGTATCTACTCAGCAAACAGAGTTGAACCTTTCTTTTGAGAGAGCAGTTTCGAAACACTCTTTCTGTGGAATATGCAAGTGGGTATTAGGCCAGCTTGGAGGATTTCGTTGGAAACGGGAATACGTATAAAAAGCAGACAGCAGCATTGTCAGAAACTACTTTGTGATGTTTGCATTCAAGTCACAGAATTGAACACTCCCTTTCACAGAGCAGGTTAGAAACACTCTTTTTGTAGTGTCTGTAAGTGAACATTTGGATTGCTTTCAGGCCTAAGGTGAAAAAGGAAATATCTTCCCATAAAAACTAGACAGAAGCATTCTCAGAAACTTGTTTGTGATGTGTGCCCTCTACTGACAGAGTTGAACCTTTCTTTGCAAAGAGCAGTTTTGAAACACTCTTTTTGTAGAATCTGCAAGAGGATATTTGGATAGCTTTGAGGATTTCTTGGGAAACGGGAATGTCTTCAGATAAACTCTAGACAGAAGCATTCTCAGAAACTTCTTTGGGATGTTTCAATTGAAGTCACAGTGTTGAACATTCCCTTTCACAGAGCAGGTTTGAAACACTCTTTTTGTAGTGTCTATAAGTGAACATTTGGCGTGCTTTCAGGCCTAACGTGAAAAAGGAAATATCTTCCCATAAAAACTAGACAGAAGCATTCTCAGAAACTTGTTCGTGATGTGTGCCCTCTACTGACAGAGTTGAACCTTTCTTTGCAAAGAGCAGCTTTGAAACACACTTTTTGTAGAATCTGCAAGAGGATATTTGGATAGTGTTTGAGGATTTCGTTGGAAACGGGTATGTCTTCAGATAAACTCTAGACAGAAGCATTCTCAGAAACTTCTTTGGGATGTTGCATTCAAGTCACAGAGTAGAACATTCCCATTCATAGAGCAGATTTGAAACACTCTTTTTGTAGTATCTGGAAGTGGACATTTGGAGCGCTTTCAGGCCTATGTTGAAAAAGGAAATATCTTCCCATAAAAACTAGACGGAAGCATTCTCAGAAACTTATTTGTGATGTGTTTGCTCAACTAACAGGATTGAACCATCGTTTTGAAGGAGCAGTTTTGAAACACTGTTTTCGTGGAATCTGCAAGTGGATATTTGGCTAGCTTTGAGGATTTCGTTGGAAACGGGATTACATATAAAAAGGAGACAGCAGCATTCTCAGAAACTTCTTTGTGATGTCTGCATTCAATTCACAGAGTTGAGCATTCCCTTTCATAGAGCAGGTTGGAAACACTCTTTTTGTAGTATCTGGATGAGGACATTTGGAGCGCTTTCAGGCCTATGGTGAAAAAGGAAATATCTTCCCATGAAAACTAGACAGAAGCATTCTCAGAAACTTATTTGTGATGTGTGCACTCAACTGACAGTGTTGAACCTTTGTTTTGATAGAGCAGTTCTGAAACACACTTTTTGTAAAATCTGCAAGAGGATATTTGGATAGCTTTGAGGATTTCGTTGGAAACGGGAATGTCTTCATGTAAACTCTAGACAGAAGCATTCTCAGAAACTGCTTTGGGATGTTTCAATTGAAGTCCCAGTGTTGAACATTCCCATTCATAGAGCAGGTTTGAAACACTCTTTTTCTACTATCTGGAAGTGGACATTTGGAGCGCTTTCAGGTCTACGGTGAAAAAGGAGATATCTTCCAATAAAAACTAGATAGAAGCAATGTCAGAACTTTTTTCATGATGTATCTACTCAGCAAACAGAGTTGAACCTTTCTTTTGAGAGAGCAGTTTTGACACTGTCTTTGTGGAATATGCAAGTGGGTATTAGGCCAGCTTGGAGGATTTCGTTGGAAACGGGAATACGTATAAAAAGCAGACAGCAGCATTGTCAGAAACTACTTTGTGATGTTTGCATTCAAGTCACAGAATTGAACACTCCCTTTCACAGAGCAGGTTTGAAACACTCTTTTTGTAGTGTCTGTAAGTGAACATTTGGATTGCTTTCAGGCCTATGGTGAAAAAGGTAATATCTTCCCATAAAAACTAGACAGAAGCATTCTCAGAAACTTGTTTGTGATGTGTGCCCTCTACTGACAGAGTTGAACCTTTCTTTGCAAAGAGCAGTTTTGAAACACTCTTTTTGTAGAATCTGCACGAGGATATTTGGATAGCTTTGAGGATTTCTTGGGAAACGGGAATGTCTTCAGATAAACTCTAGACAGAAGCATTCTCAGAAACTTCTTTGGGATGTTTCAATTGAAGTCACAGTGTTGAACATTCCCTTTCACAGAGCAGGTTTGAAACACTCTTTTTGTAGTGTCTATAAGTGAACATTTGGCGTGCTTTCAGGCGTAACGTGAAAAAGGAAATATCTTCCCATAAAAACCAGACAGAAGCATTCTCAGAAACTTGTTCGTGATGTGTGCCCTCTACTGACAGAGTTGAACCTTTCTTTGCAAAGAGCAGCTTTGAAACACACTTTTTGTAGAATCTGCAAGAGGATATTTGGATAGCTTTGAGGATTTCGTTGGAAACGGGTATGTCTTCAGATATACTCTAGACAGAAGCATTCTCAGAAACTTCTTTGGGATGTTGCATTCAAGTCACAGAGTAGAACATTCCCATTCATAGAGCAGATTTGAAACACTCTTTTTGTAGTATCTGGAAGTGGACATTTGGAGCGCTTTCAGGCCTATGTTGAAAAAGGAAATATCTTCCCATAAAAACTAGACGGAAGCATTCTCAGAAACTTATTTGTGATGTGTTTGCTCAACTAACAGGATTGAACCATCGTTTTGAAGGAGCAGTTTTGAAACACTGTTTTCGTGGAATCTGCAAGTGGATATTTGGCTAGCTTTGAGGATTTCGTTGGAAACGGGATTACATATAAAAAGGAGACAGCAGCATTCTCAGAAACTTCTTTGTGATGTTTGCATTCAAGTCACAGAGTTGAACATTCCCTTTCATAGAGCAGGTTTGAAACACTCTTTTTGTAGTATCTGGATGTGGACATTTGGATCGCTTTCAGGCCTATGGTGAAAAAGGAAATATCTTCCCATGAAAACTAGACAGAAGCATTCTCAGAAACTTATTTGTGATGTGTGCACTCAACTGACAGTGTTGAACCTTTGTTTTGATAGAGCAGTTCTGAAACACAATTTTTGTAAAATCTGCAAGAGGATATTTGGATAGCTTTGAGGATTTCGTTGGAAACGGGAATGTCTTCATGTAAACTCTAGACAGAAGCATTCTCAGAAACTGCTTTGGGATGTTTCAATTGAAGTCCCAGTGTTGAACATTCCCATTCATAGAGCAGGTTTGAAACACTCTTTTTGTACTATCTGGAAGTGGACATTTGGAGCGCTTTCAGGTCTACGGTGAAAAAGGAGATATCTTCCAATAAAAACTAGATAGAAGCAATGTCAGAACTTTTTTCATGATGTATCTACTCAGCAAACAGAGTTGAACCTTTCTTTTGAGAGAGCAGTTTTGAAACACTCTTTTTGTGGAATATGCAAGTGGGTATTAGGCCAGCTTGGAGGATTTCGTTGGAAACGGGAATACGTATAAAAAGCAGACAGCAGAATTGTCAGAAACTACTTTGTGATGTTTGCATTCAAGTCACAGAATTGAACACTCCCTTTCACAGAGCAGGTTTGAAACACTCTTTTTGTAGTGTCTGTAAGTGAACATTTGGATTGCTTTCAGGCGTAAGGTGAAAAAGGAAATATCTTCCCATAAAAACTAGACAGAAGCATTCTCAGAAACTTGTTCTTGATGTGTGCCCTCTACTGACAGAGTTGAACCTTTCTTTGCAAAGAGCAGTTTTGAAACACTCTTTTTGTAGAATCTGCAAGAGGATATTTGGATAGCTTTGAGGATTTCTTGGGAAACGGGAATGTCTTCAGATAAACTCTAGACAGAAGCATTCTCAGAAACTTCTTTGGGATGTTTCAATTGAAGTCACAGTGTTGAACATTCCCTTTCACAGAGCAGGTTTGAAACACTCTTTTTGTAGTGTCTATAAGTGAACATTTGGCGTGCTTTCAGGCCTAACGTGAAAAAGGAAATATCTTCCCATAAAAACTAGACAGAAGCATTCTCAGAAACTTGTTCGTGATGTGTGCCCTCTACTGACAGAGTTGAACCTTTCTTTGCAAAGAGCAGCTTTGAAACACTCTTTTTGTAGAATCTGCAAGAGGATATTTGGATAGCTTTGAGGATTTCGTTGGAAACGGGTATGTCTTCAGATAAACTTCTAGACAGAAGCATTCTCAGAAACTTCTTTGGGATGTTGCATTCAAGTCACAGAGTAGAACATTCCCATTCATAGAGCAGATTTGAAACACTCTTTTTGTAGTATCTGGAAGTGGACATTTGGAGCGCTTTCAGGCCTATGTTGAAAAAGGAAATATCTTCCCATAAAAACTAGACGGAAGCATTCTCAGAAACTTATTTGTGATGTGTTTGCTCAACTAACAGGATTGAACCATCGTTTTGAAGGAGCAGTTTTGAAACACTGTTTTCGTGGAATCTGCAAGTGGATATTTGGCTAGCTTTGAGGATTTCGTTGGAAACGGGATTACATATAAAAAGGAGACAGCAGCATTCTCAGAAACTTCTTTGTGATGTCTGCATTCAATTCACAGAGTTGAGCATTCCCTTTCATAGAGCAGGTTGGAAACACTCTTTTTGTAGTATCTGGATGAGGACATTTGGAGCGCTTTCAGGCGTATGGTGAAAAAGGAAATATCTTCCCGTAAAAACTAGACAGAAGCATTCTCAGAAGTTTATTTGTGATGTGTGCCCTCAACTAACAGAGTTGAACCTTTCTTTTGATAGAGCAGTTTTGAAACACTCTTTTTGTAAAATCTGCAAGAGGATATTTGGATAGCTTTGAGGATTTCGTTGCAAACGGGAATGGCTTCATATAAACTCTAGACAGAAGCATTCTCAGAAACTTCGTTGGGATGTTTCGATTGAAGTCCCAGTGTTGAACATTCCCTTTAATAGAGCAGGTTGGAAACACTCTTTCTGCATTCCCTGGAAGTGGACATTTGGAGCGCTTTCAGGACGACGGTGAAAATGGAAATATCTTCCAAGAAAATCTAGATAGAAGCAATGTCAGAAACTTTTATGTGATGGATCTACTCAGCTAACAGAGTTGGACCTTTCTTTTGAGAGAGCAGTTTTGCAACACTCTTTTTGTGGAATATGCAAGTGGATATTAGGGCAGCTTTGAGGATTTCGTTGGAAACGGGAATACATGTAAAAAGCAGACAGCAGCATTCTCAGAAACTTCTTTGTGATGTTTGCATTGAAGTCACAGAGTTGAACATTCCCTTTGAGAGAGCAGGTTTGAAACACGCCTTTTGTCATATCTGGAAGTGTCCATTCGGAGCGCATTCAGGCTTGTGTTGAAAAAGGAAATATCCTCCCATAAAAACTAGACAGAAGCATTCTCAGAAACTTATCTGTGATGTATGTACTCAACTAACAGAACTAAACCATCGTTTTGAAGGAGCAGTTTTGAAACACTCTTTTTGCGGAATCTGCAAGTGGATATTTGGCTAGCTGGGAGGATTTCGTTGGAAACGGGATTACATACAAAAAGCAGACAGCAGCATTCTCAGAAACTTCTTTGTGATGTTTGCATTCAAGTCACAGAGTTGAACATTCCCTTTCATAGAGCAGGTTTGAAACACTCTTTTTGTAGTATCTGGATGTGGACATTTGGATCGCTTTCAGGCCTATGGTGAAAAAGGAAATATCTTCCCATGAAAACTAGACCGAAACATTCTCAGAAACTTATTTGTGATGTGTGCCCTCAACTGACAGTGTTGAACCTTTGTTTTGATAGAGCAGTTCTGAAACACACTTTTTGTAAAATCTGCAAGAGGATATTTGGATAGCTTTGAGGATTTCGTTGGAAACGGGAATGTCTTCATGTAAACTCTAGACAGAAGCATTCTCAGAAACTGCTTTGGGATGTTTCAATTGAAGTCCCAGTGTTGAACATTCCCTTTCATAGGAGCAGGTTTGAAACACTCTTTTTGTACTATCTGGAAGTGGACATTTGGAGCGCTTTCAGGTCTACGGTGAAAAAGGAGATATCTTCCAATAAAAACTAGATAGAAGCAATGTCAGAACTTTTTTCATGATGTATCTACTCAGCAAACAGAGTTGAACCTTTCTTTTGAGAGAGCAGTTTTGAAACACTCTTTTTGTGGAATATGCAAGTGGGTATTAGGCCAGCTTGGAGGATTTCGTTGGAAACGGGAATACGTATAAAAAGCAGACAGCAGCATTGTCAGAAACTACTTTGTGATGTTTGCATTCAAGTCACAGAATTGAACACTCCCTTTCACAGAGCAGGTTTGAAACACTCTTTTTGTAGTGTCTGTAAGTGTACATTTGGATTGCTTTCAGGCCTAAGGTGAAAAAGGAAATATCTTCCCATAAAAACTAGACAGAAGCATTCTCAGAAACTTGTTTGTGATGTGTGCCCTCTACTGACAGAGTTGAACCTTTCTTTGCAAAGAGCAGTTTTGAAACACTCTTTTTGTAGAATCTGCAAGAGGATATTTGGATAGCTTTGAGGATTTCTTGGGAAACGGGAATGTCTTCAGATAAACTCTAGACAGAAGCATTCTCAGAAACTTCTTTGGGATGTTTCAATTGAAGTCACAGTGTTGAACATTCCCTTTCACAGAGCAGGTTTGAAACACTCTTTTTGTAGTGTCTATAAGTGAACATTTGGCGTGCTTTCAGGCGTAACGTGAAAAAGGAAATATCTTCCCATAAAAACCAGACAGAAGCATTCTCAGAAACTTGTTCCTGATGTGTGCCCTCTAACTGACAGAGTTGAACCTTTCTTTGCAAAGAGCAGCTTTGAAACACTCTTTTTGTAGAATCTGCAAGAGGATATTTGGATAGCTTTGAGGATTTCGTTGGAAACGGGGATGTCTTCAGATAAACTCTAGACAGAAGCATTCTCAGAAACTTCTTTGGGATGTTGCATTCAAGTCACAGAGTAGAACATTCCCATTCATAGAGCAGATTTGAAACACTCTTTTTGTAGTATCTGGAAGTGGACATTTGGAGCGCTTTCAGGCCTATGTTGAAAAAGGAAATATCTTCCCATAAAAACTAGACGGAAGCATTCTCAGAAACTTATTTGTGATGTGTTTGCTCAACTAACAGGATTGAACCATCGTTTTGAAGGAGCAGTTTTGAAACACTGTTTTCGTGGAATCTGCAAGTGGATATTTGGCTAGCTTTGAGGATTTCGTTGGAAACGGGATTACATATAAAAAGGAGACAGCAGCATTCTCAGAAACTTCTTTGTGATGTTTGCATTGAAGTCACAGAGTTGAACATTCCCTTTGAGAGAGCAGGTTTGCAACACGCCTTTTGTCATATCTGGAAGTGTCCATTCGGAGCGCATTCAGGCTTGTGTTGAAAAAGGAAATATCCTCCCATAAAAACTAGACAGAAGCATTCTCAGAAACTTATTTGTGATGTATGTACTCAACTAACAGAACTAAACCATCGTTTTGAAGGAGCAGTTTTGAAACACTCTTTTTGCGGAATCTGCAACTGGATATTTGGCTAGCTTGGAGGATTTCGTTGGAAACGGGATTACATAAAAAAGCAGACAGCAGCATTCTCAGAAACTTCTTTGTGATGTTTGCATTCAAGTCGCAGAGTTGAACATTCCCTTTCATAGAGCAGGTTTGAAACACTCTTTTTGTAGTATCTGGATGTGGACATTTGGATCGCTTTCAGGCCTATGGTGAAAAAGGAAATATCTTCCCATGAAAACTAGACAGAAGCATTCTCAGAAACTTATTTGTGATGTGTGCCCTCAACTGACAGTGTTGAACCTTTGTTTTGATAGAGCAGTTCTGAAACACACTTTTTGTAAAATCTGCAAGAGGATATTTGGATAGCTTTGAGGATTTCGTTGGAAACGGGAATGTCTTCATGTAAACTCTAGACAGATGCATTCTCAGAAACTGCTTTGGGATGTTTCAATTGAAGTCCCAGTGTTGAACATTCCCTTTCATAGAGCACGTTTGAAACACTCTTTTTGTACTATCTGGAAGTGGACATTTGGAGCGCTTTCAGGTCTACGGTGAAAAAGGAGATATCTTCCAATAAAAACTAGATAGAAGCAATGTCAGAACTTTTTTCATGATGTATCTACTCAGCAAACAGAGTTGAACCTTTCTTTTGAGAGAGCAGTTTTGAAACACTCTTTTTGTGGAATATGCAAGTGGGTATTAGGCCAGCTTGGAGGATTTCGTTGGAAACGGGAATACGTATAAAAAGCAGACAGCAGCATTGTCAGAAACTACTTTGTGATGTTTGCATTCAAGTCACAGAATTGAACACTCCCTTTCACAGAGCAGGTTAGAAACACTCTTTTTGTAGTGTCTGTAAGTGAACATTTGGATTCCTTTCAGGCCTAAGGTGAAAAAGGAAATATCTTCCCATAAAAACTAGACAGAAGCATTCTCAGAAACTTGTTTGTGATGTGTGCCCTCTACTGACAGAGTTGAACCTTTCTTTGCAAAGAGCAGTTTTGAAACACTCTTTTTGTAGAATCTGCAAGAGGATATTTGGATAGCTTTGAGGATTTCTTGGGAAACGGGAATGTCTTCAGATAAACTCTAGACAGAAGCATTCTCAGAAACTTCTTTGGGATGTTTCAATTGAAGTCACAGTGTTGAACATTCCCTTTCACAGGAGCAGGTTTGAAACACTCTTTTTGTAGTGTCTATAAGTGAACATTTGGCGTGCTTTCAGGCCTAACGTGAAAAAGGAAATATCTTCCCATAAAAACTAGACAGAAGCATTCTCAGAAACTTGTTCGTGATGTGTGCCCTCTACTGACAGAGTTGAACCTTTCTTTGCAAAGAGCAGCTTTGAAACACTCTTTTTGTAGAATCTGCCAGAGGATATTTGGATAGCTTTGAGGATTTCGTTGGAAACGGGTATGTCTTCAGATAAACTCTAGACAGAAGCATTCTCAGAAACTTCTTTGGGATGTTGCATTCAAGTCACAGAGTAGAACATTCCCATTCATAGAGCAGATTTGAAACACTCTTTTTGTAGTATCTGGAAGTGGACATTTGGAGCGCTTTCAGGCCTATGTTGAAAAAGGAAATATCTTCCCATAAAAACTAGACGGAAGCATTCTCAGAAACTTATTTGTGATGTGTTTGCTCAACTAACAGGATTGAACCATCGTTTTGAAGGAGCAGTTTTGAAACACTGTTTTCGTGGAATCTGCAAGTGGATATTTGGCTAGCTTTGAGGATTTCGTTGGAAATGGGATTACATATACAAAGGAGACAGCAGCATTCTCAGAAACTTCTTTGTGATGTCTGCATTCAATTCACAGAGTTGAGCATTCCCTTTCATAGAGCAGGTTGGAAACACTCTTTTTGTAGTATCTGGATGAGGACATTTAGAGCGCTTTCTGGCCTATGGTGAAAAAGGAAATATCTTCCTGTAAAAACTAGACAGAAGCATTCTCAGAAGTTTATTTGTGATGTGTGCCCTCAACTAACAGAGTTGAACCTTTCTTTTGATAGAGCAGTTTTGAAACACTCTTTTTGTAAAATCTGCAAGAGGATATTTGGATAGCTTTGAGGATTTCGTTGCAAACGGGAATGGCTTCATATAAACTCTAGACAGAAGCATTCTCAGAAACTTCGTTGGGATGTTTCGATTGAAGTCCCAGTGTTGAACATTCCCTTTTATAGAGCAGGTTGGAAACACTCTTTCTGCATTCCCTGGAAGTGGACATTTGGAGCGCTTTCAGGACGACGGTGAAAATGGAAATATCTTCCAAGAAAATCTAGATAGAAGCAACGTCAGAAACTTTTCTGTGATGGATCTACTCAGCTAACAGAGTTGAACCTTTCTTTTGAGAGAGCAGTTTTGCAACACTCTTTTTGTGGAATATGCAAGTGGATATTAGGGCAGCTTTGAGGATTTCGTTGGAAACGGGAATACATGTAAAAAGCAGACAGCAGCATTCTCAGAAACTTCTTTGTGATGTTTGCATTGAAGTCACAGAGTTGAACATTCCCTTTGAGAGAGCAGGTTTGAAACACGCCTTTTGTCATATCTGGAAGTGTCCATTCGGAGCGCATTCAGGCTTGTGTTGAAAAAGGAAATATCCTCCCATAAAAACTAGACAGAAGCATTCTCAGAAACTTATCTGTGATGTATGTACTCAACTAACAGAACTAAACCATCGTTTTGAAGGAGCAATTTTGAAACACTCTTTTTGCGGAATCTGCAAGTGGATATTTGGCTAGCTGGGAGGATTTCGTTGGAAACGGGATTACATACAAAAAGCAGACAGCAGCATTCTCAGAAACTTATTTGTGATGTGTGCCCTCAACTGACAGTGTTGAACCTTTGTTTTGATAGAGCAGTTCTGAAACACACTTTTTGTAAAATCTGCAAGAGGATATTTGGATAGCTTTGAGGATTTCGTTGGAAACGGGAATGTCTTCATGTAAACTCTAGACAGAAGCATTCTCAGAAAATGCTTTGGGATGTTTCAATTGAAGTCCCAGTGTTGAACATTCCCTTTCATAGAGCAGGTTTGAAACACTCTTTTTGTAGTATCTGGAAGTGGACATTTGGAGCGCTTTCAGGTCTACGGTGAAAAAGGAGATATCTTCCAATAAAAACTAGATAGAAGCAATGTCAGAACTTTTTTCATGATGTATCTACTCAGCAAACAGAGTTGAACCTTTCTTTTGAGAGAGCAGTTTTGAAACACTCTTTTGGTGGAATATGCAAGTGGGTATTAGGCCAGCTTGGAGGATTTCGTTGGAAACGGGAATACGTATAAAAAGCAGACAGCAGCATTGTCAGAAACTACTTTGTGATGTTTGCATTCAAGTCACAGAATTGAACACTCCCTTTCACAGAGCAGGTTTGAAACTCTCTTTTTGTAGTGTCTGTAAGTGAACATTTGGATTGATTTCAGGCCTAAGGTGAAAAAGGAAATATCTTCCCATAAAAACTAGACAGAAGCATTCTCAGAAACTTGTTTGTGATGTGTGCCCTCTACTGACAGAGTTGAACCTTTCTTTGCAAAGAGCAGTTTTGAAACACTCTTTTTGTAGAATCTGCAAGAGGATATTTGGATAGCTTTGAGGATTTCTTGGGAAACGGGAATGTCTTCAGATAAACTCTAGACAGAAGCATTCTCAGAAACTTCTTTGGGATGTTTCAATTGAAGTCACAGTGTTGAACATTCCCTTTCACAGAGCAGGTTTCAAACACTCTTTTTGTAGTGTCTATAAGTGAACATTTGGCGTGCTTTCAGGCCTAACGTGAAAAAGGAAATATCTTCCCATAAAAACTAGACAGAAGCATTCTCAGAAACTTGTTCGTGATGTGTGCCCTCTACTGACAGAGTTGAACCTTTCTTTGCAAAGACCAGCTTTGAAACACACTTTTTGTAGAATCTGCAAGAGGATATTTGGATAGCTTTGAGGATTTCGTTGGAAACGGGTATGTCTTCAGATAAACTCTAGACAGAAGCATTCTCAGAAACTTCTTTGGGATGTTGCATTCAAGTCACAGAGTAGAACATTCCCATTCATAGAGCAGATTTGAAACACTCTTTTTGTAGTATCTGGAAGTGGACATTTGGAGCGCTTTCAGGCCCATGTTGAAAAAGGAAATATCTTCCCATAAAAACTAGACGGAAGCATTCTCAGAAACTTACTTGTGATGTGTTTGCTCAACTAACAGGATTGAACCATCGTTTTGAAGGAGCAGTTTTGAAACAATGTTTTCGTAGAATCTGCAAGTGGATATTTGGCTAGTTTGAGGATTTGGTTGGAAACGGGATTACATATAAAAAGGAGACAGCAGCATTCTCAGAAACTTCTTTGTGATGTCTGCATTCAAGTCACAGAGTTGAGCATTCCCTTTCATAGAGCAGGTTGGAAACACTCTTTTTGTAGTATCTGGATGAGGACATTTGGAGCGCTTTCAGGCGTATGGTGAAAAAGGAAATATCTTCCCGTAAAAACTAGACAGAAGCATTCTCAGAAATTTATTTGTGATGTGTGCCCTCAACTAACAGAGTTGAACCTTTCTTTTGATAGAGCAGTTTTGAAACACTCTTTTTGTAAAATCTGCAAGAGGATATTTGGATAGCTTTGAGGATTTCATTGCAAACGGGAATGGCTTCATATAAACTCTAGACAGAAGCATTCTCAGAAACTTCGTTGGGATGTTTCCGATTGAAGTCCCAGTGTTGAACATTCCCTTTTATAGAGCAGGTTGGAAAAACTCTTTCTGCATTCCCTGGAAGTGGACATTTGGAGCGCTTTCAGGACGACGGTGAAAATGGAAATATCTTCCAATAAAATCTAGATAGAAGCAACGTCAGAAACTTTTATGTGATGGATCTACTCAGCTAACAGAGTTGAACCTTTCTTTTGAGAGAGCAGTTTTGCAACACTCTTTTTGTGGAATATGCAAGTGGATATTAGGGCAGCTTTGAGGATTTCGTTGGAAACGGGAATACATGTAAAAAGCAGACAGCAGCATTCTCAGAAACTTCTTTGTGATGTTTGCATTGAAGTCACAGAGTTGAACATTCCCTTTGAGAGAGCAGGTTTGAAACACGCCTTTTGTCATATCTGGAAGTGTCCATTCGGAGCGCATTCAGGCTTGTGTTGAAAAAGGAAATATCCTCCCATAAAAACTAGACAGAAGCATTCTCAGAAACTTATCTGTGATGTATGTACTCAACTAACAGAACTAAACCATCGTTTTGAAGGAGCAGTTTTGAAACACTCTTTTTGCGGAATCTGCAAGTGGATATTTGGCTAGCTGGGAGGATTTCGTTGGAAACGGGATTACATACAAAAAGCAGACAGCAGCATTCTCAGAAACTTCTTTGTGATGTTTGCATTCAAGTCACAGAGTTGAACATTCCCTTTCATAGAGCAGGTTTGAAACACTCTTTTTGTAGTATCTGGATGTGGACATTTGGATCGCTTTCAGGCCTATGGTGAAAAAGGAAATATCTTCCCATGAAAACTAGACAGAAGCATTCTCAGAAACTTATTTGTGATGTGTGCCCTCAACTGACAGTGTTGAACCTTTGTTTTGATAGAGCAGTTCTGAAACACACTTTTTGTAAAATCTGCAAGAGGATATTTGGATAGCTTTGAGGATTTCGTTGGAAACGGGAATGTCTTCATGTAAACTCTAGACAGAAGCATTCTCAGAAACTGCTTTGGGATGTTTCAATTGAAGTCCCAGTGTTGAACATTCCCATTCATAGAGCAGGTTTGAAACACTCTTTTTCTACTATCTGGAAGTGGACATTTGGAGCGCTTTCAGGTCTACGGTGAAAAAGGAGATATCTTCCAATAAAAACTAGATAGAAGCAATGTCAGAACTTTTTTCATGATGTATCTACTCAGCAAACAGAGTTGAACCTTTGTTTTGAGAGAGCAGTTTTGACACTGTCTTTGTGGAATATGCAAGTGGGTATTAGGCCAGCTTGGAGGATTTCGTTGGAAACGGGAATACGTATAAAAAGCAGAAAGCAGCATTGTCAGAAACTACTTTGTGATGTTTGCATTCAAGTCACAGAATTGAACACTCCCTTTCACAGAGCAGGTTTGAAACACTCTTTTTGTAGTGTCTGTAAGTGAACATTTGGATTGCTTTCAGGCCTAAGGTGAAAAAGGAAATATCTTCCCATAAAAACTAGACAGAAGCATTCTCAGAAACTTGTTTGTGATGTGTGCCCTCTACTGACAGAGTTGAACCTTTCTTTGCAAAGACCAGTTTTGAAACACTCTTTTTGTAGAATCTGCAAGAGGATATTTGGATAGCTTTGAGGATTTCTTGGGAAACGGGAATGTCTTCAGATAAACTCTAGACAGAAGCATTCTCAGAAACTTCTTTGGGATGTTTCAATTGAAGTCACAGTGTTGAACATTCCCTTTCACAGAGCAGGTTTGCAACACTCTTTTTGTAGTGTCTATAAGTGAACATTTGGCGTGCTTTCAGGCCTAACGTGAAAAAGGAAATATCTTCCCATAAAAACTAGACAGAAGCATTCTCAGAAACTTGTTCGTGATGTGTGCCCTCTACTGACAGAGTTGAACCTTTCTTTGCAAAGAGCAGCTTTGAAACACACTTTTTGTAGAATCTGCAAGAGGATATTTGGATAGCTTTGAGGATTTCGTTGGAAACGGGTATGTCTTCAGATAAACTCTAGACAGAAGCATTCTCAGAAATTTCTTTGGGATGTTGCATGCAAGTCACAGAGTAGAACATTCCCATTCATAGAGCAGATTTGAAACACTCTTTTTGTACTATCTGGAAGTGGACATTTGGAGCGCTTTCAGGCCTATGTTGAAAAAGGAAATATCTTCCTATAAAAACTAGACGGAAGCATTCTCAGAAACTTAATTGTGATGAGTTTGCTCAACTAACAGGATTGAACCATCCTTTTGAAGGAGCAGTTTTGAAACACTGTTTTCGTGGAATCTGCAAGTGGATATTTGGCTAGCTTTGAGGATTTCGTTGGAAACGGGATTACATATAAAAAGGAGACAGCAGCATTCTCAGAAACTTCTTTGTGATGTCTGCATTCAATTCACAGAGTTGAGCATTCCCTTTCCTAGAGCACGTTGGAAACACTCTTTTTGTAGTATCTGGATGAGGACATTTGGAGCGCTTTCAGGCGTATGGTGAAAAAGGAAATATCTTCCCGTAAAAACTAGACAGAAGCATTCTCAGAAGTTTATTTGTGATGTGTGCCCTCAACTAACAGAGTTGAACCTTTCTTTTGATAGAGCAGTTTTGAAACACTCTTTTTGTAAAATCTGCAAGAGGATATTTGGATAGCTTTGAGGATTTCGTTGCAAACGGGAATGGCTTCATATAAACTCTAGACAGAAGCATTCTCAGAAACTTCGTTGGGATGTTTCGATTGAAGTCCCAGTGTTGAACATTCCCTTTTATAGAGCAGGTTGGAAACACTCTTTCTGCATTCCCTGGAAGTGGACATTTGGAGCGCTTTCAGGACGACGGTGAAAATGGAAATATCTTCCAAGAAAATCTAGATAGAAGCAACGTCAGAAACTTTTCTGTGATGGATCTACTCAGCTAACAGAGTTGAACCTTTCTTTTGAGAGAGCAGTTTTGCAACACTCTTTTTGTGGAATATGCAAGTGGATATTAGGGCAGCTTTGAGGATTTCGTTGGAAACGGGAATACATGTAAAAAGCAGACAGCAGCATTCTCAGAAACTTCTTTGTGATGTTTGCATTGAAGTCACAGAGTTGAACATTCCCTTTGAGAGAGCAGGTTTGAAACACGCCTTTTGTCATATCTGGAAGTGTCCATTCGGAGCGCATTCAGGCTTGTGTTGAAAAAGGAAATATCCTCCCAGAAAAACTAGACAGAAGCATTCTCAGAAACTTATCTGTGATGTATGTACTCAACTAACAGAACTAAACCATCGTTTTGAAGGAGCAGTTTTGAAACACTCTTTTTGCGGAATCTGCAAGTGGATATTTGGCTAGCTGGGAGGATTTCGTTGGAAACGGGATTACATACAAAAAGCAGACAGCAGCATTCTCAGAAACTTCTTTGTGATGTTTGCATTCAAGTCACAGAGTTGAACATTCCCTTTCATAGAGCAGGTTTGAAACACTCTTTTTGTAGTATCTGGATGTGGACATTTGGATCGCTTTCAGGCCTATGGTGAAAAAGGAAATATCTTCCCATGAAAACTAGACAGAAGCATTCTCAGAAACTTATTTGTGATGTGTGCCCTCAACTGACAGTGTTGAACCTTTGTTTTGATAGAGCAGTTCTGAAACACACTTTTTGTAAAATCTGCAAGAGGATATTTGGATAGCTTTGAGGATTTCGTTGGAAACGGGAATGTCTTCATGTAAACTCTAGACAGAAGCATTCTCAGAAACTGCTTTGGGATGTTTCAATTGAAGTCCCAGTGTTGAACATTCCCTTTCATAGAGCAGGTTTGAAACACTCTTTTTGTAGTATCTGGATGAGGACATTTGGAGCGCTTTCAGGCGTATGGTGAAAAAGGAAATATCTTCCCGTAAAAACTAGACAGAAGCATTCTCAGAAATTTATTTGTGATGTGTGCCCTCAACTAACAGAGTTGAACCTTTCTTTTGATAGAGCAGTTTTGAAACACTCTTTTTGTAAAATCTGCAAGAGGATATTTGGATAGCTTTGAGGATTTCGTTGCAAACGGGAATGGCTTCATATAAACTCTAGACAGAAGCATTCTCAGAAACTTCGTTGGGATGTTTCGATTGAAGTCCCAGTGTTGAACATTCCCTTTTATAGAGCAGGTTGGAAACACTCTTTTTGCATTCCCTGGAAGTGGACATTTGTAGCGCTTTCAGGACGATGGTGAAAATGGAAATATCTTCCAATAAAATCTAGATAGAAGCAATGTCAGAAACTTTTATGTGATGGATCTACTCAGCTAACAGAGTTGAACCTTTCTTTTGAGAGAGCAGTTTTGCAACACTCTTTTTGTGGAATATGCAAGTGGATATTAGGGCAGCTTTGAGGATTTCGTTGGAAACGGGAATACATGTAAAAAGCAGACAGCAGCATTCTCAGAAACTTCTTTGTGATGTTTGCATTGAAGTCACAGAGTTGAACATTCCCTTTGAGAGAGCAGGTTTGAAACACGCCTTTTGTCATATCTGGAAGTGTCCATTCGGAGCGCATTCAGGTTTGTGTTGAAAAAGGAAATATCCTCCCATAAAAACTAGACAGAAGCATTCACAGAAACTTATTTGTGATGTATGTACTCAACTAACAGAACTAAACCATCGTTTTGAAGGAGCAGTTTTGAAACACCCTTTTTGCGGAATCTGCAACTGGATATTTGGCTAGCTTGGAGGATTTCGTTGGAAACGGGATTACATACAAAAAGCAGACAGCAGCATTCTCAGAAACTTCTTTGTGATGTTTGCATTCAAGTCGCAGAGGTGAACATTCCCTTTCATAGAGCAGGTTTGAAACACTCTTTTTGTAGTATCCGGATGTGGACATTTGGATCGCTTTCAGGCCTATGGTGAAAAAGGAAATATCTTCCCATGAAAACTAGACAGAAGCATTCTCAGAAACTTATTTGTGATGTGTGCCCTCAACTGACAGTGTTGAACCTTTGTTTTGATAGAGCAGTTCTGAAACACACTTTTTGTAAAATCTGCAAGAGGATATTTGGATAGCTTTGAGGATTTCGTTGGAAACGGGAATGTCTTCATGTAAACTCTAGACAGAAGCATTCTCAGAAACTGCTTTGGGATGTTTCTATTGAAGTCCCAGTGTTGAACATTCCCTTTCATAGAGCAGGTTTGAAACACTCTTTTTGTAGTATCTGGAAGTGGACATTTGGAGCGCTTTCAGGTCTACGGTGAAAAAGGAGATATCTTCCAATAAAAACTAGATAGAAGCAATGTCAGAACTTTTTTCATGATGTATCTACTCAGCAAACAGAGTTGAACCTTTCTTTTGAGAGAGCAGTTTTGAAACACTCTTTTTGTGGAATATGCAAGTGGGTATTAGGCCAGCTTGGAGGATTTCGTTGGAAACGGGAATACGTATAAAAAGCAGACAGCAGCATTGTCAGAAACTACTTTGTGATATTTGCATTCAAGTCACAGAATTGAACACTCCCTTTCACAGAGCAGGTTTGAAAAACTCTTTTTGTAGTGTCTGTAAGTGAACATTTGGATTGCTTTCAGGCCTAAGGTGAAAAAGGAAATATCTTCCCATAAAAACTAGACAGAAGCATTCTCAGAAACTTGTTTGTGATGTGTGCCCTCTACTGACAGAGTTGAACCTTTCTTTGCAAAGAGCAGTTTTGAAACACTCTTTTTGTAGAATCTGCAAGAGGATATTTGGATAGCTTTGAGGATTTCTTGGGAAACGGGAATGTCTTCAGATAAACTCTAGACAGAAGCATTCTCAGAAACTTCTTTGGGATGTTTCAATTGAAGTCACAGTGTTGAACATTCCCTTTCACAGAGCAGGTTTGAAACACTCTTTTTGTAGTGTCTATAAGTGAACATTTGGCGTGCTTTCAGGCGTAACGTGAAAAAGGAAATATCTTCCCATAAAAACTAGACAGAAGCGTTCTCAGAAACTTGTTCTTGATGTGTGCCCTCTACTGACAGAGTTGAACCTTTCTTTGCAAAGAGCAGCTTTGAAACACTCTTTTTGTAGAATCTGCAAGAGGATATTTGGATAGCTTTGAGGATTTCGTTGGAAACGGGTATGTCTTCAGATAAACTCTAGACAGAAGCATTCTCAGAAACTTCTTTGGGATGTTGCATTCAAGTCACAGAGTAGAACATTCCCATTCATAGAGCAGATTTGAAACACTCTTTTTGTAGTATCTGGAAGTGGACATTTGGAGCGCTTTCAGGCCTATGTTGAAAAAGGAAATATCTTCCCATAAAAACTAGACGGAAGCATTCTCAGAAACTTACTTGTGATGTGTTTGCTCAACTAACAGGATTGAACCATCGTTTTGAAGGAGCAGTTTTGAAACAATGTTTTCGTAGAATCTGCAAGTGGATATTTGGCTAGTTTGAGGATTTGGTTGGAAACGGGATTACATATAAAAAGGAGACAGCAGCATTCTCAGAAACTTCTTTGTGATGTCTGCATTCAATTCACAGAGTTGAGCATTCCCTTTCATAGAGCAGGTTGGAAACACTCTTTTTGTAGTATCTGGATGAGGACATTTGGAGCGCTTTCAGGCCTATGGTGAAAAAGGAAATATCTTCCCGTAAAAACTAGACAGAAGCATTCTCAGAAGTTTATTTGTGATGTGTGCCCTCAACTAACAGAGTTGAACCTTTCTTTTGATAGAGCAGTTTTGAAACACTCTTTTTGTAAAATCTGCAAGAGGATATTTGGATAGCTTTGAGGATTTCGTTGCAAACGGGAATGGCTTAATATAAACTCTAGACAGAAGCATTCTCAGAAACTTCGTTGGGATGTTTCGATTGAAGTCCCAGTGTTGAACATTCCCTTTTATAGAGCAGGTTGGAAACACTCTTTCTGCATTCCCTGGAAGTGGACATTTGGAGCGCTTTCAGGACGACGGTGAAAATGGAAATATCTTCCAAGAAAATCTAGATAGAAGCAATGTCAGAAACTTTTCTGTGATGGATCTACTCAGCTAACAGAGTTGAACCTTTCTTTTGAGAGAGCAGTTTTGCAACACTCTTTTTGTGGAATATGCAAGTGGATATTAGGGCAGCTTTGAGGATTTCGTTGGAAACGGGAATACATGTAAAAAGCAGACAGCAGCATTCTCAGAAACTTCTTTGTGATGTTTGCATTGAAGTCACAGAGTTGAACATTCCCTTTGAGAGAGCAGGTTTGAAACACGCCTTTTGTCATATCTGGAAGTGTCCATTCGGAGCGCATTCAGGCTTGTGTTGTAAAAGGAAATATCCTCCCATAAAAACTAGACAGAAGCATTCTCAGAAACTTATCTGTGATGTATGTACTCAACTAACAGAACTAAACCATCGTTTTGAAGGAGCAGTTTTGAAACACTCTTTTTGCGGAATCTGCAAGTGGATATTTGGCTAGCTGGGAGGATTTCGTTGGAAACGGGATTACATACAAAAAGCAGACAGCAGCATTCTCAGAAACTTCTTTGTGATGTTTGCACTCAAGTCACAGAGTTGAACATTCCCTTTCATAGAGCAGGTTTGAAACACTCTTTTTGTAGTATCTGGATGTGGACATTTGGATCGCTTTCAGGCCTATGGTGAAAAAGGAAATATCTTCCCATGAAAACTAGACAGAAGCATTCTCAGTAGTTTATTTGTGATGTGTGCCCTCAACTAACAGAGTTGAACCTTTCTTTTGATAGAGCAGTTTTGAAACACTCTTTTTGTAAAATCTGCAAGAGGATATTTGGATAGCTTTGAGGATTTCGTTGTAAACGGGAATGGCTTCATATAAACTCTAGACAGAAGCATTCTCAGAAACTTCGTTGGGATGTTTCGATTGAAGTCCCAGTGTTGAACATTCCCTTTTATAGAGCAGGTTGGAAACACTCTTTCTGCATTCCCTGGAAGTGGACATTTGGAGCGCTTTCAGGACGACGGTGAAAATGGAAATATCTTCCAAGAAAATCTAGATAGAAGCAATGTCAGAAACTTTTATGTGATGGATCTACTCAGCTAACAGAGTTGAACCTTTCTTTTGAGAGAGCAGTTTTGCAACACTCTTTTTGTGGAATATGCAAGTGGATATTAGGGCAGCTTTGAGGATTTCGTTGGAAACGGGAATACATGTAAAAAGCAGACAGCAGCATTCTCAGAAACTTCTTTGTGATGTTTGCATTGAAGTCACAGAGTTGAACATTCCCTTTGAGAGAGCAGGTTTGAAACACGCCTTTTGTCATATCTGGAAGTGTCCATTCGGAGCGCATTCAGGCTTGTGTTGAAAAAGGAAATATCCTCCCAGAAAAACTAGACAGAAGCATTCTCAGAAACTTATCTGTGATGTATGTACTCAACTAACAGAACTAAACCATTGTTTTGAAGGAGCAGTTTTGAAACACTCTTTTTGCGGAATCTGCAAGTGGATATTTGGCTAGCTGGGAGGATTTCGTTGGAAACGGGATTACATACAAAAAGCAGACAGCAGCATTCTCAGAAACTTCTTTGTGATGTTTGCATTCAAGTCACAGAGTTGAACATTCCCTTTCATAGAGCAGGTTTGAAACACTCTTTTTGTAGTATCTGGATGTGGACATTTGGATTGCTTTCAGGCCTATGGTGAAAAAGGAAATATCTTCCCATGAAAACTAGACAGAAGCATTCTCAGAAACTTATTTGTGATGTGTGCCCTCAACTGACAGTGTTGAACCTTTGTTTTGATAGAGCAGTTCTGAAACACACTTTTTGTAAAATCTGCAAGAGGATATTTGGATAGCTTTGAGGATTTCGTTGGAAACGGGAATGTCTTCATGTAAACTCTAGACAGAAGCATTCTCAGAAACTGCTTTGGGATGTTTCAATTGAAGTCCCAGTGTTGAACATTCCCTTTCATAGAGCAGGTTTGAAACACTCTTTTTGTACTATCTGGAAGTGGACATTTGGAGCGCTTTCAGGTCTACGGTGAAAAAGGAGATATCTTCCAATAAAAACTAGATAGAAGCAATGTCAGAACTTTTTTCATGATGTATCTACTCAGCAAACAGAGTTGAACCTTTCTTTTGAGAGAGCAGTTTTGAAACACTCTTTTTGTGGAATATGCAAGTGGGTATTAGGCCAGCTTGAAGGATTTCGTTGGAAACGGGATTACGTATAAAAAGCAGACAGCAGCATTGTCAGAAACTACTTTGTGATGTTTGCATTCAAGTCACAGAATTGAACACTCCCTTTCACAGTAGCAGGTTTGAAACACTCTTTTTGTAGTGTCTGTAAGTGAACATTTGGATTGCTTTCAGGCCTAAGGTGAAAAAGGAAATATCTTCCCATAAAAACTAGACAGAAGCATTCTCAGAAACTTGTTTGTGATGTGTGCCCTCTACTGACAGAGTTGAACCTTTCTTTGCAAAGAGCAGTTTTGAAACACTCTTTTTGTAGAATCTGCAAGAGGATATTTGGATAGCTTTGAGGATTTCTTGGGAAACGGGAATGTCTTCAGATAAACTCTAGACAGAAGCATTCTCAGAAACTTCTTTGGGATGTTTCAATTGAAGTCACAGTGTTGAACATTCCCTTTCACAGAGCAGGTTTGAAACACTCTTTTTGTAGTGTCTATAAGTGAACATTTGGCGTGCTTTCAGGCGTAACGTGAAAAAGGAAATATCTTCCCATAAAAACTAGACAGAAGCATTCTCAGAAACTTGTTCGTGATGTGTGCCCTCTACTGACAGAGTTGAACCTTTCTTTGCAAAGAGCAGCTTTGAAACACACTTTTTGTAGAATCTGCAAGAGGATATTTGGATAGCTTTGATGATTTCGTTGGAAACGGGTATGTCTTCAGATAAACTCTAGACAGAAGCATTCTCAGAAACTTCTTTGGGATGTTGCATTCAAGTCACAGAGTAGAACATTCCCATTCATACAGCAGATTTGAAACACTCTTTTTGTAGTATCTGGAAGTGGACATTTGGAGCGCTTTCAGGCCTATGTTGAAAAAGCAAATATCTTCCCATAAAAACTAGACGGAAGCATTCTCAGAAACTTACTTGTGATGTGTTTGCTCAACTAACAGAATTGAACCATCGTTTTGAAGGAGCAGTTTTGAAACACTGTTTTCGTGGAATCTGCAAGTGGATATTTGGCTAGCTTTGAGGATTTCGTTGGAAACGGGATTACATATAAAAAGGAGACAGCAGCATTCTCAGAAACTTCTTTGTGATGTCTGCATTCAATTCACAGAGTTGAGCATTCCCTTTCATAGAGCAGGTTGGAAACACTCTTTTTGTAGTATCTGGATGAGGACATTTGGAGCGCTTTCAGGCCTATGGTGAAAAAGGAAATATCTTCCCGTAAAAACTAGACAGAAGCATTCTCAGAAATTTATTTGTGATGTGTGCCCTCAACTAACAGAGTTGAACCTTTCTTTTGATAGAGCAGTTTTGAAACACTCTTTTTGTAAAATCTGCAAGAGGATATTTGGATAGCTTTGAGGATTTCATTGCAAACGGGAATGGCATCATATAAACTCTAGACAGAAGCATTCTCAGAAACTTCGTTGGGATGTTTCGATTGAAGTCCCAGTGTTGAACATTCCCTTTTATAGAGCAGGTTGGAAACACTCTTTCTGCATTCCCTGGAAGTGGACATTTGGAGCGCTTTCAGGACGACGGTGAAAATGGAAATATCTTCCAATAAAATCTAGATAGAAGCAACGTCAGAAACTTTTATGTGATGGATCTACTCAGCTAACAGAGTTGAACCTTTCTTTTGAGAGAGCAGTTTTGCAACACTCTTTTTGTGGAATATGCAAGTGGATATTAGGGCAGCTTTGAGGATTTCGTTGGAAACGGGAATACATGTAAAAAACAGACAGCAGCATTCTCAGAAACTTCTTTGTGATGTTTGCATTGAAGTCACAGAGTTGAACATTCCCTTTGAGAGAGCAGGTTTGAAACACGCCTTTTGTCATATCTGGAAGTGTCCATTCGGAGCGCATTCAGGCTTGTGTTGAAAAAGGAAATATCCTCCCATAAAAACTAGACAGAAGCATTCTCAGAAACTTATCTGTGATGTATGTACTCAACTAACAGAACTAAACCATCGTTTTGAAGGAGCAGTTTTGAAACACTCTTTTTGCGGAATCTGCACGTGGATATTTGGCTAGCTGGGAGGATTTCGTTGGAAACGGGATTACATACAAAAAGCAGACAGCAGCATTCTCAGAAACTTCTTTGTGATGTTAGCATTCAAGTCACAGAGTTGAACATTCCCTTTCATAGAGCAGGTTTGAAACACTCTTTTTGTAGTATCTGGATGTGGACATTTGGATCGCTTTCAGGCCTATGGTGAAAAAGGAAATATCTTCCCATGAAAACTAGACAGAAGCATTCTCAGAAATTTATTTGTGATGTGTGCCCTCAACTAACAGAGTTGAACCTTTCTTTTGATAGAGCAGTTTTGAAACACTCTTTTTGTAAAATCTGCAAGAGGATATTTGGATAGCTTTGAGGATTTCGTTGCAAACGGGAATGGCTTCATATAAACTCTAGACAGAAGCATTCTCAGAAACTTCGTTGGGATGTTTCGATTGAAGTCCCAGTGTTGAACATTCCCTTTTATAGAGCAGGTTGGAAACACTCTTTCTGCATTCCCTGGAAGTGGACATTTGGAGCGCTTTCAGGACGACGGTGAAAATGGAAATATCTTCCAAGAAAATCTAGATAGAAGCAATGTCAGAAACTTTTATGTGATGGATCTACTCAGCTAACAGAGTTGAACCTTTCTTTTGAGAGAGCAGTTTTGCAACACTCTTTTTGTGGAATATGCAAGTGGATATTAGGGCAGCTTTGAGGATTTCGTTGGAAACGGGAATACATGTAAAAAGCAGACAGCAGCATTCTCAGAAACTTCTTTGTGATGTTTGCATTGAAGTCACAGAGTTGAACATTCCCTTTGAGAGAGCAGGTTTGAAACACGCCTTTTGTCATATCTGGAAGTGTCCATTCGGAGCGCATTCAGGCTTGTGTTGAAAAAGGAAATATCCTCCCATAAAAACTAGACAGAAGCATTCTCAGAAACTGATTTGTGATGTATGTACTCAACTAACAGAACTAAACCATCGTTTTGAAGGAGCAGTTTTGAAACACTCTTTTTGCGGAATCTGCAAGTGGATATTTGGCTAGCTTGGAGGATTTCGTTGGAAACGGGATTACATACAAAAAGCAGACAGCAGCATTCTCAGAAACTTATTTGTGATGTGTGCCCTCAACTGACAGTGTTGAACCTTTGTTTTGATAGAGCAGTTCTGAAACACACTTTTTGTAAAATCTGCAAGAGGATATTTGGATAGCTTTGAGGATTTCGTTGGAAACGGGAATGTCTTCATGTAAACTCTACACAGAAGCATTCTCAGAAACTGCTTTGGGATGTTTCAATTGAAGTCCCAGTGTTGAACATTCCCATTCATAGAGCAGGTTTGAAACACTCTTTTTGTACTATCTGGAAGTGGACATTTGGAGCGCTTTCAGGTCTACGGTGAAAAAGGAGATATCTTCCAATAAAAACTAGATAGAAGCAATGTCAGAACTTTTTTCATGATGTATCTACTCAGCTAACAGAGTTGAACCTTTCTTTTGAGAGAGCAGTTTTGAAACACTCTTTTTGTGGAATATGCAAGTGGGTATTAGGCCAGCTTGGAGGATTTCGTTGGAAACGGGAATACGTATAAAAAGCAGACAGCAGCATTGTCAGAAACTACTTTGTGATGTTTGCATTCAAGTCACAGAATTGAACACTCCCTTTCACAGAGCAGGTTTGAAACACTCTTTTTGTAGTGTCTATAAGTGAACATTTGGCGTGCTTTCAGGCCTAACGTGAAAAAGGAAATATCTTCCCATAAAAACTAGACAGAAGCATTCTCAGAAACTTGTTTGTGATGTGTGCCCTCTACTGACAGAGTTGAACCTTTCTTTGCAAAGACCAGTTTTGAAACACTCTTTTTGTAGAATCTGCAAGAGGATATTTGGATAGCTTTGAGGATTTACTTGGGAAACGGGAATGTCTTCAGATAAACTCTAGACAGAAGCATTCTCAGAAACTTCTTTGGGATATTTCAATTGAAGTCACAGTGTTGAACATTCCCTTTCACAGAGCAGGTTTGAAACACTCTTTTTGTAGTGTCTATAAGTGAACATTTGGCGTGCTTTCAGGCCTAACGTGAAAAAGGAAATATCTTCCCATAAAAACTAGACAGAAGCATTCTCAGAAACTTGTTCGTGATGTGTGCCCTCTACTGACAGAGTTGAACCTTTCTTTGCAAAGAGCAGCTTTGAAACACTCTTTTTGTAGAATCTGCAAGAGGATATTTGGATAGCTTGTAGGATTTCGTTGGAAACGGGTATGTCTTCAGATAAACTCTAGACAGAAGCATTCTCAGAAACTTCTTTGGGATGTTGCATTCAAGTCACAGAGTAGAACATTCCCATTCATAGAGCAGATTTGAAACACTCTTTTTGTAGTATCTGGAAGTGGACATTTGGAGCGCTTTCAGGCCTATGTTGAAAAAGGAAATATCTTCCCATAAAAACTAGACGGAAGCATTCTCAGAAACTTATTTGTGATGTGTTTGCTCAACAAACAGGATTGAACCATCGTTTTGAAGGAGCAGTTTTGAAACACTGTTTTCGTGGAATCTGCAAGTGGATATTTGGCTAGCTTTGAGGATTTCGTTGGAAACGGGATTACATATAAAAAGGAGACAGCAAGCATTCTCAGAAACTTCTTTGTGATGTGTGCATTCAAGTCACAGAGTTGAACATTCCCTTTCATAGAGCAGGTTTGAAACACTCTTTTTGTAGTATCTGGATGTGGACATTTGGATCGCTTTCAGGCCTATGGTGAAAAAGGAAATATCTTCCCATGAAAACTAGACAGAAGCATTCTCAGAAACTTATTTGTGATGTGTGCCCTCAACTGACAGTGTTGAACCTTTGTTTTGATAGAGCAGTTCTGAAACACACTTTTTGTAAAATCTGCAAGAGGATATTTGGATAGCTTTGAGGATTTCGTTGGAAACGGGAATGTCTTCATGTAAACTCTGGACAGAAGCATTCTCAGAAACTGCTTTGGGATGTTTCAATTGAAGTCCCAGTGTTGAACATTCCCTTTCATAGAGCAGGTTTGAAACACTCTTTTTGTACTATCTGGAAGTGGACATTTGGAGCGCTTTCAGGTCTACGGTGAAAAAGGAGATATCTTCCAATAAAAACTAGATAGAAGCAATGTCAGAACTTTTTTCATGATGTATCTACTCAGCAAACAGAGTTGAACCTTTCTTTTGAGGGAGCAGTTTTGAAACACTATTTTTGTGGAATATGCAAGTGGGTATTAGGCCAGCTTGGAGGATTTCGTTGGAAACGGGAATACGTATAAAAAGCAGACAGCAGCATTGTCAGAATCTACTTTGTGATGTTTGCATTCAAGTCACAGAATTGAACACTCCCTTTCACAGAGCAGGTTTGAAACACTCTTTTTGTAGTGTCTGTAAGTGAACATTTGGATTGCTTTCAGGCCTAAGGTGAAAAAGGAAATATCTTCCCATAAAAACTAGACAGAAGCATTCTCAGAAACTTGTTTGTGATGTGTGCCCTCTACTGACAGAGTTGAACCTTTCTTTGCAAAGAGCAGTTTTGAAACACTCTTTTTGTAGAATCTGCAAGAGGATATTTGGATAGCTTTGAGGATTTCTTGGGAAACGGGAATGTCTTCAGATAAACTCTAGACAGAAGCATTCTCAGAAACTTCTTTGGGATGTTTCAATTGAAGTCACAGTTTTGAACATTCCCTTTCACAGAGCAGGTTTGAAACACTCTCTTTGTAGTGTCTATAAGTGAACATTTGGCGTGCTTTCAGGCCTAACGTGAAAAAGGAAATATCTTCCCATAAAAACTAGACAGAAGCATTCTCAGAAACTTGTTCGTGATGTGTGCCCTCTACAGACAGAGTTGAACCTTTCTTTGCAAAGAGCAGCTTTGAAACACTCTTTTTGTAGAATCTGCAAGAGGATATTTGGATAGCTTGGAGGATTTCGTTGGAAACGGGTATGTCTTCAGATAAACTCTAGACAGAAGCATTCTCAGAAACTTCTTTGGGATGTTGCATTCAAGTCACAGAGTAGAACATTCCCATTCATAGAGCAGATTTGAAACACTCTTTTTGTAGTATCTGGAAGTGGACATTTGGAGCGCTTTCAGGCCTATGTTGAAAAAGGAAATATCTTCCCATAAAAACTAGACGGAAGCATTCTCAGAAACTTATTTCTGATGTGTTTGCTCAACTAACAGAATTGAACCATCGTTTTGAAGGAGCAGTTTTGAAACCCTGTTTTCGTGGAATCTGCAAGTGGATATTTGGCTAGCTTTGAGGATTTCGTTGGAAACGGGATTACCTATAAAAAGGAGACAGCAGCATTCTCAGAAACTTCTTTGTGATGTCTGCATTCAATTCACAGAGTTGAGCATTCCCTTTCATAGAGCACGTTGGAAACACTCTTTTTGTAGTATCTGGATGAGGACATTTGGAGCGCTTTCAGGCCTATGGTGAAAAAGGAAATATCTTCCCGTAAAAACTAGACAGAAGCATTCTCAGAAGTTTATTTGTGATGTGTGCCCTCAACTAACAGAGTTGAACCTTTCTTTTGATAGAGCAGTTTTGAAACACTCTTTTTGTAAAATCTGCAAGAGGATATTTGGATAGCTTTGAGGATTTCGTTGCAAACGGGAATGGCTTCATATAAACTCTAGACAGAAGCATTCTCAGAAACTTCGTTGGGATGTTTCGATTGAAGTCCCAGTGTTGAACATTCCCTTTTATAGAGCAGGTTGGAAACACTCTTTCTGCATTCCCTGGAAGTGGACATTTGGAGCGCTTTCAGGACGACGGTGAAAATGGAAATATCTTCCAAGAAAATCTAGATAGAAGCAATGTCAGAAACTTTTATGTGATGGATCTACTCAGCTAACAGAGTTGAACCTTTCTTTTGAGAGAGCAGTTTTGCAACACTCTTTTTGTGGAATATGCAAGTGGATATTAGGGCAGCTTTGAGGATTTCGTTGGAAACGGGAATACATGTAAAAAGCAGACAGCAGCATTCTCAGAAACTTCTTTGTGATGTTTGCATTGAAGTCACAGAGTTGAACATTCCCTTTGAGAGAGCAGGTTTGAAACACGCCTTTTGTCATATCTGGAAGTGTCCATTCGGAGCGCATTCAGGCTTGTGTTGGAAAAGGAAATATCCTCCCATAAAAACTAGACAGAAGCATTCTCAGAAACTTATCTGTGATGTATGTACTCAACTAACAGAACTAAACCATCGTTTTGAAGGAGCAGTTTTGAAACACTCTTTTTGCGGAATCTGCAAGTGGATATTTGGCTAGCTGGGAGGATTTCGTTGGAAACGGGATTACATACAAAAAGCAGACAGCAGCATTCTCAGAAACTTCTTTGTGATGTTTGCATTCAAGTCGCAGAGTTGAACATTCCCTTTCATAGAGCAGGTTTGAAACACTCTTTTTGTAGTATCTGGATGTGGACATTTGGATCGCTTTCAGGCCTATGGTGAAAAAGGAAATATCTTCCCATGAAAACTAGACAGAAGCATTCTCAGAAACTTATTTGTGATGTGTGCCCTCAACTGACAGTGTTGAACCTTTGTTTTGATAGAGCAGTTCTGAAACACACTTTTTGTAAAATCTGCAAGAGGATATTTGGATAGCTTTGAGGATTTCGTTGGAAACGGGAATGTCTTCATGTAAACTCTAGACAGAAGCATTCTCAGAAACTGCTTTGGGATGTTTCAATTGAAGTCCCAGTGTTGAACATTCCCTTTCATAGAGCAGGTTTGAAACATTCTTTTTGTACTATCTGGAAGTGGACATTTAGAGCGCTTTCAGGTCTACGGTGAAAAAGGAGATATCTTCCAATAAAAACTAGATAGAAGCAATGTCAGAACTTTTTTCATGATGTATCTACTCAGCAAACAGAGTTGAACCTTTCTTTTGAGAGAGCAGTTTTGAAACACTCTTTTTGTGGAATATGCAAGTGGGTATTAGGCCAGCTTGGAGGATTTCGTTGGAAACGGGAATACGTATAAAAAGCAGACAGCAGCATTGTCAGAAACTACTTTGTGATGTTTGCATTCAAGTCACAGAATTGAACACTCCCTTTCAGAGAGCAGGTTTGAAACACTCTTTTTGTAGTGTCTGTAAGTGAACATTTGGATTGCTTTCAGGCCTAAGGTGAAAAAGGAAATATCTTCCCATAAAAACTAGACAGAAGCATTCTCAGAAACTTGTTTGTGATGTGTGCCCTCTACTGACAGAGTTGAACCTTTCTTTGCAAAGAGCAGTTTTGAAACACTCTTTTTGTAGAATCTGCAAGAGGATATTTGGATAGCTTTGAGGATTTCTTGGGAAACGGGAATGTCTTCAGATAAACTCTAGACAGAAGCATTCTCAGAAACTTCTTTGGGATGTTTCAATTGAAGTCACAGTGTTGAACATTCCCTTTCACAGAGCAGGTTTGAAACACTCTTTTTGTAGTGTCTATAAGTGAACATTTGGCGTGATTTCAGGCCTAACGTGAAAAAGGAAATATCTTCCCATAAAAACTAGACAGAAGCATTCTCAGAAACTTGTTTGTGATGTGTGCCCTCTACTGACAGAGTTGAACCTTTCTTTGCAAAGAGCAGCTTTGAAACACTCTTTTTGTAGGATCTGCAAGAGGATATTTGGATAGCTTTGAGGATTTCGTTGGAAACGGGTATGTCTTCAGATAAACTCTAGACAGAAGCATTCTCAGAAACTTCTTTGGGATGTTGCATTCAAGTCACAGAGTAGAACATTCCCATTCATAGAGCAGATTTGAAACACTCTTTTTGTAGTATCTGGAAGTGGACATTTGGAGCGCTTTCAGGCATATGTTGAAAAAGGAAATATCTTCCCATAAAAACTAGACGGAAGCATTCTCAGAAACTTATTTCTGATGTGTTTGCTCAACTAACAGAATTGAACCATCGTTTTGAAGGAGCAGTTTTGAAATACTGTTTTCGTGGAATCTGCAAGTGGATATTTGGCTAGCTTTGAGGATTTCGTTGGAAACGGGATTACCTATAAAAAGGAGACAGCAGCATTCTCAGTAAACTTCTTTGTGATGTTTGCATTCAAGTCACAGAGTTGAACATTCCCTTTCATAGAGCAGGTTTGAAACACTCTTTTTGTAGTATCTGGATGTGGACATTTGGATTGCTTTCAGGCCTATGGTGAAAAAGGAAATTTCTTCCCATGAAAACTAGACAGAAGCATTCTCAGAAACTTGTTTGTGATGTGTGCCCTCAACTGACAGTGTTGAACCTTTGTTTTGATAGAGCAGTTCTGAAACACACTTTTTGTAAAATCTGCAAGAGGATATTTGGATAGCTTTGAGGATTTCGTTGGAAACGGAAATGTCTTCATGTAAACTCTACACAGAAGCATTCTCAGAAACTGCTTTGGGATGTTTCAATTGAAGTCCCAGTGTTGAACATTCCCATTCATAGAGCAGGTTTGAAACACTCTTTTTGTACTATCTGGAAGTGGACATTTGGAGCGCTTTCAGGTCTACGGTGAAAAAGGAGATATCTTCCAATAAAAACTAGATAGAAGCAATGTCAGAACTTTTTCCATGATGTATCTACTCAGCAAACAGAGTTGAACCTTTCTTTTGAGAGAGCAGTTTTGAAACACTCTTTTTGTGGAATATGCAAGTGGGTATTAGGCCAGCTTGGAGGATTTCGTTGGAAACGGGAATACGTATAAAAAGCAGACAGCAGCATTGTCAGAAACTACTTTGTGATGTTTGCATTCAAGTCACAGAATTGAACACTCCCTTTCACAGAGCAGGTTTGAAACACTCTTTTTGTAGTGTCTGTAAGTGAACATTTGGATTGCTTTCAGGCCTAAGGTGAAAAAGGAAATATCTTCCCATAAAAACTAGACAGAAGCATTCTCAGAAACTTGTTTGTGATGTGTGTCCTCTACTGACAGAGTTGAACCTTTCTTTGCAAAGAGCAGTTTTGAAACACTCTTTTTGTAGAATCTGCAAGAGGATATTTGGATAGCTTTGAGGATTTCTTGGGAAACGGGAATGTCTTCAGATAAACTCTAGACAGAAGCATTCTCAGAAACTTCTTTGGGATGTTTCAATTGAAGTCACAGTGTTGAACATTCCCTTTCACAGAGCAGGTTTGAAACACTCTTTTTGTAGTGTCTATAATTGAACATTTGGCGTGCTTTCAGGCCTAACGTGAAAAAGGAAATATCTTCCCATAAAAACTAGACAGAAGCATTCTCAGAAACTTGTTCGTGATGTGTGCCCTCTACTGACAGAGTTGAACCTTTCTTTGCAAAGAGCAGCTTTGAAACACTCTTTTTGTAGAATCTGCAAGAGGATATGTGGATAGATTTGAGGATTTCGTTGGAAACGGGTATGTCTTCAGATAAGCTCTAGACAGAAGCATTCTCAGAAACTTCTTTGGGATGTTTCAATTGAAGTCACAGTGTTGAACATTCCCTTTCACAGAGCAGGTTTGAAACACTCTTTTTGTAGTGTCTATAAGTGAACATTTGGCGTGCTTTCAGGCCTAACGTGAAAAAGGAAATATCTTCCCATAAAAACTAGACAGAAGCATTCTCAGAAACTTGTTTGTGATGTGTGCCCTCTACTGACAGAGTTGAACCTTTCTTTGCAAAGAGCAGCTTTGAAACACTCTTTTTGTAGAATCTGCAAGAGGATATTTGGATAGCTTTGAGGATTTCGTTGGAAACGGGTATGTCTTCAGATAAACTCTAGACAGAAGCATTCTCAGAAACTTCTTTGGGATGTTGCATTCAAGTCACAGAGTAGAACATTCCCTTTCATAGAGCAGATTTGAAACACTCTTTGTGTAGTATCTGGAAGTGGACATTTGGAGCGCTTTCAGGCCTATGTTGAAAAAGGAAATATCTTCCCATAAAAACTAGACGGAAGCATTCTCAGAAACTTACTTGTGATGTGTTTGCTCAACTAACAGAATTGAACCATCGTTTTGAAGGAGCAGTTTTGAAACACTGTTTTCGTGGAATCTGCAAGTGGATATTTGGCTAGCTTTGAGGATTTCGTTGGAAACGGGATTACATATAAAAAGGAGACAGCAGCATTCTCAGAAACTTCTTTGTGATGTCTGCATTCAAGTCACAGAGTTGAGCATTCCCTTTCATAGAGCAGGTTGGAAACACTCTTTTTGTAGTATCTGTATGAGGACATTTGGAGCGCTTTCAGGCGTATGGTGAAAAAGGAAATATCTTCCCGTAAAAACTAGACAGAAGATTCTCAGAAATTTATTTGTGATGTGTGCCCTCAACTAACAGAGTTGAACCTTTCTTTTGATAGAGCAGTTTTGAAACACTCTTTTTGTAAAATCTGCAAGAGGATATTTGGATAGCTTTGAGGATTTCGTTGCAAACGGGAATGGCTTCATATAAACTCTAGACAGAAGCATTCTCAGAAACTTCGTTGGGATGTTTCGATTGAAGTCCCAGTGTTGAACATTCCCTTTTATAGAGCAGGTTGGAAACACTCTTTCTGCATTCCCTGGAAGTGGACATTTGGAGCGCTTTCAGGACGACGGTGAAAATGGAAATATCTTCCAAGAAAATCTAGATAGAAGCAATGTCAGAAACTTTTCTGTGATGGATCTACTCAGCTAACAGAGTTGAACCTTTCTTTTGAGAGAGCAGTTTTGCAACACTCTTTTTGTGGAATATGCAAGTGGATATTAGGGCAGCTTTGAGGTTTTCGTTGGAAACGGGAATACATGTAAAAAGCAGACAGCAGCATTCTCAGAAAACTTCTTTGTGATGTTTGCATTGAAGTCACAGAGTTGAACATTCCCTTTGAGAGAGCAGGTTTGAAACACGCCTTTTGTCATATCTGGAAGTGTCCATTCGGAGCGCATTCAGGCTTGTGTTGAAAAAGGAAATATCCTCCCAGAAAAACTAGACAGAAGCATTCTCAGAAACTTATCTGTGATGTATGTACTCAACTAACAGAACTAAACCATCGTTTTGAAGGAGCAGTTTTGAAACACTCTTTTTGCGGAATCTGCAAGTGGATATTTGGCTAGCTGGGAGGATTTCGTTGGAAACGGGATTACATACAAAAAGCAGACAGCAGCATTCTCAGAAACTTCTTTGTGATGTTTGCATTCAAGTCACAGAGTTGAACATTCCCTTTCATAGAGCAGGTTTGAAACACTCTTTTTGTAGTATCTGGATGTGGACATTTGGATCGCTTTCAGGCCTATGGTGAAAAAGGAAATATCTTCCCATGAAAACTAGACAGAAGCATTCTCAGAAACTTATTTGTGAGGTGTGCCCTCAACTGACAGTGTTGAACCTTTGTTTTGATAGAGCAGTTCTGAAACACACCTTTTGTAAAATCTGCAAGAGGATATTTGGATAGCTTTGAGGATTTCGTTGGAAACGGGAATGTCTTCATGTAAACTCTAGACAGAAGCATTCTCAGAAACTGCTTTGGGATGTTTCAATTGAAGTCCCAGTGTTGAACATTCCCTTTCATAGAGCAGGTTTGAAACACTCTTTTTGTACTATCTGGAAGTGGACATTTGGAGCGCTTTCAGGTCTACGGTGAAAAAGGAGATATCTTCCAATAAAAACTAGATAGAAGCAATGTCAGAACTTTTTTCATGATGTATCTACTCAGCAAACAGAGTTGAACCTTTCTTTTGAGAGAGCCGTTTTGAAACACTCTTTTTGTGGAATATGCAAGTGGGTATTAGGCCAGCTTGGAGGATTTCGTTGGAAACGGGAATACGTATAAAAATCAGACAGCAGCATTGTCAGAAACTACTTTGTGATGTTTGCATTCAAGTCACAGAATTGAACACTCCCTTTCACAGAGCAGGTTTGAAACACTCTTTTTGTAGTGTCTGTAAGTGAACATTTGGATTGCTTTCAGGCCTAAGGTGAAAAAGGAAATATCTTCCCATAAAAACTAGACAGAAGCATTCTCAGAAACTTGTTTGTGATGTGTGCCCTCTACTGACAGAGTTGAACCTTTCTTTGCAAAGAGCAGTTTTGAAACACTCTTTTTGTAGAATCTGCAAGAGGATATTTGGATAGCTTTGAGGATTTCTTGGGAAACGGGAATGTCTTCAGATAAACTCTAGACAGAAGCATTCTCAGAAACTTCTTGGGATATTTCAATTAAAGTCACAGTGTTGAACATTCCCTTTCACAGAGCAGGTTTGAAACACTCTTTTTGTAGTGTTTATAAGTGAACATTTGGCGTGCTTTCAGGCCTAACGTGAAAAAGGAAATATCTTCCCATAAAAACTAGACAGAAGCATTCTCAGAAACTTGTTCGTGATGTGTGCCCTCTACTGACAGAGTTGAACCTTTCTTTGCAAAGAGCAGCTTTGAAACACTCTTTTTGTAGAATCTGCAAGAGGATATTTGGATAGCTTTGAGGATTTCGTTGGAAACGGGTATGTCTTCAGATAAACTCTAGACAGAAGCATTCTCAGAAACTTCTTTGGGATGTTGCATTCAAGTCACAGAGTAGAACATTCCCATTCATAGAGCAGATTTGAAACACTCTTTTTGTAGTATCTGGAAGTGGACATTTGGAGCGCTTTCAGGCCTATGTTGAAAAAGGAAATATCTTCCCATAAAAACTAGACGGAAGCATTCTCAGAAACTTACTTGTGATGTGTTTGCTCAACTAACAGAATTGAACCATCGTTTTGAAGGAGCAGTTTTGAAACACTGTTTTCGTGGAATCTGCAAGTGGATATTTGGCTAGCTTTGAGGATTTCGTTGGAAACGGGATTACATATAAAAAGGAGACAGCAGCATTCTCAGAAACTTCTTTGTGATGTCTGCATTCAAGTCACAGAGTTGAGCATTCCCTTTCATAGAGAAGGTTGGAAACACTCTTTTTGTAGTATCTGGATGAGGACATTTGGAGCGCTTTCAGGCGTATGGTGAAAAAGGAAATATCTTCCCGTAAAAACTAGACAGAAGCATTCTCAGAAATTTATTTGTGATGTGTGCCCTCAACTAACAGAGTTGAACCTTTCTTTTGATAGAGCAGTTTTGAAACACTCTTTTTGTAAAATCTGCAAGAGGATATTTGGATAGCTTTGAGGATTTCGTTGCAAACGGGAATGGCTTCATATAAACTCTAGACAGAAGCATTCTCAGAAACTTCGTTGGGATGTTTCGATTGAAGTCCCAGTGTTGAACATTCCCTTTTATAGAGCAGGTTGGAAACACTCTTTCTGCATTCCCTGGAAGTGGACAATTGGAGCGCTTTCAGGACGACGGTGAAAATGGAAATATCTTCCAATAAAATCTGGATAGAAGCAACGTCAGAAACTTTTCTGTGATGGATCTACTCAGCTAACAGAGTTGAACCTTTCTTTTGAGAGAGCAGTTTTGCAACACTCTTTTTGTGGAATATGCAAGTGGATATTAGGGCAGCTTTGAGGATTTCGTTGGAAACGGGAATACATGTAAAAAGCAGACAGCAGCATTCTCAGAAACTTCTTTGTGATCTTTTCATTGAAGTCACAGAGTTGAACATTCCCTTTGAGAGAGCAGGTTTGAAACACGCCTTTTGTCATATCTGGAAGTGTCCATTCGGAGCGCATTCAGGCTTGTGTTGAAGAAGGAAATATCCTCCCATAAAAACTAGACAGAAGCATTCTCAGAAACTCATTTGTGATGTATGTACTCAACTAACAGAACTAAACCATCGTTTTGAAGGAGCAGTTTTGAAACACCCTTTTTGCGGAATCTGCAACTGGATATTTGGCTAGCTTGGAGGATTTCGTTGGAAACGGGATTACATACAAAAAGCAGACAGCAAGCATTCTCAGTAAACTTATTTGTGATGTGTGCCCTCAACTGACAGTGTTGAACCTTTGTTTTGATAGAGCAGTTCTGAAACACACTTTTTGTAAAATCTGCAAGAGGATATTTGGATAGCTTTGAGGATTTCGTTGGAAACGGGAATGTCTTCATGTAAACTCTAGACAGAAGCATTCTCAGAAACTGCTTTGGGATGTTTCAATTGAAGTCCCAGTGTTGAACATTCCCTTTCATAGAGCAGGTTTGAAACACTCTTTTTGTACTATCTGGAAGTGGACATTTGGAGCGCTTTCAGGTCTACGGTGAAAAAGGAGATATCTTCCAATAAAAACTAGATAGAAGCAATGTCAGAACTTTTTTCATGATGTATCTACTCAGCAAACAGAGTTGAACCTTTCTTTTGAGAGAGCAGTTTTGAAACACTCTTTTTGTGGAATATGCAAGTGGGTATTAGGCCAGCATGGAGGATTTCGTTGGAAACGGGAATACGTATAAAAAGTAGACAGCAGCATTGTCAGAAACTACTTTGTGATGTTTGCATTCAAGTCACAGAATTGAACACTCCCTTTCACAGAGCAGGTTTGAAACACTCTTTTTGTAGTGTCTGTAAGTGAACATATGGATTGCTTTCAGGCCTAAGGTGAAAAAGGAAATATCTTCCCATAAAAACTAGACAGAAAGCATTCTCAGAAACTTGTTTGTGATGTGTGCCCTCTACTGACAGAGTTGAACCTTTCTTTGCAAAGAGCAGTTTTGAAACACTCTTTTTGTAGAATCTGCAAGAGGATATTTGGATAGCTTTGAGGATTTCTTGGGAAACGGGAATGTCTTCAGATAAACTCTAGACAGAAGCATTCTCAGAAACTTCTTTGGGATATTTCAATTGAAGTCACAGTGTTGAACATTCCCTTTCACAGAGCAGGTTTGAAACACTCTTTTTGTAGTGTCTATAAGTGAACATTTGGCGTGCTTTCAGGCCTAACGTGAAAAAGGAAATATCTTCCCATAAAAACTAGACAGAAGCATTCTCAGAAACTTGTTCGTGATGTGTGCCCTCTACTGACAGAGTTGAACCTTTCTTTGCAAAGAGTAGCTTTGAAACACTCTTTTTGTAGAATCTGCAAGAGGATATTTGGATAGCTTTGAGGATTTCGTTGGAAACGGGTATGTCTTCAGATAAACTCTAGACAGAAGCATTCTCAGAAACTTCTTTGGGATGTTGCATTCAAGTCACAGAGTAGAACATTCCCATTCATAGAGCAGATTTGAAACACTCTTTTTGTAGTATCTGGAAGTGGACATTTGGAGCGCTTTCAGGCCTATGTTGAAAAAGGAAATACCTTCCCATAAAAACTAGACGGAAGCATTCTCAGAAACTTACTTGTGATGTGTTTGCTCAACTAACAGAATTGAACCATCGTTTTGAAGGAGCAGTTTTGAAACACTGTTTTCGTGGAATCTGCAAGTGGATATTTGGCTAGCTTTGAGGATTTCGTTGGAAACGGGATTACATATAAAAAGGAGACAGCAGCATTCTCAGAAACTTCTTTGTGATGTCTGCATTCAAGTCACAGAGTTGAGCATTCCCTTTCATAGAGCAGGTTGGAAACACTCTTTGTGTAGTATCTGGATGAGGACATTTGGAGCGCTTTCAGGCGTATGGTGAAAAAGGAAATATCTTCCCGTAAAAACTAGACAGAAGCATTCTCAGAAGTTTATTTGTGATGTGTGCCCTCAACTAACAGAGTTGAACCTTTCTTTTGATAGAGCAGTTTTGAAACACTCTTTTTGTAAAATCTGCAAGAGGATATTTGGATAGCTTTGAGGATTTCGTTGCAAACGGGAATGGCTTCATATAAACTCTAGACAGAAGCATTCTCAGAAACTTCGTTGGGATGTTTCGATTGAAGTCCCAGTGTTGAACATTCCCTTTTATAGAGCAGGTTGGAAACACTCTTTCTGCATTCCCTGGAAGTGGACATTTGGAGCGCTTTCAGGACGACGGTGAAAATGGAAATATCTTCCAAGAAAATCTAGATAGAAGCAACGTCAGAAACTTTTCTGTGATGGATCTACTCAGCTAACAGAGTTGAACCTTTCTTTTGAGAGAGCAGTTTTGCAACACTCTTTTTGTGGAATATGCAAGTGGATATTAGGGCAGCTTTGAGGATTTCGTTGGAAACGGGAATACATGTAAAAAGCAGACAGCAGCATTCTCAGAAACTTCTTTGTGATGTTTGCATTGAAGTCACAGAGTTGAACATTCCCTTTGAGAGAGCAGGTTTGAAACACGCCTTTTGTCATATCTGGAAGTGTCCATTCGGAGCGCATTCAGGCTTGTGTTGAAAAAGGAAATATCCTCCCATAAAAACTAGACAGAAGCATTCTCAGAAACTTATCTGTGATGTATGTACTCAACTAACAGAACTAAACCATCGTTTTGAAGGAGCAGTTTTGAAACACTCTTTTTGCGGAATCTGCAAGTGGATATTTGGCTAGCTGGGAGGATTTCGTTGGAAACGGGATTACATACAAAAAGCAGACAGCAGCATTCTCAGAAACTTCTTTGTGATGTTTGCATTCAAGTCACAGAGTTGAGCATTCCCTTTCATAGAGCAGGTTTGAAACACTCTTTTTGTAGTATCTGGATGTGGACATTTGGATCGCTTTCAGGCCTATGGTGAAAAAGGAAATATCTTCCCATGAAAACTAGACAGAAGCATTCTCAGAAGTTTATTTGTGATGTGTGCCCTCAACTAACAGAGTTGAACCTTTCTTTTGATAGAGCAGTTTTGAAACACTCATTTTGTAAAATCTGCAAGAGGATATTTGGATAGCTTTGAGGATTTCGTTGCAAACGGGAATGGCTTCATATAAACTCTAGACAGAAGCATTCTCAGAAACTTCGTCGGGATGTTTCGATTGAAGTCCCAGTGTTGAACATTCCCTTTTATAGAGCAGGTTGGAAACACTCTTTCTGCATTCCCTGGAAGTGGACAATTGGAGCGCTTTCAGGACGACGGTGAAAATGGAAATATCTTCCAATAAAATCTGGATAGAAGCAACGTCAGAAACTTTTATGTGATGGATCTACTCAGCTAACAGAGTTGAACCTTTCTTTTGAGAGAGCAGTTTTGCAACACTCTTTTTGTGGAATATGCAAGTGGATATTAGGGCAGCTTTGAGGATTTCGTTGGAAACGGGAATACATGTAAAAAGCAGACAGCAGCATTCTCAGAAACTTCTTTGTGATGTTTGCATTGAAGTCACAGAGTTGAACATTCCCTTTGAGAGAGCAGGTTTGAAACACGCCTTTTGTCATATCTGGAAGTGTCCATTCGGAGCGCATTCAGGCTTGTGTTGAAAAAGGAAATATCCTCCCATAAAAACTAGACAGAAAGCATTCTCAGAAACTTATCTGTGATGTATGTACTCAACTAACAGAACTAAACCATCGTTTTGAAGGAGCAGTTTTGAAACACTCTTTTTGCGGAATCTGCAAGTGGATATTTGGCTAGCTGGGAGGATTTCGTTGGAAACGGGATTACATACAAAAAGCAGAGAGCAGCATTCTCAGAAACTTCTTTGTGATGTTTGCATTCAAGTCACAGAGTTGAACATTCCCTTTCATAGAGCAGGTTTGAAACACTCTTTTTGTAGTATCTGGATGTGGACATTTGGATCGCTTTCAGGCCTATGGTGAAAAAGGAAATATCTTCCCATGAAAACTAGACAGAAGCATTCTCAGAAACTTATTTGTGATGTGTGCCCTCAACTGACAGTGTTGAACCTTTGTTTTGATAGAGCAGTTCTGAAACACACTTTTTGTAAAATCTGCAAGAGGATATTTGGATAGCTTTGAGGATTTCGTTGGAAACGGGAATGTCTTCATGTAAACTCTAGACAGAAGCATTCTCAGAAACTGCTTTGGGATGTTTCAATTGAAGTCCCAGTGTTGAACATTCCCTTTCATAGAGCAGGTTTGAAACACTCTTTTTGTACTATCTGGAAGTGGACATTTAGAGCGCTTTCAGGTCTACGGTGAAAAAGGAGATATCTTCCAATAAAAACTAGATAGAAGCAATGTCAGAACTTTTTTCATGATGTATCTACTCAGCAAACAGAGTTGAACCTTTCTTTTGAGAGAGCAGTTTTGAAACACTCTTTTTGTGGAATATGCAAGTGGGTATTAGGCCAGCTTGGAGGATTTCGTTGGAAACGGGAATACGTATAAAAAGCAGACAGCAGCATTGTCAGAAACTACTTTGTGATGTTTGCATTCAAGTCACAGAATTGAACACTCCCTTTCACAGAGCAGGTTTGAAACACTCTTTTTGTAGTGTCTGTAAGTGAACATATGGATTGCTTTCAGGCCTAAGGTGAAAAAGGAAATATCTTCCCATAAAAACTAGACAGAAGCACTCTCAGAAACTTGTTTGTGATGTGTGCCCTCTACTGACAGAGTTGAACCTTTCTTTGCAAAGAGCAGTTTTGAAACACTCCTTTTGTAGAATCTGCAAGAGGATATTTGGATAGCTTTGAGGATTTCTTGGGAAACGGGAATGTCTTCAGATAAACTCTAGACAGAAGCATTCTCAGAAACTTCTTTGGGATATTTCAATTGAAGTCACAGTGTTGAACATTCCCTTTCACAGAGCAGGTTTGAAACACTCTTTTTGTAGTGTCTATAAGTGAACATTTGGCGTGCTTTCAGGCCTAACGTGAAAAAGGAAATATCTTCCCATAAAAACTAGACAGAAGCATTCTCAGAAACTTGTTCGTGATGTGTGCCCTCTACTGACAGAGTTGAACCTTTCTTTGCAAAGAGCAGCTTTGAAACACACTTTTTGTAGAATCTGCAAGAGGATATTTGGATAGCTTGGAGGATTTCGTTGGAAACGGGTATGTCTTCAGATAAACTCTAGACAGAAGCATTCTCAGAAACTTCTTTGGGATGTTGCATTCAAGTCACAGAGTAGAACATTCCCATTCATAGAGCAGATTTGAAACACTCTTTTTGTAGTATCTGGAAGTGGACATTTGGAGCGCTTTCAGGCCTATGTTGAAAAAGGAAATATCTTCCCATAAAAACTAGACGGAAGCATTCTCAGAAACTTATTTGTGATGTGTTTGCTCAACTAACAGGATTGAACCATCGTTTTGAAGGAGCAGTTTTGAAACACTGTTTTCGTGGAATCTGCAAGTGGATATTTGGCTAGCTTTGAGGATTTCGTTGGAAACGGGATTACATATAAAAAGGAGACAGCAGCATTCTCAGAAACTTCTTTGTGATGTCTGCATTCAATTCACAGAGTTGAGCATTCCCTTTCATAGAGCAGGTTGGAAACACTCTTTTTGTAGTATGTGGATGAGGACATTTGGAGCGCTTTCAGGCCTATGGTGAAAAAGGAAATATCTTCCCGTAAAAACTAGACAGAAGCATTCTCAGAAGTTTATTTGTGATGTGTGCCCTCAACTAACAGAGTTGAACCTTTCTTTTGATAGAGCAGTTTTGAAACACTCTTTTTGTAAAATCTGCAAGAGGATATTTGGATAGCTTTGAGGATTTCGTTGCAAACGAGAATGGCTTCACATAAACTCTAGACAGAAGCATTCTCAGAAACTTCGTTGGGATGTTTCGATTGAAGTCCCAGTGTTGAACATTCCCTTTTATAGAGCAGGTTGGAAACACTCTTTCTGCATTCCCTGGAAGTGGACATTTGGAGCGCTTTCAGGACGACGGTGAAAATGGAAATATCTTCCAAGAAAATCTAGATAGAAGCAATGTCAGAAACTTTTCTGTGATGGATCTACTCAGCTAACAGAGTTGAAACTTTCTTTTGAGAGAGCAGTTTTGCAACACTCTTTTTGTGGAATATGCAAGTGGATATTAGGGCAGCTTTGAGGATTTCGTTGGAAACGGGAATACATGTAAAAAGCAGACAGCAGCATTCTCAGAAACTTCTTTGTGATGTTTGCATTGAAGTCACAGAGTTGAACATTCCCTTTGAGAGAGCAGGTTTGAAACACGCCTTTTGTCATATCTGGAAGTGTCCATTCGGAGCGCATTCAGGCTTGTGTTGAAAAAGGAAATATCCTCCCATAAAAACTAGACAGAAGCATTCTCAGAAACTTATCTGTGATGTATGTACTCAACTAACAGAACTAAACCATCGTTTTGAAGGAGCAGTTTTGAAACACTCTTTTTGCGGAATCTGCAAGTGGATATTTGGCTAGCTGGGAGGATTTCGTTGGAAACGGGATTACATACAAAAAGCAGAGAGCAGCATTCTCAGAAACTTATTGGTGATGTGTGCCCTCAACTGACAGTGTTGAACCTTTGTTTTGATAGAGCAGTTCTGAAACACACTTTTTGTAAAATCTGCAAGAGGATATTTGGATAGCTTTGAGGATTTCGTTGGAAACGGGAATGTCTTCATGTAAACTCTACACAGAAGCATTCTCAGAAACTGCTTTGGGATGTTTCAATTGAAGTCCCAGTGTTGAACATTCCCTTTCATAGAGCAGGTTTGAAACACTCTTTTTGTACTATCTGGAAGTGGACATTTGGAGCGCTTTCAGGTCTACGGTGAAAAAGGAGATATCTTCCAATAAAAACTAGATAGAAGCAATGTCAGAACTTTTTTCATGATGTATCTACTCAGCAAACAGAGTTGAACCTTTCTTTTGAGAGAGCAGTTTTGAAACACTCTTTTTGTGGAATATGCAAGTGGGTATTAGGCCAGCTTGGAGGATTTCGTTGGAAACGGGAATACGTATAAAAAGAAGACAGCAGCATTGTCAGAAACTACTTTGTGATGTTTGCATTCAAGTCACAGAATTGAACACTCCCTTTCACAGAGCAGGTTTGAAACACTCTTTTTGTAGTGTCTGTAAGTGAACATTTGGATTGCTTCAGGCCTAAGGTGAAAAAGGAAATATCTTCCCATAAAAACTAGACAGAAGCATTCTCAGAAACTTGTTTGTGATGTGTGCCCTCTACTGACAGAGTTAAACCTTTCTTTGCAAAGAGCAGTTTTGAAACACTCTTTTTGTAGAATCTGCAAGAGGATATTTGGATAGCTTTGAGGATTTCCTGGGAAACGGGAATGTCTTCAGATAAACTCTAGACAGAAGCATTCTCAGAAACTTCTTTGGGATGTTTCAATTGAAGTCACAGTGTTGAACATTCCCTTTCACAGGAGCAGGTTTGAAACACTCTTTTTGTAGTGTCTATAAGTGAACATTTGGCGTGCTTTCAGGCCTAACGTGAAAAAGGAAATATCTTCCCATAAAAACTAGACAGAAGCATTCTCAGAAACTTGTTCTTGATGTGTCCCCTCTACTGACAGAGTTGAACCTTTCTTTGCAAAGAGCAGCTTTGAAACACTCTTTTTGTAGAATCTGCAAGAGGATATTTGGATAGCTTGGAGGATTTCGTTGGAAACGGGTATGTCTTCAGATAAACTCTAGACAGAAGCATTCTCAGAAACTTCTTTGGGATGTTGCATTCAAGTCACAGAGTAGAACATTCCCATTCATAGAGCAGATTTGAAACACTCTTTTTGTAGTATCTGGAAGTGGACATTTGGAGCGCTTTCAGGCCTATGTTGAAAAAGGAAATATCTTCCCATAAAAACTAGACGGAAGCATTCTCAGAAACTTATTTGTGATGTGTTTGCTCAACTAACAGGATTGAACCATCGTTTTGAAGGAGCAGTTTTGAAACACTGTTTTCGTGGAATCTGCAAGTGGATATTTGGCTAGCTTTGAGGATTTCGTTGGAAACGGGATTACATATAAAAAGGAGACAGCAGCATTCTCAGAAACTTCTTTGTGATGTCTGCATTCAATTCACAGAGTTGAGCATTCCCTTTCATAGAGCAAGTTGGAAACACTCTTTTTGTAGTATCTGGATGAGGACATTTGGAGCGCTTTCAGGCATATGGTGAAAAAGGAAATATCTTCCCGTAAAAACTAGACAGAAGCATTCTCAGAAGTTTATTTGTGATGTGTGCCCTCAACTAACAGAGTTGAACCTTTCTTTTGATAGAGCAGTTTTGAAACACTCTTTTTGTAAAATCTGCAAGAGGATATTTGGATAGCTTTGAGGATTTCGTTGCAAACGGGAATGGCTTCATATAAACTCTAGACAGAAGCATTCTCAGAAACTTCGTTGGGATGTTTCGATTGAAGTCCCAGTGTTGAACATTCCCTTTTATAGAGCAGGTTGGAAACACTCTTTCTGCATTCCCTGGAAGTGGACATTTGGAGCGCTTTCAGGACGACGGTGAAAATGGAAATATCTTCCAAGAAAATCTAGATAGAAGCAACGTCAGAAACTTTTCTGTGATGGATCTACTCAGCTAACAGAGTTGAACCTTTCTTTTGAGAGAGCAGTTTTGCAACACTCTTTTTGTGGAATATGCAAGTGGATATTAGGGCAGCTTTGAGGATTTCGTTGGAAACGGGAATACATGTAAAAAGCAGACAGCAGCATTCTCAGAAACTTCTTTGTGATGTTTACATTGAAGTCACAGAGTTGAACATTCCCTTTGAGAGAGCAGGTTTGAAACACGCCTTTTGTCATATCTGGAAGTGTCCATTCGGAGCGCATTCAGGCTTGTGTTGAAAAAGGAAATATCCTCCCAGAAAAACTAGACAGAAGCATTCTCAGAAACTTATCTGTGATGTATGTACTCAACTAACAGAACTAAACCATCGTTTTGAAGGAGCAGTTTTGAAACACTCTTTTTGCGGAATCTGCAAGTGGATATTTGGCTAGCTGGGAGGATTTCGTTGGAAACGGGATTACATACAAAAAGCAGACAGCAGCATTCTCAGAAACTTCTTTGTGATGTTTGCATTCAAGTCACAGAGTTGAACATTCCCTTTCATAGAGCAGGTTTGAAACACTCTTTTTGTAGTATCTGGATGTGGACATTTGGATCGCTTTCAGGCCTATGGTGAAAAAGGAAATATCTTCCCATGAAAACTAGACAGAAGCATTCTCAGAAACTTATTTGTGATGTGTGCCCTCAACTGACAGTGTTGAACCTTTGTTTTGATAGAGCAGTTCTGAAACACACTTTTTGTAAAATCTGCAAGAGGATATTTGGATAGCTTTGAGGATTTCGTTGGAAACGGGAATGTCTTCATGTAAACTCTAGACAGAAGCATTCTCAGAAACTGCTTTGGGATGTTTCAATTGAAGTCCCAGTGTTGAACATTCCCTTTCATAGAGCAGGTTTGAAACACTCTTTTTGTAGTATCTGGATGAGGACATTTGGAGCGCTTTCAGGCGTATGGTGAAAAAGGAAATATCTTCCCGTGAAAACTAGATAGAAGCATTCTCAGAAGTTTATTTCTGATGTGTGCCCTCAACTAACAGAGTTGAACCTTTCTTTTGATAGAGCAGTTTTGAAACACTCTTTTTGTAAAATCTGCAAGATGATATTTGGATAGCTTTGAGGATTTCGTTGCAAACGGGAATGGCTTCATATAAACTCTAGACAGAAGCATTCTCAGAAACTTCGTTGGGATGTTTCGATTGAAGTCCCAGTGTTGAACATTCCCATTCATAGAGCAGGTTTGAAACACTCTTTTTGTACTATCTGGAAGTGGACATTTGGAGCGCTTTCAGGTCTACGGTGAAAAAGGAGATATCTTCCAATAAAAACTAGATAGAAGCAATGTCAGAACTTTTTTCATGATGTATCTACTCAGCAAACAGAGTTGAACCTTTCTTTTGAGAGAGCAGTTTTGAAACACTCTTTTTGTGGAATATGCAAGTGGGTATTAGGCCAGCTTGGAGGATTTCCTTGGAAACGGGAATACGTATAAAAAGCAGACAGCAGCATTGTCAGAAACTACTTTGTGATATTTGCATTCAAGTCACAGAATTGAACACTCCCTTTCACAGAGCAGGTTTGAAACACTCTTTTTGTAGTGTCTGTAAGTGAACATTTGGATTGCTTTCAGGCCTAAGGTGAAAAAGGAAATATCTTCCCATAAAAACTAGACAGAAGCATTCTCAGAAACTTGTTTGTGATGTGTGCCCTCTACTGACAGAGTTGAACCTTTCTTTGCAAAGAGCAGTTTTGAAACACTCTTTTTGTAGAATCTGCAAGAGGATATTTGGATAGCTTTGAGGATTTCTTGGGAAACGGGAATGTCTTCAGATAAACTCTAGACAGAAGCATTCTCAGAAACTTCTTTGGGATATTTCAATTGAAGTCACAGTGTTGAACATTCCCTTTCACAGAGCAGGTTTGAAACACTCTTTTTGTAGTGTCTATAAGTGAACATTTGTCGTGCTTTCAGGCCTAAGGTGAAAAAGGAAATATCTTCCCATAAAAACTAGACAGAAGCATTCTCAGAAACTTGTTCGTGATGTGTGCCCTCTACTGACAGAGTTGAACCTTTCTTTGCAAAGAGCAGCTTTGAAACACTCTTTTTGTAGAATCTGCAAGAGGATATTTGGATAGCTTTGAGGATTTCGTTGGAAACGGGTATGTCTTCAGATAAACTCTAGACAGAAGCATTCTCAGAAACTTCTTTGGGATGTTGCATTCAAGTCACAGAGTAGAACATTCCCATTCATAGAGCAGATTTGAAACACTCTTTTTGTAGTATCTGGAAGTGGACATTTGGAGCGCTTTCAGGCCTATGTTGAAAAAGGAAATATCTTCCCATAAAAACTAGACGGAAGCATTCTCAGAAACTTACTTGTGACTGTGTTTGCTCAACTAACAGAATTGAACCATCGTTTTGAAGGAGCAGTTTTGAAACACTGTTTTCGTGGAATCTGCAAGTGGATATTTGGCTAGCTTTGAGGATTTCGTTGGAAACGGGATTACATATAAAAAGGAGACAGCAGCATTCTCAGAAACTTCTTTGTGATGTCTGCATTCAAGTCACAGAGTTGAGCATTCCCTTTCATAGCAGCAGGTTGGAAACACTCTTTTTGTAGTATCTGGATGAGGACATTTGGAGCGCTTTCAGGCGTATGGTGAAAAAGGAAATATCTTCCCGTAAAAACTAGACAGAAGCATTCTCAGAAGTTTATTTGTGATGTGTGCCCTCAACTAACAGAGTTGAACCTTTCTTTTGATAGAGCAGTTTTGAAACACTCTTTTTGTAAAATCTGCAAGAGGATATTTGGATAGCTTTGAGGATTTCGTTGCAAACGGGAATGGCTTCATATAAACTCTAGACAGAAAGCATTCTCAGAAACTTCGTTGGGATGTTTCGATTGAAGTCCCAGTGTTGAACATTCCCTTTTATAGAGCAGGTTGGAAACACTCTTTCTGCATTCCCTGGAAGTGGACATTTGGAGCGCTTTCAGGACGACGGTGAAAATGGAAATATCTTCCAAGAAAATCTAGATAGAAGCAACGTCAGAAACTTTTATGTGATGGATCTACTCAGCTAACAGAGTTGAACCTTTCTTTTGAGAGAGCAGTTTTGCAACACTCTTTTTGTGGAATATGCAAGTGGATATTAGGGCAGCTTTGAGGATTTCGTTGGAAACGGGAATACATGTAAAAAGCAGACAGCAGCATTCTCAGAAACTTCTTTGTGATGTTTGCATTGAAGTCACAGAGTTGAACATTCCCTTTGAGAGAGCAGGTTTGAAACACGCCTTTTGTCATATCTGGAAGTGTCCATTCGGAGCGCATTCAGGCTTGTGTTGAAAAAGGAAATATCCTCCCATAAAAACTAGACAGAAGCATTCTCAGAAACTTATTTGTGATGTATGTACTCAACTAACAGAACTAAACCATCGTTTTGAAGGAGCAGTTTTGAAACACTCTTTTTGCGGAATCTGCAACTGGATATTTGGCTAGCTTGGAGGATTTCGTTGGAAACGGGATTACATACAAAAAGCAGACAGCAGCATTCTCAGAAACTTATTTGTGATGTGTGCCCTCAACTGACAGTGTTGAACCTTTGTTTTGATAGAGCAGTTCTGAAACACACTTTTTGTAAAATCTGCAAGAGGATATTTGGATAGCTTTGAGGATTTCGTTGGAAACGGGAATGTCTTCATGTAAACTCTAGACAGAAGCATTCTCAGAAACTGCTTTGGGATGTTTCAATTGAAGTCCCAGTGTTGAACATTCCCTTTCATAGAGCAGGTTTGAAACACTCTTTTTGTACTATCTGGAAGTGGACATTTGGAGCGCTTTCAGGTCTACGGTGAAAAAGGAGATATCTTCCAATAAAAACTAGATAGAAGCAATGTCAGAACTTTTTTCATGATGTATCTACTCAGCAAACAGAGTTGAACCTTACTTTTGAGAGAGCAGTTTTGAAACACTCTTTTTGTGGAATATGCAAGTGGGTATTAGGCCAGCTTGGAGGATTTCGTTGGAAACGGGAATACGTATAAAAAGCAGACAGCAGCATTGTCAGAAACTACTTTGTGATGTTTGCATTCAAGTCACAGAATTGAACACTCCCTTTCACAGAGCAGGTTTGAAACACTCTTTTTGTAGTGTCTGTAAGTGAACATTTGGATTGCTTTCAGGCCTAAGGTGAAAAAGGAAATATCTTCCCATAAAAACTAGACAGAAGCATTCTCAGAAACTTGTTTGTGATATGTGCCCTCTACTGACAGAGTTGAACCTTTCTTTGCAAAGAGCAGTTTTGAAACACTCTTTTTGTAGAATCTGCAAGAGGATATTTGGATAGCTTTGAGGATTTCTTGGGAAACGGGAATGTCTTCAGATAAACTCTAGACAGAAGCATTCTCAGAAACTTCTTTGGGATGTTTCAATTGAAGTCACAGTGTTGAACATTCCCTTTCACAGAGCAGGTTTGAAACACTCTTTTTGTAGTGTCTATAAGTGAACATTTGGCGTGCTTTCAGGCCTAACGTGAAAAAGGAAATATCTTCCCATAAAAACTAGACAGAAGCATTCTCAGAAACTTGTTCTTGATGTGTCCCCTCTACTGACAGAGTTGAACCTTTCTTTGCAAAGAGCAGCTTTGAAACACTCTTTTTGTAGAATCTGCAAGAGGATATTTGGATAGCTTGGAGGATTTCGTTGGAAACGGGTATGTCTTCAGATAAACTCTAGACAGAAGCATTCTCAGAAACTTCTTTGGGATGTTGCATTCAAGTCACAGAGTAGAACATTCCCATTCATAGAGCAGATTTGAAACACTCTTTTTGTAGTATCTGGAAGTGGACATTTGGAGCGCTTTCAGGCCTATGTTGAAAAAGGAAATATCTTCCCATAAAAACTAGACGGAAGCATTCTCAGAGACCAGTTTGTGATGTGTGTACTCAAGTAACAGAGTTGAACCATTCTTTTGATAGAGCAGTTTTGAAACACTCTTTTTGTAGAATCTGCAAGTGGATATTTGGATAGCTTTGAGGATTTCGTTGGAAACGGGAATATCTTCATATAAAATCTAGACAGAAGCATTCTCAGAAACATCTCTGTGATGTTTGCATTCAAGTCACAGAGTTGAACATTCCCTTTCATAGAGCAGGTTTGAAACACTCTTTTTGTAGTATCTGGAAGTGCACATTTGGAGCGCATTGAGGCCTAAGGTGAAAAAGGAAATATCTTCCCATAAAAACTAGACAGAAGCATTCTCAGAAATTTATTTGTGATGTGTGCCCTCAAATAACAGAGTTGAACCTTTCTTTTGATAGAGCAGTTTTGAAACACTCTTTTTGTAAAATCTGCAAGAGGATATTTGGATAGCTTTGAGGATTTCTTTGCAAACGGGAATGGCTTCATATAAACTCTAGACAGAAGCATTCTCAGAAATTTCTTTGTGATGTTTGCATTCAGGTCACAGAGTTGAACATTCCCTTTCATAGAGCAGGTTTGAAACACTCTTTTTGTAGTATCTGGAAGTGGACATTTGGAGCGCTTTGTGGCCTATGGTGAAAAAGGAAATATCTTCCCATAAAAACCAGACAGAAGCATTCTCAGAAGTTTATTTGTGATGTGTGCCCTCAACTAACAGAGTTGAACCTTTCTTTTGATAGAGCAGTTTTGAAACACTCTTTTTGTAAAATCTGCAAGAGGATATTTGGATAGCTTTGAGGATTTCGTTGCAAACGGGAATGGCTTCATATAAACTCTAGACAGAAGCATTCTCAGAAACTTCGTTGGGATGTTTCGATTGAAGTCCCAGTGTTGAACATTCCCTTTTATAGAGCAGGTTGGAAACACTCTTTCTGCATTCCCTGGAAGTGGACATTTGGAGCGCTTTCAGGACGACGGTGAAAATGGAAATATCTTCCAAGAAAATCTAGATAGAAGCAACGTCAGAAACTTTTCTGTGATGGATCTACTCAGCTAACAGAGTTGAACCTTTCTTTTGAGAGAGCAGTTTTGCAACACTCTTTTTGTGGAATATGCAAGTGGATATTAGGGCAGCTTTGAGGATTTCGTTGGAAACGGGAATACATGTAAAAAGCAGACAGCAGCATTCTCAGAAACTTCTTTGTGATGTTTGCATTGAAGTCACAGAGTTGAACATTCCCTTTGAGAGAGCAGGTTTGAAACACGCCTTTTGTCATATCTGGAAGTGTCCATTCGGAGCGCATTCAGGCTTGAGTTGAAAAAGGAAATATCCTCCCATAAAAACTAGACAGAAGCATTCTCAGAAACTTATCTGTGATGTATGTACTCAACTAACAGAACTAAACCATCGTTTTGAAGGAGCAGTTTTGAAACACTCTTTTTGCGGAATCTGCAAGTGGATATTTGGCTAGCTGGGAGGATTTCGTTGGAAACGGGATTACATACAAAAAGCAGACAGCAGCATTCTCAGAAACTTCTTTGTGATGTTTGCATTCAAGTCAAAGAGTTGAACATTCCCTTTCATAGAGCAGGTTTGAAACACTCTTTTTGTAGTATCTGGATGTGGACATTTGGATCGCTTTCAGGCCTATGGTGAAAAAGGAAATATCTTCCCATGAAAACTAGACAGAAGCATTCTCAGAAATTTATTTGTGATGTGTGCCCTCAACTAACAGAGTTGAACCTTTCTTTTGATAGAGCAGTTTTGAAACACTCTTTTTGTAAAATCTGCAAGAGGATATTTGGATAGCTTTGAGGATTTCGTTGCAAACGGGAATGGCTTCATATAAACTCTAGACAGAAGCATTCTCAGAAACTTCGTTGGGATGTTTCGATTGAAGTCCCAGTGTTGAACATTCCCTTTTATAGAGCAGGTTGGAAACACTCTTTCTGCATTCCCTGGAAGTGGACATTTGGAGCGCTTTCAGGAGGACGGTGAAAATGGAAATATCTTCCAAGAAAATCTAGATAGAAGCAATGTCAGAAACTTTTCTGTGATGGATCTACTCAGCTAACAGAGTTGAACCTTTCTTTTGAGAGAGCAGTTTTGCAACACTCTTTTTGTGGAATATGCAAGTGGATATTAGGGCAGCTTTGAGGATTTCGTTGGAAACGGGAATACATGTAAAAAGCAGACAGCAGCATTCTCAGAAACTTCTTTGTGATGTTTGCATTGAAGTCACAGAGTTGAACATTCCCTTTGAGAGAGCAGGTTTGAAACACGCCTTTTGTCATATCTGGAAGTGTCCATTCGGAGCGCATTCAGGCTTGTGTTGGAAAAGGAAATATCCTCCCATAAAAACTAGACAGAAGCATTCTCAGAAACTTATCTGTGATGTATGTACTCAACTAACAGAACTAAACCATCGTTTTGAAGGAGCAGTTTTGAAACACTCTTTGTGCGGAATCTGCAAGTGGATATTTGGCTAGCTGGGAGGATTTCGTTGGAAACGGGATTACATACAAAAAGCAGACAGCAGCATTCTCAGAAACTTATTTGTGATGTGTGCCCTCAACTGACAGTGTTGAACCTTTGTTTTGATAGAGCAGTTCTGAAACACACTTTTTGTAAAATCTGCAAGAGGATATTTGCATAGCTTTGAGGATTTCGTTGGAAACGGGAATGTCTTCATGTAAACTCTAGACAGAAGCATTCTCAGAAACTGCTTTGGGATGTTTCAATTGAAGTCCCAGTGTTGAACATTCCCTTTCATAGAGCAGGTTTGAAACACTCTTTTTGTACTATCTGGAAGTGGACATTTGGAGCGCTTTCAGGTCTACGGTGAAAAAGGAGATATCTTCCAATAAAAACTAGATAGAAGCAATGTCAGAACTTTTTTCATGATGTATCTACTCAGCAAACAGAGTTGAACCTTTCTTTTGAGAGAGCAGTTTTGAAACACTCTTTTTGTGGAATATGCAAGTGGGTATTAGGCCAGCTTGGAGGATTTCGTTGGAAACGGGAATACGTATAAAAAGCAGACAGCAGCATTGTCAGAAACTACTTTGTGATGTTTGCATTCAAGTCACAGAATTGAACACTCCCTTTCACAGAGCAGGTTTGAAACACTCTTTTTGTAGTGTCTGTAAGTGAACATATGGATTGCTTTCAGGCCTAAGGTGAAAAAGGAAATATCTTCCCATAAAAACTAGACAGAAGCATTCTCAGAAACTTGTTTGTGATGTGTGCCCTCTACTGACAGAGTTGAACCTTTCTTTGCAAAGAGCAGTTTTGAAACACTCTTTTTGTAGAATCTGCAAGAGGATGTTTGGATAGCTTTGAGGATTTCTTGGGAAACGGGAATGTCTTCAGATAAACTCTAGACAGAAGCATTCTCAGAAACTTCTTTGGGATGTTTCAATTGAAGTCACAGTGTTGAACATTCCCTTTCACAGAGCAGGTTTGAAACACTCTTTTTGTAGTGTCTATAAGTGAACATTTGGCGTGCTTTCAGGCCTAACGTGAAAAAGGAAATATCTTCCCATAAAAACTAGACAGAAGCATTCTCAGAAACTTGTTCTTGATGTGTCCCCTCTACTGACAGAGTTGAACCTTTCTTTGCAAAGAGCAGCTTTGAAACACTCTTTTTGTAGAATCTGCAAGAGGATATTTGGATAGCTTGGAGGATTTCGTTGGAAACGGGTATGTCTTCAGATAAACTCTAGACAGAAGCATTCTCAGAAACTTCTTTGGGATGTTGCATTCAAGTCACAGAGTAGAACATTCCCATTCATAGAGCAGATTTGAAACACTCTTTTTGTAGTATCTGGAAGTGGACATTTGGAGCGCTTTCAGGCCTATGTTGAAAAAGGAAATATCTTCCCATAAAAACTAGACGGAAGCATTCTCAGAAACTTATTTGTGATGTGTTTGCTCAACTAACAGGATTGAACCATCGTTTTGAAGGAGCAGTTTTGAAACACTGTTTTCGTGGAATCTGCAAGTGGATATTTGGCTAGCTTTGAGGATTTCGTTGGAAACGGGATTACATATAAAAAGGAGACAGCAGCATTCTCAGAAACTTCTTTGTGATGTCTGCATTCAATTCACAGAGTTGAGCATTCCCTTTCATAGAGCAGGTTGGAAACACTCTTTTTGTAGTATCTGGATGTGGACATTTGGATCGCTTTCAGGCCTATGGTGAAAAAGGAAATATCTTCCCATGAAAACTAGACAGAAGCATTCTCAGAAACTTATTTGTGATGTGTGCACTCAACTGACAGTGTTGAACCTTTGTTTTGATAGAGCAGTTCTGAAACACACTTTTTGTAAAATCTGCAAGAGGATATTTGGATAGCTTTGAGGATTTCGTTGGAAACGGGAATGTCTTCATGTAAACTCTAGACAGAAGCATTCTCAGAAACTGCTTTGGGATGTTTCAATTGAAGTCCCAGTGTTGAACATTCCCATTCATAGAGCAGGTTTGAAACACTCTTTTTGTACTATCTGGAAGTGGACATTTGGAGCGCTTTCAGGTCTACGGTGAAAAAGGAGATATCTTCCAATAAAAACTAGATAGAAGCAATGTCAGAAATTTTTCCATGATGTATCTACTCAGCAAACAGAGTTGAACCTTTCTTTTGAGAGAGCAGTTTTGAAACACTCTTTTTGTGGAATATGCAAGTGGGTATTAGGCCAGCTTGGAGGATTTCGTTGGAAACGGGAATATGTATAAAAAGCAGACAGCAGCATTGTCAGAAACTACTTTGTGATGTTTGCATTCAAGTCACAGAATTGAACACTCCCTTTCACAGAGCAGGTTTGAAACACTCTTTTTGTAGTGTCTGTAAGTGAACATTTGGATTGCTTTCAGGCCTAAGGTGAAAAAGGAAATATCTTCCCATAAAAACTAGACAGAAGCATTCTCAGAAACTTGTTTGTGATGTGTGCCCTCTACTGACAGAGTTGAACCTTTCTTTGCAAAGAGCAGTTTTGAAACCCTCTTTTTGTAGAATCTGCAAGAGGATATTTGGATAGCTTTGAGGATTTCTTGGGAAACGGGAATGTCTTCAGATAAACTCTAGACAGAAGCATTCTCAGAAACTTCTTTGGGATGTTTCAATTGAAGTCACAGTGTTGAACATTCCCTTTCACAGAGCAGGTTTGAAACACTCTTTTTGTAGTGTCTATAAGTGAACATTTGGCGTGCTTTCAGGCGTAACGTGAAAAAGGAAATATCTTCCCATAAAAACCAGACAGAAGCATTCTCAGAAACTTGTTCGTGATGTGTGCCCTCTACTGACAGAGTTGAACCTTTCTTTGCAAAGAGCAGCTTTGAAACACACTTTTTGTAGAATCTGCAAGAGGATATTTGGATAGCTTTGAGGATTTCGTTGGAAACGGGTATGTCTTCAGATATACTCTAGACAGAAGCATTCTCAGAAATTTCTTTGGGATGTTGCATGCAAGTCACAGAGTAGAACATTCCCATTCATAGAGCAGATTTGAAACACTCTTTTTGTAGTATCTGGAAGTGGACATTTGGAGCGCTTTCAGGCCTATGTTGAAAAAGGAAATATCTTCCCATAAAAACTAGACGGAAGCATTCTCAGAAACTTAATTGTGATGAGTTTGCTCAACTAACAGGATTGAACCATCCTTTTGAAGGAGCAGTTTTGAAACACTGTTTTCGTGGAATCTGCAAGTGGATATTTGGCTAGCTTTGAGGATTTCGTTGGAAACGGGATTACATATAAAAAGGAGACAGCAGCATTCTCAGAAACTTCTTTGTGATGTCTGCATTTAATTCACAGAGTTGAGCATTCCCTTTCATAGAGCAGGTTGGAAACACTCTTTTTGTAGTATCTGGATGAGGACATTTGGAGCGCTTTCAGGCGTATGGTGAAAAGGGAAATATCTTCCCGTAAAAACTAGACAGAAGCATTCTCAGAAATTTATTTGTGATGTGTGCCCTCAACTAACAGAGTTGAACCTTTCTTTTGATAGAGCAGTTTTGAAACACTCTTTTTGTTAAATCTGCAAGAGGATATTTGGATAGCTTTGAGGATTTCGTTGCAAACGGAAATGGCTTCATATAAACTCTAGACAGAAGCATTCTCAGAAACTTCGTTGGGATGTTGCGATTGAAGTCCCAGTGTTGAACATTCCCTTTTATAGAGCAGGTTGGAAACACTCTTTCTGCATTCCCTGGAAGTGGACATTTGGAGCGCTTTCAGGACGACGGTGAAAATGGAAATATCTTCCAAGAAAATCTAGATAGAAGCAACGTCAGAAACTTTTATGTGATGGATCTACTCAGCTAACAGAGTTGAACCTTTCTTTTGAGAGAGCAGTTTTGCAACACTCTTTTTGTGGAATATGCAAGTGGATATTAGGGCAGCTTTGAGGATTTCGTTGGAAACGGGAATACATGTAAAAAGCAGACAGCAGCATTCTCAGAAACTTCTTTGTGATGTTTGCATTGAAGTCACAGAGTTGAACATTCCCTTTGAGAGAGCAGGTTTGAAACACGCCTTTTGTCATATCTGGAAGTGTCCATTCGGAGCGCATTCAGGCTTGTGTTGAAAAAGGAAATATCCTCCCATAAAAACTAGACAGAAGCATTCTCAGAAACTTATCTGTGATGTATGTACTCAACTAACAGAACTAAACCATCGTTTTGAAGGAGCAGTTTTGAAACACTCTTTTTGCGGAATCTGCAAGTGGATATTTGGCTAGCTGGGAGGATTTCGTTGGAAACGGGATTACATACAAAAAGCAGAGAGCTAGCATTCTCAGAAACTTATTTGTGATGTGTGCCCTCAACTGACAGTGTTGAACCTTTGTTTTGATAGAGCAGTTCTGAAACACACTTTTTGTAAAATCTGCAAGAGGATATTTGGATAGCTTTGAGGATTTCGTTGGAAACGGGAATGTCTTCATGTAAACTCTAGACAGAGCATTCTCAGAAACTGCTTTGGGATGTTTCAATTGAAGTCCCAGTGTTGAACATTCCCATTCATAGAGCAGGTTTGAAACACTCTTTTTGTACTATCTGGAAGTGGACATTTGGAGCGCTTTCAGGTCTACGGTGAAAAAGGAGATATCTTCCAATAAAAACTAGATAGAAGCAATGTCAGAACTTTTTTCATGATGTATCTACTCAGCTAACAGAGTTGAACCTTTCTTTTGAGAGAGCAGTTTTGAAACACTCTTTTTGTGGAATATGCAAGTGGGTATTAGGCCAGCTTGGAGGATTTCGTTGGAAACGGGAATACGTATAAAAAGCAGACAGCAGCATTGTCAGAAACTACTTTGTGATGTTTGCATTCAAGTCACAGAATTGAACACTCCCTTTCACAGAGCAGGTTTGAAACACTCTTTTTGTAGTGTCTGTAAGTGAACATATGGATTGCTTTCAGGCCTAAGGTGAAAAAGGAAATATCTTCCCATAAAAACTAGACAGAAGCATTCTCAGAAACTTGTTCGTGATGTGTGCCCTCTACTGACAGAGTTGAACCTTTCTTTGCAAAGAGCAGCTTTGAAACACTCTTTTTGTAGAATCTGCAAGAGGATATGTGGATAGCTTTGAGGATTTCGTTGGAAACGGGTATGTCTTCAGATAAACTCTAGACAGAAGCATTCTCAGAAACTTCTTTGGGATGTTTCAATTGAAGTCACAGTGTTGAACATTCCCTTTCACAGAGCAGGTTTGAAACACTCTTTTTGTAGTGTCTATAAGTGAACATTTGGCGTGCTTTCAGGCCTAACGTGAAAAAGGAAATGTCTTCCCATAAAAACTAGACAGAAGCATTCTCAGAAACTTGTTCTTGATGTGTCCCCTCTACTGACAGAGTTGAACCTTTCTTTGCAAAGAGCAGCTTTGAAACACTCTTTTTGTAGAATCTGCAAGAGGATATTTGGATAGCTTGGAGGATTTCGTTGGAAACGGGTATGTCTTCAGATAAACTCTAGACAGAAGCATTCTCAGAAACTTCTTTGGGATGTTGTATTCAAGTCACAGAGTAGAACATTCCCATTCATAGAGCAGATTTGAAACACTCTTTTTGTAGTATCTGGAAGTGGACATTTGGAGCGCTTTCAGGCCTATGTTGAAAAAGGAAATATCTTCCCATAAAAACTAGACGGAAGCATTCTCAGAAACTTATTTGTGATGTGTTTGCTCAACTAACAGGATTGAACCATCGTTTTGAAGGAGCAGTTTTGAAACACTGTTTTCGTGGAATCTGCAAGTGGATATTTGGCTAGCTTTGAGGATTTCGTTGGAAACGGGATTACATATAAAAAGGAGACAGCAGCATTCTCAGAAACTTCTTTGTGATGTCTGCATTCAATTCACAGAGTTGAGCATTCCCTTTCCTAGAGCACGTTGGAAACACTCTTTTTGTAGTATCTGGATGAGGACATTTGGAGCGCTTTCAGGCGTATGGTGAAAAAGGAAATATCTTCCCGTAAAAACTAGACAGAAGCATTCTCAGAAGTTTATTTGTGATGTGTGCCCTCAACTAACAGAGTTGAACCTTTCTTTTGATAGAGCAGTTTTGAAACACTCTTTTTGTAAAATCTGCAAGAGGATATTTGGATAGCTTTGAGGATTTCGTTGCAAACGGGAATGGCTTCATATAAACTCTAGACAGAAGCATTCTCAGAAACTTCGTTGGGATGTTTCGATTGAAGTCCCAGTGTTGAACATTCCCTTTTATAGAGCAGGTTGGAAACACTCTTTCTGCATTCCCTGGAAGTGGACATTTGGAGCGCTTTCAGGACGACGGTGAAAATGGAAATATCTTCCAAGAAAATCTAGATAGAAGCAATGTCAGAAACTTTTATGTGATGGATCTACTCAGCTAACAGAGTTGAACCTTTTTTTTGAGAGAGCAGTTTTGCAACACTCTTTTTGTGGAATATGCAAGTGGATATTAGGGCAGCTTTGAGGATTTCGTTGGAAACGGGAATACATGTAAAAAGCAGACAGCAGCATTCTCAGAAACTTCTTTGTGATGTTTGCATTGAAGTCACAGAGTTGAACATTCCCTTTGAGAGAGCAGGTTTGAAACACGCCTTTTGTCATATCTGGAAGTGTCCATTCGGAGCGCATTCAGGCTTGTGTTGAAAAAGGAAATATCCTCCCATAAAAACTAGACAGAAGCATTCTCAGAAACTTATCTGTGATGTATGTACTCAACTAACAGAACTAAACCATCGTTTTGAAGGAGCAGTTTTGAAACACTCTTTTTGCGGAATCTGCAAGTGGATATTTGGCTAGCTGGGAGGATTTCGTTGGAAACGGGATTACATACAAAAAGCAGACAGCAGCATTCTCAGTAAACTTCTTTGTGATGTCTGCATTCAAGTCACAGAGTTGAACATTCCCTTTCATAGAGCAGGTTTGAAACACTCTTTTTGTAGTATCTGGATGCGGACATTTGGATCGCTTTCAGGCCTATGGTGAAAAAGGAAATATCTTCCCATGAAAACTAGACAGAAGCATTCTCAGAAACTTATTTGTGATGTGTGCCCTCAACTGACAGTGTTGAACCTTTGTTTTGATAGAGCAGTTCTGAAACACACTTTTTGTAAAATCTGCAAGAGGATATTTGGATAGCTTTGAGGATTTCGTTGGAAACGGGAATGTCTTCATGTAAACTCTAGACAGAAGCATTCTCAGAAACTGCTTTGGGATGTTTCAATTGAAGTCCCAGTGTTGAACATTCCCTTTCATAGAGCAGGTTTGAAACACTCTTTTTGTACTATCTGGAAGTGGACATTTGGAGCGCTTTCAGGTCTACGGTGAAAAAGGAGATATCTTCCAATAACAACCAGATAGAAGCAATGTCAGAACTTTTTTCATGATGTATCTACTCAGCAAACAGAGTTGAACCTTTCTTTTGAGAGAGCAGTTTTGAAACACTCTTTTTGTGGAATATGCAAGTGGGTATTAGGCCAGCTTGGAGGATTTCGTTGGAAACGGGAATACGTATAAAAAGCAGACAGCAGCATTGTCAGAAACTACTTTGTGATGTTTGCATTCAAGTCACAGAACTGAACACTCCCTTTCACAGAGCAGGTTTGAAACACTCTTTTTGTAGTGTCTGTAAGTGAACATTTGGATTGCTTTCAGGCCTAAGGTGAAAAAGGAAATATCTTCCCATAAAAACTAGACAGAAGCATTCTCAGAAACTTGTTTGTGATGTGTGCCCTCTACTGACAGAGTTGAACCTTTCTTTGCAAAGAGCAGTTTTGAAACACTCTTTTTGTAGAATCTGCAAGAGGATATTTGGATAGCTTTGAGGATTTCTTGGGAAACGGGAATGTCTTCAGATAAACTCTAGACAGAAGCATTCTCAGAAACTTCTTTGGGATGTTTCAATTGAAGTCACAGTGTTGAACATTCCCTTTCACAGAGCAGGTTTGAAACACTCTTTTTGTAGTGTCTATAAGTGAACATTTGGCGTGCTTTCAGGCGTAACGTGAAAAAGGAAATATCTTCCCATAAAAACTAGACAGAAGCATTCTCAGAAACTTGTTCGTGATGTGTGCCCTCTACTGACAGAGTTGAACCTTTCTTTGCAAAGAGCAGCTTTGAAACACACTTTTTGTAGAATCTGCATGAGGATATTTGGATAGCTTTGAGGATTTCCTTGGAAACGGGTATGTCTTCAGATAAACTCTAGACAGAAGCATTCTCAGAAACTTCTTTGGGATGTTGCATGCAAGTCACAGAGTAGAACATTCCCATTCATAGAGCAGATTTGAAACACTCTTTTTGTAGTATCTGGAAGTGGACATTTGGAGCGCTTTCAGGCCTATGTTGAAAAAGGAAATATCTTCCCATAAAAACTAGACGGAAGCATTCTCAGAAACTTATTTGTGATGTGTTTGCTCAACTAACAGGATTGAACCATCCTTTTGAAGGAGCAGTTTTGAAACACTGTTTTCGTGGAATCTGCAAGTGGATATTTGGCTAGCTTTGAGGATTTCGTTGGAAACGGGATTACATATAAAAAGGAGACAGCAGCATTCTCAGAAACTTCTTTGTGATTTCTGCATTCAATTCACAGAGTTGAGCATTCCCTTTCATAGAGCAGGTTGGAAACACTCTTTTTGTAGTATCTGGATGAGGACATTTGGAGCGCTTTCAGGCGTATGGTGAAAAAGGAAATATCTTCCCGTAAAAACTAGACAGAAGCATTCTCAGAAATTTATTTGTGATGTGTGCCCTCAACTAACAGAGTTGAACCTTTCTTTTGATAGAGCAGTTTTGAAACACTCTTTTTGTAAAATCTGCAAGAGGATATTTGGATAGCTTTGAGGATTTCGTTGCAAACGGGAATGGCTTCATATAAACTCTAGACAGAAGCATTCTCAGAAACTTCGTTGGGATGTTTCGATTGAAGTCCCAGTGTTGAACATTCCCTTTTATAGAGCAGGTTGGAAACACTCTTTCTGCATTCCCTGGAAGTGGACATTTGGTGCGCTTTCAGGACGACTGTGAAAATGGAAATATCTTCCAATAAAATCTAGATAGAAGCAACGTCAGAAACTTTTATGTGATGGATCTACTCAGCTAACAGAGTTGAACCTTTCTTTTGAGAGAGCAGTTTTGCAACACTCTTTTTGTGGAATATGCAAGTGGATATTAGGGCAGCTTTGAGGATTTCGTTGGAAACGGGAATACATGTAAAAAGCAGACAGCAGCATTCTCAGAAACTTCTTTGTGATGTTTGCATTGAAGTCACAGAGTTGAACATTCCCTTTGAGAGAGCAGGTTTGAAACACGCCTTTTGTCATATCTGGAAGTGTCCATTCGGAGCGCATTCAGGCTTGTGTTGAAAAAGGAAATATCCTCCCATAAAAACTAGACAGAAGCATTCTCAGAAACTTATCTGTGATGTATGTACTCAACTAACAGAACTAAACCATCGTTTTGAAGGAGCAGTTTTGAAACACTCTTTTTGCGGAATCTGCAAGTGGATATTTGGCTAGCTGGGAGGATTTCGTTGGAAACGGGATTACATACAAAAAGCAGACAGCAGCATTCTCAGAAACTTCTTTGTGATGTTTGCATTCAAGTCACAGAGTTGAACATTCCCTTTCATAGAGCAGGTTTGAAACACTCTTTTTGTAGTATCTGGATGTGGACATTTGGATCGCTTTCAGGCCTATGGTGAAAAAGGAAATATCTTCCCATGAAAACTAGACAGAAGCATTCTCAGAAACTTATTTGCGATGTGTGCCCTCAACTGACAGTGTTGAACCTTTGTTTTGATAGAGCAGTTCTGAAACACACTTTTTGTAAAATCTGCAAGAGGATATTTGGATAGCTTTGAGGATTTCGTTGGAAACGGGAATGTCTTCATGTAAACTCTGGACAGAAGCATTCTCAGAAACTGCTTTGGGATGTTTCAATTGAAGTCCCAGTGTTGAACATTCCCTTTCATAGAGCAGGTTTGAAACACTCTTTTTGTACTATCTGGAAGTGGACATTTGGAGCGCTTTCAGGTCTACGGTGAAAAAGGAGATATCTTCCAATAAAAACTAGATAGAAGCAATGTCAGAACTTTTTTCATGATGTATCTACTCAGCAAACAGAGTTGAACCTTTCTTTTGAGAGAGCAGTTTTGAAACACTCTTTTTGTGGAATATGCAAGTGGGTATTAGGCCAGCTTGGAGGATTTCGTTGGAAACGGGAATACGTATAAAAAGCAGACAGCAGCATTGTCAGAAACTACTTTGTGATGTTTGCATTCAAGTCACAGAATTGAACACTCCCTTTCACAGAGCAGGTTTGAAACACTCTTTTTGTAGTGTCTGTAAGTGAACATTTGGATTGCATTCAGGCCTAAGGTGAAAAAGGAAATATCTTCCCATAAAAACTAGACAGAAGCATTCTCAGAAACTTGTTTGTGATGTGTGCCCTCTACTGACAGAGTTGAACCTTTCTTTGCAAAGAGCAGTTTTGAAACACTCTTTTTGTAGAATCTGCAAGAGGATATTTGGATAGCTTTGAGGATTTCTTGGGAAACGGGAATGTCTTCAGATAAACTCTAGACAGAAGCATTCTCAGAAACTTCTTTGGGATGTTTCAATTGAAGTCACAGTGTTGAACATTCCCTTTCACAGAGCAGGTTTGAAACACTCTTTTTGTAGTGTCTATAATTGAACATTTGGCGTGCTTTCAGGCCTAACGTGAAAAAGGAAATATCTTCCCATAAAAACTAGACAGAAGCATTCTCAGTAAACTTGTTTGTGATGTGTGCCCTCTACTGACAGAGTTGAACCTTTCTTTGCAAAGAGCAGCTTTGAAACACTCTTTTTGTAGAATCTGCAAGAGGATATGTGGATAGCTTTGAGGATTTCGTTGGAAACGGGTATGTCTTCAGATAAACTCTAGACAGAAGCATTCTCAGAAACTTCTTTGGGATGTTGCATTCAAGTCACAGAGTAGAACATTCCCATTCATAGAGCAGATTTGAAACACTCTTTTTGTAGTATCTGGAAGTGGACATTTGGAGCGCTTTCAGGCCTATGTTGAAAAAGGAAATATCTTCCCATAAAAACTAGACGGAAGCATTCTCAGAAACTTACTTGTGATGTGTTTGCTCAACTAACAGAATTGAACCATCGTTTTGAAGGAGCAGTTTTGAAACACTGTTTTCGTGGAATCTGCAAGTGGATATTTGGCTAGCTTTGAGGATTTCGTTGGAAACGGGATTACATATAAAAAGGAGACAGCAGCATTCTCAGAAACTTCTTTGTGATGTCTGCATTCAAGTCACAGAGTTGAGCATTCCCTTTCATAGAGAAGGTTGGAAACACTCTTTTTGTAGTATCTGGATGAGGACATTTGGAGCGCTTTCAGGCGTATGGTGAAAAAGGAAATATCTTCCCGTAAAAACTAGACAGAAGCATTCTCAGAAATTTATTTGTGATGTGTGCCCTCAACTAACAGAGTTGAACCTTTCTTTTGATAGAGCAGTTTTGAAACACTCTTTTTGTAAAATCTGCAAGAGGATATTTGGATAGCTTTGAGGATTTCATTGCAAACGGGAATGGCTTCATATAAACTCTAGACAGAAGCATTCTCAGAAACTTCGTCGGGATGTTTCGATTGAAGTCCCAGTGTTGAACATTCCCTTTTATAGAGCAGGTTGGAAACACTCTTTCTGCATTCCCTGGAAGTGGACATTTGGAGCGCTTTCAGGACGACGGTGAAAATGGAAATATCTTCCAATAAAATCTGGATAGAAGCAATGTCAGAAACTATTCTGTGATGGATCTACTCAGCTAACAGAGTTGAACCTTTCTTTTGAGAGAGCAGTTTTGCAACACTCTTTTTGTGGAATATGCAAGTGGATATTAGGGCAGCTTTGAGGATTTCGTTGGAAACGGGAATACATGTAAAAAGCAGACAGCAGCATTCTCAGAAACTTCTTTGTGATGTTTGCATTGAAGTCACAGAGTTGAACATTCCCTTTGAGAGAGCAGGTTTGAAACACGCCTTTTGTCATATCTGGAAGTGTCCATTCGGAGCGCATTCAGGCTTGTGTTGAAAAAGGAAATATCCTCCCATAAAAACTAGACAGAAGCATTCTCAGAAACCTATTTGTGATGTATGTACTCAACTAACAGAACTAAACCATCGTTTTGAAGGAGCAGTTTTGAAACACTCTTTTTGCGGAATCTGCAACTGGATATTTGGCTAGCTTGGAGGATTTCGTTGGAAACGGGATTACATACAAAAAGCAGACAGCAGCATTCTCAGAAACTTCTTTGTGATGTTTGCATTCAAGTCGCAGAGTTGAACATTCCCTTTCATAGAGCAGGTTTGAAACACTCTTTTTGTAGTATCTGGATGTGGACATTTGGATCGCTTTCAGGCCTATGGTGAAAAAGGAAATATCTTCCCATGAAAACTAGACAGAAGCATTCTCAGAAACTTATTTGTGATGTGTGCCCTCAACTGACAGTGTTGAACCTTTGTTTTGATAGAGCAGTTCTGAAACACACTTTTTGTAAAATCTGCAAGAGGATATTTGGATAGCTTTGAGGATTTCGTTGGAAACGGGAATGTCTTCATGTAAACTCTAGACAGAAGCATTCTCAGAAACTGCTTTGGGATGTTTCAACTGAAGTCCCAGTGTTGAACATTCCCTTTCATAGAGCAGGTTTGAAACACTCTTTTTGGAGTATCTGGAAGTGGACATTTGGAGCGCTTTCAGGTCTACGGTGAAAAAGGAGATATCCTCCAATAAAAACTAGATAGAAGCAATGTCAGAACTTTTTTCATGATGTATCTACTCAGGAAACAGAGCTGAACCTTTCTTTTGACAGAGCAGTTTTGAAACACTCTTTTTGTGGAATATGCAAGTGGGTATTAGGCCAGCTTGGAGGATTTCGTTGGAAACGGGAATACGTATAAAAAGCAGACAGCAGCATTGTCAGAAACTACTTTGTGATGTTTGCATTCAAGTCACAGAATTGAACACTCCCTTTCACAGAGCAGGTTTGAAACACTCTTTTTGTAGTGTCTATAAGTGAACATTTGGCGTGCTTTCAGGCCTAACGTGAAAAAGGAAATATCTTCCCATAAAAACTAGACAGAAGCATTCTCAGAAACTTGTTCGTGATGTGTGCCCTCTACTGACAGAGTTGAACCTTTCTTTGCAAAGAGCAGCTTTGAAACACTCTTTTTGTAGAATCTGCAAGAGGATATTTGGATAGCTTTGAGGATTTCGTTGGAAACGGGTATGTCTTCAGATAAACTCTAGACAGAAGCATTCTCAGAAACTTCTTTGGGATGTTGCATTCAAGTCACAGAGTAGAACATTCCCATTCATAGAGCAGATTTGAAACACTCTTTTTGTAGTATCTGGAAGTGGACATTTGGAGCGCTTTCAGGCCTATGTTGAAAAAGGAAATATCTTCCCATAAAAACTAGACAGAAGCATTCTCAGAAACTTACTTGTGATGTGTTTGCTCAACTAACAGAATTGAACCATCGTTTTGAAGGAGCAGTTTTGAAACACTGTTTTCGTGGAATCTGCAAGTGGATATTTGGCTAGCTTTGAGGATTTCGTTGGAAACGGGATTACATATAAAAAGGAGACAGCAGCATTCTCAGAAACTTCTTTGTGATGTCTGCATTCAAGTCACAGAGTTGAGCATTCCCTTTCATAGAGCAGGTTGGAAACACTCTTTTTGTAGTATCTGGATGAGGACATTTGGAGCGCTTTCAGGCGTATGGTGAAAAAGGAAATATCTTCCCATAAAAACTAGACAGAAGCATTCTCAGAAACTTGTTTGTGATGTGTGCCCTCTACTGACAGAGTTGAACCTTTCTTTGCAAAGAGCAGTTTTGAAACACTCTTTTTGTAGAATCTGCAAGAGGATATTTGGATAGCTTTGAGGATTTCTTGGGAAACGGGAATGTCTTCAGATAAACTCTAGACAGAAGCATTCTCAGAAACTTCTTTGGGATGTTTCAATTGAAGTCACAGTGTTGAACATTCCCTTTCACAGAGCAGGTTTGAAACACTCTTTTTGTAGTGTCTATAAGTGAACATTTGGCGTGCTTTCAGGCGTAACGTGAAAAAGGAAATATCTTCCCATAAAAACTAGACAGAAGCATTCTCAGAAACTTGTTCTTGATGTGTCCCCTCTACTGACAGAGTTGAACCTTTCTTTGCAAAGAGCAGCTTTGAAACACTCTTTTTGTAGAATCTGCAAGAGGATATTTGGATAGCTTGGAGGATTTCGTTGGAAACGGGTATGACTTCAGATAAACTCTAGACAGAAGCATTCTCAGAAACTTCTTTGGGATGTTGCATTCAAGTCACAGAGTAGAACATTCCCATTCATAGAGCAGATTTGAAACACTCTTTTTGTAGTATCTGGAAGTGGACATTTGGAGCGCTTTCAGGCCTATGTTGAAAAAGGAAATATCTTCCCATAAAAACTAGACGGAAGCATTCTCAGAAACTTATTTGTGATGTGTTTGCTCAACTAACAGGATTGAACCATCGTTTTGAAGGAGCAGTTTTGAAACACTGTTTTCGTGGAATCTGCAAGTGGATATTTGGCTAGCTTTGAGGATTTCGTTGGAAACGGGATTACATATAAAAAGGAGACAGCAGCATTCTCAGAAACTTCTTTGTGATGTCTGCATTCAATTCACAGAGTTGAGCATTCCCTTTCATAGAGCAGGTTGGAAACACTCTTTTTGTAGTATCTGGATGAGGACATTTGGAGCGCTTTCAGGCGTATGGTGAAAAAGGAAATATCTTCCCGTAAAAACCAGACAGAAGCATTCTCAGAAATTTATTTGTGATGTGTGCCCTCAACTAACAGAGTTGAACCTTTCTTTTGATAGAGCAGTTTTGAAACACTCTTTTTGTAAAATCTGCAAGAGGATATTTGGATAGCTTTGAGGATTTCGTTGCAAACGGGAATGGCTTCATATAAACTCTAGACAGAAGCATTCTCAGAAACTTCGTTGGGATGTTTCGATTGAAGTCCCAGTGTTGAACATTCCCATTCATAGAGCAGGTTTGAAACACTCTTTTTGTACTATCTGGAAGTGGACATTTGGAGCGCTTTCAGGTCTACGGTGAAAAAGGAGATATCTTCCAATAAAAACTAGATAGAAGCAATGTCAGAACTTTTTTCATGATGTATCTACTCAGCAAACAGAGTTGAACCTTTCTTTTGAGAGAGCAGTTTTGAAACACTCTTTTTGTGGAATATGCAAGTGGGTATTAGGCCAGCTTGGAGGATTTCGTTGGAAACGGGAATACGTATAAAAAGCAGACAGCAGCATTGTCAGAAACTACTTTGTGATGTTTGCATTCAAGTCACAGAATTGAACACTCCCTTTCACAGAGCAGGTTTGAAACACTCTTTTTGTAGTGTCTGTAAGTGAACATATGGATTGCTTTCAGGCCTAAGGTGAAAAAGGAAATATCTTCCCATAAAAACTAGACAGAAGCATTCTCAGAAACTTGTTTGTGATGTGTGCCCTCTACTGACAGAGTTGAACCTTTCTTTGCAAAGAGCAGTTTTGAAACAGTCTTTTTGTAGAATCTGCAAGAGGATATTTGGATAGCTTTGAGGATTTCTTGGGAAACGGGAATGTCTTCAGATAAACTCTAGACAGAAGCATTCTCAGAAACTTCTTTGGGATGTTTCAATTGAAGTCACAGTGTTGAACATTCCCTTTCACAGAGCAGGTTTCAAACACTCTTTTTGTAGTGTCTATAAGTGAACATTTGGCGTGCTTTCAGGCCTAACGTGAAAAAGGAAATATCTTCCCATAAAAACTAGACAGAAGCATTCTCAGAAACTTGTTCGTGATGTGTGCCCTCCACTGACAGAGTTGAACCTTTCTTTGCAAAGAGCAGCTTTGAAACACTCTTTTTGTAGAATCTGCAAGAGGATATGTGGATAGCTTTGAGGATTTCGTTGGAAACGGGTATGTCTTCAGATAAACTCTAGACAGAAGCATTCTCAGAAACTTCTTTGGGATGTTGCATTCAAGTCACAGAGTAGAACATTCCCATTCATAGAGCAGATTTGAAACACTCTTTTTGTAGTATCTGGAAGTGGACATTTGGAGCCCTTTCAGGCCTATGTTGAAAAAGGAAATATCTTCCCATAAAAACTAGACGGAAGCATTCTCAGAAACTTATTTGTGATGTGTTTGCTCAACTAACAGGATTGAACCATCGTTTTGAAGGAGCAGTTTTGAAACACTGTTTTCGTGGAATCTGCAAGTGGATATTTGGCTAGCTTTGAGGATTTCGTTGGAAACGGGATTACATATAAAAAGGAGACAGCAGCATTCTCAGAAACTTCTTTGTGATGTCTGCATTCAAGTCACAGAGTTGAGCATTCCCTTTCATAGAGCAGGTTGGAAACACTCTTTTTGTAGTATCTGGATGAGGACATTTGGAGCGCTTTCAGGCCTATGGTGAAAAAGGAAATATCTTCCCGTAAAAACTAGACAGAAGCATTCTCAGAAGTTTATTTGTGATGTGTGCCCTCAACTAACAGAGTTGAACCTTTCTTTTGATAGAGCAGTTTTGAAACACTCTTTTTGTAAAATCTGCAAGAGGATATTTGGATAGCTTTGAGGATTTCGTTGCAAACGGGAATGGCTTCATATAAACTCTAGACAGAAGCATTCTCAGAAACCTCGTTGGGATGTTTCGATTGAAGTCCCAGTGTTGAACATTCCCTTTTATAGAGCAGGTTGGAAACACTCTTTCTGCATTCCCTGGAAGTGGACATTTGGAGCGCTTTCAGGACGACGGTGAAAATGGAAATATCTTCCAAGAAAATCTAGATAGAAGCAACGTCAGAAACTTTTCTGTGATGGATCTACTCAGCTAACAGAGTTGAACCTTTCTTTTGAGAGAGCAGTTTTGCAACACTCTTTTTGTGGAATATGCAAGTGGATATTAGGGCAGCTTTGAGGATTTCGTTGGAAACGGGAATACATGTAAAAAGCAGACAGCAGCATTCTCAGAAACTTCTTTGTGATGTTTGCATTGAAGTCACAGAGTTGAACATTCCCTTTGAGAGAGCAGGTTTGAAACACGCCTTTTGTCATATCTGGAAGTGTCCATTCGGAGCGCATTCAGGCTTGTGTTGAAAAAGGAAATATCCTCCCATAAAAACTAGACAGAAGCATTCTCAGAAACTTATCTGTGATGTATGTACTCAACTAACAGAACTAAACCATCGTTTTGAAGGAGCAGTTTTGAAACACTCTTTTTGCGGAATCTGCAAGTGGATATTTGGCTAGCTGGGAGGATTTCGTTGGAAACGGGATTACATACAAAAAGGAGACAGCAGCATTCTCAGAAACTTATTTGTGATGTGTGCCCTCAACTGACAGTGTTGAACCTTTGTTTTGATAGAGCAGTTCTGAAACACACCTTTTGTAAAATCTGCAAGAGGATATTTGGATAGCTTTGAGGATTTCGTTGGAAACGGGAATGTCTTCATGTAAACTCTACACAGAAGCATTCTCAGAAACTGCTTTGGGATGTTTCAATTGAAGTCCCAGTGTTGAATATTCCCTTTCATAGAGCAGGTTTGAAACACTCTTTTTGTACTATCTGGAAGTGGACATTTGGAGCGCTTTCAGGTCTACGGTGAAAAAGGAGATATCTTCCAATAAAAACTAGATAGAAGCAATGTCAGAACTTTTTTCATGATGTATCTACTCAGCAAACAGAGTTGAACCTTTCTTTTGAGAGAGCAGTTTTGAAACACTCTTTTTGTGGAATATGAAAGTGGGTATTAGGCCAGCTTGGAGGATTTCGTTGGAAACGGGAATACGTATAAAAAGCAGACAGCAGCATTGTCAGAAACTACTTTGTGATGTTTGCATTCAAGTCAAAGAACTGAACACTCCCTTTCACAGAGCAGGTTTGAAACACTCTTTTTGTAGTGTCTGTAAGTGAACATTTGGATTGCTTTCAGGCCTAAGGTGAAAAAGGAAATATCTTCCCATAAAAACTAGACAGAAGCATTCTCAGAAACTTGTTCGTGATGTGTGCCCTCTACTGACAGAGTTGAACCTTTCTTTGCAAAGAGCAGTTTTGAAACACTCTTTTTGTAGAATCTGCAAGAGGATATTTGGATAGCTTTGAGGATTTCTTGGGAAACGGGAATGTCTTCAGATAAACTCTAGACAGAAGCATTCTCAGAAACTTCTTTGGGATGTTTCAATTGAAGTCACAGTGTTGAACATTCCCTTTCACAGAGCAGGTTTGAAACACTCTTTTTGTAGTGTCTATAATTGAACATTTGGCGTGCTTTCAGGCCTAACGTGAAAAAGGAAATATCTTCCCATAAAAACTAGACAGAAGCATTCTCAGAAACTTGTTCGTGATGTGTGCCCTCTACTGACAGAGTTGAACCTTTCTTTGCAAAGAGCAGCTTTGAAACACTCTTTTTGTAGAATCTGCAAGAGGATATTTGGATAGCTTTGAGGATTTCGTTGGAAACGGGTATGTCTTCAGATAAACTCTAGACAGAAGCATTCTCAGAAACTTCTTTGGGATGTTGCATTCAAGTCACAGAGTAGAACATTCCCATTCATAGAGCAGATTTCAAACACTCTTTTTGTAGTATCTGGAAGTGGACATTTGGAGCGCTTTCAGGCCTATGTTGAAAAAGGAAATATCTTCCCATAAAAACTAGACGGAAGCATTCTCAGAAACTTACTTGTGATGTGTTTGCTCAACTAACAGAATTGAACCATCGTTTTAAAGGAGCAGTTTTGAAACACTGTTTTCGTGGAATCTGCAAGTGGATATTTGGCTAGCTTTGAGGATTTCGTTGGAAACGGGATTACATATAAAAAGGAGACAGCAGCATTCTCAGAAACTTCTTTGTGATGTCTGCATTCAAGTCACAGAGTTGAGCATTCCCTTTCATAGAGAAGGTTGGAAACACTCTTTTTGTAGTATCTGGATGAGGACATTTGGAGCGCTTTCAGGCGTATGGTGAAAAAGGAAATATCTTCCCGTAAAAACTAGACAGAAGCATTCTCAGAAGTTTATTTGTGATGTGTGCCCTCAAATAACAGAGTTGAACCTTTCTTTTGATAGAGCAGTTTTGAAACACTCTTTTTGTAAAATCTGCAAGAGGATATTTGGATAGCTTTGAGGATTTCGTTGCAAACGGGAATGGCTTCATATAAACTCTAGACAGAAAGCATTCTCAGAAACTTCGTCGGGATGTTTCGATTGAAGTCCCAGTGTTGAACATTCCCTTTTATAGAGCAGGTTGGAAACACTCTTTCTGCATTCCCTGGAAGTGGACAATTGGAGCGCTTTCAGGACGACGGTGAAAATGGAAATATCTTCCAATAAAATCTGGATAGAGCAATGTCAGAAACTTTTATGTGATGGATCTACTCAGCTAACAGAGTTGAACCTTTCTTTTGAGAGAGCAGTTTTGCAACACTCTTTTTGTGGAATATGCAAGTGGATATTAGGGCAGCTTTGAGGATTTCGTTGGAAACGGGAATACATGTAAAAAGCAGACAGCAGCATTCTCAGAAACTTCTTTGTGATGTTTGCATTGAAGTCACAGAGTTGAACATTCCCTTTGAGAGAGCAGGTTTGAAACACGCCTTTTGTCATATCTGGAAGTGTCCATTCGGAGCGCATTCAGGCTTGTGTTGAAAAAGGAAATATCCTCCCAGAAAAACTAGACAGAAGCATTCTCAGAAACTTATCTGTGATGTATGTACTCAACTAACAGAACTAAACCATCGTTTTGAAGGAGTAGTTTTGAAAAACTCTTTTTGCGGAATCTGCAAGTGGATATTTGGCTAGCTGGGAGGATTTCGTTGGAAACGGGATTACATCCAAAAAGCAGACAGCAGCATTCTCAGAAACTTCTTTGTGATGTTTGCATTCAAGTCACAGAGTTGAACATTCCCTTTCATAGAGCAGGTTTGAAACACTCTTTTTGTAGTATCTGGATGTGGACATTTGGATCGCTTTCAGGCCTATGGTGAAAAAGGAAATATCTTCCCATGAAAACTAGACAGAAGCATTCTCAGAAACTTATTTGTGATGTGTGCCCTCAACTGACAGTGTTGAACCTTTGTTTTGATAGAGCAGTTCTGAAACACACTTTTTGTAAAATCTGCAAGAGGATATTTGGATAGCTTTGAGGATTTCGTTGGAAACGGGAATGTCTTCATGTAAACTCTACACAGAAGCATTCTCAGAAACTGCATTGGGATGTTTCAATTGAAGTCCCAGTGTTGAACATTCCCATTCATAGAGCAGGTTTGAAACACTCTTTTTGTACTATCTGGAAGTGGACATTTGGAGCGCTTTCAGGTCTACGGTGAAAAAGGAGATATCTTCCAATAAAAACTAGATAGAAGCAATGTCAGAACTTTTTTCATGATGTATCTACTCAGCACACAGAGTTGAACCTTTCTTTTGAGAGAGCAGTTTTGAAACACTCTTTTTGTGGAATATGCAAGTGGGTATTAGGCCAGCTTGGAGGATTTCGTTGGAAACGGGAATATGTATAAAAAGCAGACAGCAGCATTGTCAGAAACTACTTTGTGATGTTTGCATTCAAGTCACAGAATTGAACACTCCCTTTCACAGAGCAGGTTTGAAACACTCTTTTTGTAGTGTCTGTAAGTGAACATATGGATTGCTTTCAGGCCTAAGGTGAAAAAGGAAATATCTTCCCATAAAAACTAGACAGAAGCACTCTCAGAAACTTGTTTGTGATGTGTGCCCTCTACTGACAGAGTTGAACCTTTCTTTGCAAAGAGCAGTTTTGAAACACTCCTTTTGTAGAATCTGCAAGAGGATATTTGGATAGCTTTGAGGATTTCTTGGGAAACGGGAATGTCTTCAGATAAACTCTAGACAGAAGCATTCTCAGAAACTTCTTGGGATATTTCAATTGAAGTCACAGTGTTGAACATTCCCTTTCACAGAGCAGGTTTGAAACACTCTTTTTGTAGTGTCTATAAGTGAACATTTGGCGTGCTTTCAGGCCTAACGTGAAAAAGGAAATATCTTCCCATAAAAACTAGACAGAAGCATTCTCAGAAACTTGTTCGTGATGTGTGCCCTCTACTGACAGAGTTGAACCTTTCTTTGCAAAGAGCAGCTTTGAAACACTCTTTTTGTAGAATCTGCAAGAGGATATTTGGATAGCTTTGAGGATTTCGTTGGAAACGGGTATGTCTTCAGATAAACTCTAGACAGAAGCATTCTCAGAAACTTCTTTGGGATGTTGCATTCAAGTCACAGAGTAGAACATTCCCATTCATAGAGCAGATTTGAAACACTCTTTTTGTAGTATCTGGAAGTGGACATTTGGAGCGCTTTCAGGCCTATGTTGAAAAAGGAAATATCTTCCCATAAAAACTAGACGGAAGCATTCTCAGAAACTTACTTGTGATGTGTTTGCTCAACTAACAGAATTGAACCATCGTTTTGAAGGAGCAGTTTTGAAACACTGTTTTCGTGGAATCTGCAAGTGGATATTTGGCTAGCTTTGAGGATTTCGTTGGAAACGGGATTACATATAAAAAGGAGACAGCAGCATTCTCAGAAACTTCTTTGTGATGTCTGCATTCAATTCACAGACTTGAGCATTCCCTTTCATAGAGCAGGTTGGAAACACTCTTTTTGTAGTATCTGGATGAGGACATTTGGAGCGCTTTCAGGCGTATGGTGAAAAAGGAAATATCTTCCCGTAAAAACTAGACAGAAGCATTCTCAGAAATTTATTTGTGATGTGTGCCCTCAACTAACAGAGTTGAACCTTTCTTTTGATAGAGCAGTTTTGAAACACTCTTTTTGTAAAATCTGCAAGAGGATATTTGGATAGCTTTGAGGATTTCGTTGCAAACGGGAATGGCTTCATATAAACTCTAGACAGAAGCATTCTCAGAAACCTCGTTGGGATGTTTCGATTGAAGTCCCAGTGTTGAACATTCCCTTTTATAGAGCAGGTTGGAAACACTCTTTCTGCATTCCCTGGAAGTGGACATTTGGAGCACTTTCAGGACGACGGTGAAAATGGAAATATCTTCCAAGAAAATCTAGATAGAAGCAACGTCAGAAACTTTTCTGTGATGGATCTACTCAGCTAACAGAGTTGAACCTTTCTTTTGAGAGAGCAGTTTTGCAACACTCTTTTTGTGGAATATGCAAGTGGATATTAGGGCAGCTTTGAGGATTTCGTTGGAAACGGGAATACATGTAAAAAGCAGACAGCAGCATTCTCAGAAACTTCTTTGTGATGTTTGCATTGAAGTCACAGAGTTGAACATTCCCTTTGAGAGAGCAGGTTTGAAACACGCCTTTTGTCATATCTGGAAGTGTCCATTCGGAGCGCATTCAGGCTTGTGTTGAAAAAGGAAATATCCTCCCATAAAAACTAGACAGAAGCATTCTCAGAAACTTATCTGTGATGTATGTACTCAACTAACAGAACTAAACCATCCTTTTGAAGGAGCAGTTTTGAAACACTCTTTTTGCGGAATCTGCAAGTGGATATTTGGCTAGCTGGGAGGATTTCGTTGGAAACGGGATTACATACAAAAAGGAGACAGCAGCATTCTCAGAAACTTATTTGTGATGTGTGCACTCAACTGACAGTGTTGAACCTTTGTTTTGATAGAGCAGTTCTGAAACACACTTTTTGTAAAATCTGCAAGAGGATATTTGGATAGCTTTGAGGATTTCGTTGGAAACGGGAATGTCTTCATGTAAACTCTAGACAGAAGCATTCTCAGAAACTGCTTTGGGATGTTTCAATTGAAGTCCCAGTGTTGAACATTCCCTTTCATAGAGCAGGTTTGAAACACTCTTTTTGTACTATCTGGAAGTGGACATTTGGAGCGCTTTCAGGTCTACGGTGAAAAAGGAGATATCTTCCAATAAAAACTAGATAGAAAGCAATGTCAGAACTTTTTTCATGATGTATCTACTCAGCAAACAGTAGTTGAACCTTTCTTTTGAGAGAGCAGTTTTGAAACACTCTTTTTGTGGAATATGCAAGTGGGTATTAGGCCAGCTTGGAGGATTTCGTTGGAAACGGGAATACGTATAAAAAGCAGACAGCAGCATTGTCAGAAACTACTTTGTGATGTTTGCATTCAAGTCACAGAATTGAACACTCCCTTTCACAGAGCAGGTTTGAAACACTCTTTTTGTAGTGTCTGTAAGTGAACATTTGGATTGCTTTCAGGCCTAAGGTGAAAAAGGAAATATCTTCCCATAAAAACTAGACAGAAGCATTCTCAGAAACTTGTTTGTGATGTGTGCCCTCTACTGACAGAGTTGAACCTTTCTTTGCAAAGAGCAGTTTTGAAACACTCTTTTGTAGAATCTGCAAGAGGATATTTGGATAGCTTTGAGGATTTCTTGGGAAACGGGAATGTCTTCAGATAAACTCTAGACAGAAGCATTCTCAGAAACTTCTTTGGGATGTTTCAATTGAAGTCACAGTGTTGAACATTCCCTTTCACAGAGCAGGTTTGAAACACTCTTTTTGTAGTGTCTATAAGTGAACATTTGGCGTGCTTTCAGGCCTAACGTGAAAAAGGAAATATCTTCCCATAAAAACTAGACAGAAGCATTCTCAGAAACTTGTTCGTGATGTGTGCCCTCTACTGACAGAGTTGAACCTTTCTTTGCAAAGAGCAGCTTTGAAACACACTTTTTGTAGAATCTGCAAGAGGATATTTGGATAGCTTGGAGGATTTCGTTGGAAACGGGTATGTCTTCAGATAAACTCTAGACAGAAGCATTCTCAGAAACTTCTTTGGGATGTTGCATTCAAGTCACAGAGTAGAACATTCCCATTCATAGAGCAGATTTGAAACACTCTTTTTGTAGTATCTGGAAGTGGACATTTGGAGCGCTTTCAGGCCTATGTTGAAAAAGGAAATATCTTCCCATAAAAACTAGACGGAAGCATTCTCAGAAACTTATTTGTGATGTGTTTGCTCAACTAACAGGATTGAACCATCGTTTTGAAGGAGCAGTTTTGAAACACTGTTTTCGTGGAATCTGCAAGTGGATATTTGGCTAGCTTTGAGGATTTCGTTGGAAACGGGATTACATATAAAAAGGAGACAGCAGCATTCTCAGAAACTTCTTTGTGATGTCTGCATTCAATTCACAGAGTTGAGCATTCCCTTTCATAGAGCAGGTTGGAAACACTCTTTTTGTAGTATCTGGATGAGGACATTTGGAGCGCTTTCAGGCGTATGGTGAAAAAGGAAATATCTTCCCGTAAAAACTAGACAGAAGCATTCTCAGAAATTTATTTGTGATGTGTGCCCTCAACTAACAGAGTTGAACCTTTCTTTTGATAGAGCAGTTTTGAAACACTCTTTTTGTAAAATCTGCAAGAGGATATTTGGATAGCTTTGAGGATTTCGTTGCAAACGGGAATGGCTTCATATAAACTCTAGACAGAAGCATTCTCAGAAACTTCGTTGGGATGTTTCGATTGAAGTCCCAGTGTTGAACATTCCCTTTTATAGAGCAGGTTGGAAACACTCTTTCTGCATTCCCTGGAAGTGGACATTTGGAGCGCTTTCAGGACGACGGTGAAAATGGAAATATCTTCCAAGAAAATCTAGATAGAAGCAACGTCAGAAACTTTTCTGTGATGGATCTACTCAGCTAACAGAGTTGAACCTTTCTTTTGAGAGAGCAGTTTTGCAACACTCTTTTTGTGGAATATGCAAGTGGATATTAGGGCAGCTTTGAGGATTTCGTTGGAAACGGGAATACATGTAAAAAGCAGACAGCAGCATTCTCAGAAACTTCTTTGTGATGTTTGCATTGAAGTCACAGAGTTGAACATTCCCTTTGAGAGAGCAGGTTTGAAACACGCCTTTTGTCATATCTGGAAGTGTCCATTCGGAGCGCATTCAGGCTTGTGTTGAAAAAGGAAATATCCTCCCAGAAAAACTAGACAGATAAGCATTCTCAGAAACTTATCTGTGATGTATGTACTCAACTAACAGGAACTAAACCATCGTTTTGAAGGAGCAGTTTTGAAACACTCTTTTTGCGGAATCTGCAAGTGGATATTTGGCTAGCTGGGAGGATTTCGTTGGAAACGGGATTACATACAAAAAGCAGAGAGCAGCATTCTCAGAAACTTATTTGTGATGTGTGCCCTCAACTGACAGTGTTGAACCTTTGTTTTGATAGAGCAGTTCTGAAACACACTTTTTGTAAAATCTGCAAGAGGATATTTGGATAGCTTTGAGGATTTCGTTGGAAACGGGAATGTCTTCATGTAAACTCTAGACAGAAGCATTCTCAGAAACTGCTTTGGGATGTTTCAATTGAAGTCCCAGTGTTGAACATTCCCATTCATAGAGCAGGTTTGAAACACTCTTTTTGTACTATCTGGAAGTGGACATTTGGAGCGCTTTCAGGTCTACGGTGAAAAAGGAGATATCTTCCAATAAATACTAGATAGAAGGAATGTCAGAAACTTTTTCATGATATATCTACTCAGCTAACAGAGTTCAACCTTTCTTTTGAGAGAGAAGTTTTAAAACAGTCTTTTTGTGGAATATGCAAGTGGATATTAAGCCAGCTTGGAGGATTTCGTTGGAAACGGGAATGCATATAAAAAGCAGACAGCAGCATTCTCAGAAACTTCTTTGTGATGTTTGCATTGAAGTCCCAGATTTGAACATTCCCTTTCTTAGAGCAGGTTTGAAAGACGCCATTTGTCATATCTGGAGGTTGTCCATTTGGATCGCATTCCGGCTTGTGTTGAAAAAGGAAATATCCTCCCATAAAAACTAGATAGAAGCATTCTCAGAAACTTGTTTGTGATGTGTGCCCTCTACTGACAGAGTTGAACCTTTCTTTGCAAAGAGCAGTTTTGAAACACTCTTTTTGTAGAATCTGCAAGAGGATATTTGGATAGCTTTGAGGATTTCTTGGGAAACGGGAATGTCTTCAGATAAACTCTAGACAGAAGCATTCTCAGAAACTTCTTTGGGATGTTTCAATTGAAGTCACAGTGTTGAACATTCCCTTTCACAGAGCAGGTTTGAAACACTCTTTTTGTAGTGTCTATAAGTGAACATTTGGCGTGCTTTCAGGCCTAACGTGAAAAAGGAAATATCTTCCCATAAAAACTAGACAGAAGCATTCTCAGAAACTTGTTCGTGATGTGTGCCCTCTACTGACAGAGTTGAACCTTTCTTTGCAAAGAGCAGCTTTGAAACACTCTTTTTGTAGAATCTGCAAGAGGATATTTGGATAGCTTGGAGGATTTCGTTGGAAACGGGTATGTCTTCAGATAAACTGCTAGACAGAAGCATTCTCAGAAACTTCTTTGGGATGTTGCATTCAAGTCACAGAGTAGAACATTCCCATTCATAGAGCAGATTTGAAACACTCTTTTTGTAGTATCTGGAAGTGGACATTTGGAGCGCTTTCAGGCCTATGTTGAAAAAGGAAATATCTTCCCATAAAAACTAGACGGAAGCATTCTCAGAAACTTATTTGTGATGTGTTTGCTCAACTAACAGGATTGAACCATCGTTTTGAAGGAGCAGTTTTGAAACACTGTTTTCGTGGAATCTGCAAGTGGATATTTGGCTAGCTTTGAGGATTTCGTTGGAAACGGGATTACATATACAAAGGAGACAGCAGCATTCTCAGAAACTTCTTTGTGATGTCTGCATTCAATTCACAGAGTTGAGCATTCCCTTTCCTAGAGCACGTTGGAAACACTCTTTTTGTAGTATCTGGATGAGGACATTTGGAGCGCTTTCAGGCGTATGGTGAAAAAGGAAATATCTTCCCGTAAAAACTAGACAGAAGCATTCTCAGAAGTTTATTTGTGATGTGTGCCCTCAACTAACAGAGTTGAACCTTTCTTTTGATAGAGCAGTTTTGAAACACTCTTTTTGTAAAATCTGCAAGAGGATATTTGGATAGCTTTGAGGATTTCGTTGCAAACGGGAATGGCTTCATATAAACTCTAGACAGAAGCATTCTCAGAAACTTCGTTGGGATGTTTCGATTGAAGTCCCAGTGTTGAACATTCCCTTTTATAGAGCAGGTTGGAAACACTCTTTCTGCATTCCCTGGAAGTGGACATTTGGAGCGCTTTCAGGACGACGGTGAAAATGGAAATATCTTCCAAGAAAATCTAGATAGAAGCAATGTCAGAAACTTTTATGTGATGGATCTACTCAGCTAACAGAGTTGAACCTTTCTTTTGAGAGAGCAGTTTTGCAACACTCTTTTTGTGGAATATGCAAGTGGATATTAGGGCAGCTTTGAGGATTTCGTTGGAAACGGGAATACATGTAAAAAGCAGACAGCAGCATTCTCAGAAACTTCTTTGTGATGTTTGCATTGAAGTCACAGAGTTGAACATTCCCTTTGAGAGAGCAGGTTTGAAACACGCCTTTTGTCATATCTGGAAGTGTCCATTCGGAGCGCATTCAGGCTTGTGTTGAAAAAGGAAATATCCTCCCATAAAAACTAGACAGAAGCATTCTCAGAAACTTATCTGTGATGTATGTACTCAACTAACAGAACTAAACCATCGTTTTGAAGGAGCAGTTTTGAAACACTCTTTTTGCGGAATCTGCAAGTGGATATTTGGCTAGCTGGGAGGATTTCGTTGGAAACGGGATTACATACAAAAAGCAGACAGCAGCATTCTCAGAAACTTCTTTGTGATGTTTGCTTTCAAGTCACAGAGTTGAGCATTCCCTTTCATAGAGCAGGTTGGAAACACTCTTTTTGTAGTATCTGGATGTGGACATTTGGATCGCTTTCAGGCCTATGGTGAAAAAGGAAATATCTTCCCATGAAAACTAGACAGAAGCATTCTCAGAAACTTATTTGTGATGTGTGCCCTCAACTGACAGTGTTGAACCTTTGTTTTGATAGAGCAGTTCTGAAACACACTTTTTGTAAAATCTGCAAGAGGATATTTGGATAGCTTTGAGGATTTCGTTGGAAACGGGAATGTCTTCATGTAAACTCTACACAGAAGCATTCTCAGAAACTGCTTTGGGATGTTTCAATTGAAGTCCCAGTGTTGAACATTCCCATTCATAGAGCAGGTTTGAAACACTCTTTTTGTACTATCTGGAAGTGGACATTTGGAGCGCTTTCAGGTCTACGGTGAAAAAGGAGATATCTTCCAATAAAAACTAGATAGAAGCAATGTCAGAACTTTTTTCATGATGTATCTACTCAGCAAACAGAGTTGAACCTTTCTTTTGAGAGAGCAGTTTTGAAACACTCTTTTTGTGGAATATGAAAGTGGGTATTAGGCCAGCTTGGAGGATTTCGTTGGAAACGGGAATACGTATAAAAAGCAGACAGCAGCATTGTCAGAAACTACTTTGTGATGTTTGCATTCAAGTCACAGAACTGAACACTCCCTTTCACAGAGCAGGTTTGAAACACTCTTTTTGTAGTGTCTGTAAGTGAACATTTGGATTGCTTTCAGGCCTAAGGTGAAAAAGGAAATATCTTCCCATAAAAACTAGACAGAAGCATTCTCAGAAACTTGTTTGTGATGTGTGCCCTCTACTGACAGAGTTGAACCTTTCTTTGCAAAGAGCAGTTTTGAAACACTCTTTTTTTAGAATCTGCAAGAGGATATTTGGATAGCTTTGAGGATTTCTTGGGAAACGGGAATGTCTTCAGATAAACTCTAGACAGAAGCATTCTCAGAAACTTCTTTGGGATGTTTCAATTGAAGTCACAGTGTTGAACATTCCCTTTCACAGAGCAGGTTTGAAACACTCTTTTTGTAGTGTCTATAATTGAACATTTGGCGTGCTTTCAGGCCTAACGTGAAAAAGGAAATATCTTCCCATAAAAACTAGACAGAAGCATTCTCAGAAACTTGTTCGTGATGTGTGCCCTCTACTGACAGAGTTGAACCTTTCTTTGCAAAGAGCAGCTTTGAAACACTCTTTTTGTAGAATCTGCAAGAGGATATTTGGATAGCTTTGAGGATTTCGTTGGAAACGGGTATGTCTTCAGATAAACTCTAGACAGAAGCATTCTCAGAAATTTCTTTGGGATGTTGCATGCAAGTCACAGAGTAGAACATTCCCATTCATAGAGCAGATTTGAAACACTCTTTTTGTAGTATCTGGAAGTGGACATTTGGAGCGCTTTCAGGCCTATGTTGAAAAAGGAAATATCTTCCCATAAAAACTAGACGGAAGCATTCTCAGAAACTTATTTGTGATGTGTTTGCTCAACTAACAGGATTCAACCATCGTTTTGAAGGAGCAGTTTTGAAACACTGTTTTCGTGGAATCTGCAAGTGGATATTTGGCTAGCTTTGAGGATTTCGTTGGAAACGGGATTACATATAAAAAGGAGACAGCAGCATTCTCAGAAACTTCTTTGTGATGTCTGCATTCAATTCACAGAGTTGAGCATTCCCTTTCATAGAGCAGGTTGGAAACACTCTTTTTGTAGTATCTGGATGAGGACATTTGGAGCGCTTTCAGGCGTATGGTGAAAAAGGAAATATCTTCCCGTAAAAACTAGACAGAAGCATTCTCAGAAGTTTATTTGAGATGTGTGCCCTCAACTAACAGAGTTGAACCTTTCTTTTGATAGAGCAGTTTTGAAACACTCTTTTTGTAAAATCTGCAAGAGGATATTTGGATAGCTTTGAGGATTTCGTTGCAAACGGGAATGGCTTCATATAAACTCTAGACAGAAGCATTCTCAGAAACTTCGTTGGGATGTTTCGATTGAAGTCCCAGTGTTGAACATTCCCTTTTATAGAGCAGGTTGGAAACACTCTTTCTGCATTCCCTGGAAGTGGACATTTGGAGCGCTTTCAGGACGACGGTGAAAATGGAAATATCTTCCAAGAAAATCTAGATAGAAGCAATGTCAGAAACTTTTATGTGATGGATCTACTCAGCTAACAGAGTTGAACCTTTCTTTTGAGAGAGCAGTTTTGCAACACTCTTTTTGTGGAATATGCAAGTGGATATTAGGGCAGCTTTGAGGATTTCGTTGGAAACGGGAATACATGTAAAAAGCAGACAGCCAGCATTCTCAGAAACTTCTTTGTGATGTTTGCATTGAAGTCACAGAGTTGAACATTCCCTTTGAGAGAGCAGGTTTGAAACACGCCTTTTGTCATATCTGGAAGTGTCCATTCGGAGCGCATTCAGGCTTGTGTTGAAAAAGGAAATATCCTCCCATAAAAACTAGACAGAGCATTCTCAGAAACTTATCTGTGATGTATGTACTCAACTAACAGAACTAAACCATCGTTTTGAAGGAGCAGTTTTGAAACACTCTTTTTGCGGAATCTGCAAGTGGATATTTGGCTAGCTGGGAGGATTTCGTTGGAAACGGGATTACATACAAAAAGCAGACAGCAGCATTCTCAGAAACTTCTTTGTGATGTTTGCATTCAAGTCACAGAGTTGAACATTCCCTTTCATAGAGCAGGTTTGAAACACTCTTTTTGTAGTATCTGGATGTGGACATTTGGATCGCTTTCAGGCCTATGGTGAAAAAGGAAATATCTTCCCATGAAAACTAGACAGAAGCATTCTCAGAAACTTATTTGTGATGTGTGCCCTCAACTGACAGTGTTGAACCTTTGTTTTGATAGAGCAGTTCTGAAACACACTTTTTGTAAAATCTGCAAGAGGATATTTGGATAGCTTTGAGGATTTCGTTGGAAACGGGAATGTCTTCATGTAAACTCTAGACAGAAGCATTCTCAGAAACTGCTTTGGGATGTTTCAATTGAAGTCCCAGTGTTGAACCTTCCCATTCATAGAGCAGGTTTGAAACACTCTTTTTGTACTATCTGGAAGTGGACATTTTGAGCGCTTTCAGGTCTACGGTGAAAAAGGAGATATCTTCCAGTAAAAACTAGATAGAAGCAATGTCAGAACTTTTTTCATGATGTATCTACTCAGCAAACAGAGTTGAACCTTTCTTTTGAGAGAGCAGTTTTGAAACACTCCTTTTGTGGAATATGCAAGTGGGTATTAGGCCAGCTTGGAGGATTTCGTTGGAAACGGGAATACGTATAAAAAGCAGACAGCAGCATTGTCAGAAACTACTTTGTGATGTTTGCATTCAAGTCACAGAATTGAACACTCTCTTTCACAGAGCAGGTTTGAAACTCTCTTTTTGTAGTGTCTGTAAGTGAACATTTGGATTGATTTCAGGCCTAAGGTGAAAAAGGAAATATCTTCCCATAAAAACTAGACAGAAGCATTCTCAGAAACTTGTTTGTGATGTGTGCCCTCTACTGACAGAGTTGAACCTTTCTTTGCAAAGAGCAGTTTTGAAACACTCTTTTTGTAGAATCTGCAAGAGGATATTTGGATAGCTTTGAGGATTTCTTGGGAAACGGGAATGTCTTCAGATAAACTCTAGACAGAAGCATTCTCAGAAACTTCTTTGGGATGTTTCAATTGAAGTCACAGTGTTGAACATTCCCTTTCACAGAGCAGGTTTGAAACACTCTTTTTGTAGTGTCTATAATTGAACATTTGGCGTGCTTTCAGGCCTAACGTGAAAAAGGAAATATCTTCCCATAAAAACTAGACAGAAGCATTCTCAGAAACTTGTTCGTGATGTGTGCCCTCTACTGACAGAGTTGAACCTTTCTTTGCAAAGAGCAGCTTTGAAACACACTTTTTGTAGAATCTGCAAGAGGATATTTGGATAGCTTGGAGGATTTCGTTGGAAACGGGTATGTCTTCAGATAAACTCTAGACAGAAGCATTCTCAGAAACTTCTTTGGGATGTTGCATTCAAGTCACAGAGTAGAACATTCCCATTCATAGAGCAGATTTGAAACACTCTTTTTGTAGTATCTGGAAGTGGACATTTGGAGCGCTTTCAGGCCTATGTTGAAAAAGGAAATATCTTCCCATAAAAACTAGACGGAAGCATTCTCAGAAACTTATTTGTGATGTGTTTGCTCAACTAACAGGATTGAACCATCGTTTTGAAGGAGCAGTTTTGAAACACTGTTTTCGTGGAATCTGCAAGTGGATATTTGGCTAGCTTTGAGGATTTCGTTGGAAACGGGATTACATATAAAAAGGAGACAGCAGCATTCTCAGAAACTTCTTTGTGATGTCTGCATTCAAGTCACAGAGTTGAGCATTCCCTTTCATAGAGCAGGTTGGAAACACTCTTTTTGTAGTATCTGGATGAGGACATTTGGAGCGCTTTCAGGCGTATGGTGAAAAAGGAAATATCTTCCCGTAAAAACTAGACAGAAGCATTCTCAGAAATTTATTTGTGATGTGTGCCCTCAACTAACAGAGTTGAACCTTTCTTTTGATAGAGCAGTTTTGAAACACTCTTTTTGTAAAATCTGCAAGAGGATATTTGGATAGCTTTGAGGATTTCGTTGCAAACGGGAATGGCTTCATATAAACTCTAGACAGAAGCATTCTCAGAAACTTCGTTGGGATGTTTCGATTGAAGTCCCAGTGTTGAACATTCCCTTTTATAGAGCAGGTTGGAAACACTCTTTCTGCATTCCCTGGAAGTGGACATTTGGAGCGCTTTCAGGACGACGGTGAAAATGGAAATATCTTCCAAGAAAATCTAGATAGAAGCAACGTCAGAAACTTTTCTGTGATGGATCTACTTAGCTACCAGAGTTGAACCTTTCTTTTGAGAGAGCAGTTTTGCAACACTCTTTTTGTGGAATATGCAAGTGGATATTAGGGCAGCTTTGAGGATTTCGTTGGAAACGGGAATACATGTAAAAAGCAGACAGCAGCATTCTCAGAAACTTCTTTGTGATGTTTGCATTGAAGTCACAGAGTTGAACATTCCCTTTGAGAGAGCAGGTTTGAAACACGCCTTTTGTCATATCTGGAAGTGTCCATTCGGAGCGCATTCAGGCTTGTGTTGAAAAAGGAAATATCCTCCCATAAAAACTAGACAGAAGCATTCTCAGAAACTTATCTGTGATGTATGTACTCAACTAACAGAACTAAACCATCGTTTTGAAGGAGCAGTTTTGAAACACTCTTTTTGCGGAATCTGCAAGTGGATATTTGGCTAGCTGGGAGGATTTCGTTGGAAACGGGATTACATACAAAAAGCAGACAGCAGCATTCTCAGAAACTTCTTTGTGATGTTTGCATTCAAGTCACAGAGTTGAGCATTCCCTTTCATAGAGCAGGTTGGAAACACTCTTTTTGTAGTATCTGGATGTGGACATTTGGATCGCTTTCTGGCGTATGGTGAAAAAGGAAATATCTTCCCATGAAAACTAGACAGAAAGCATTCTCAGAAATTTATTTGTGATGTGTGCCCTCAACTAACAGAGTTGAACCTTTCTTTTGATAGAGCAGTTTTGAAACACTCTTTTTGTAAAATCTGCAAGAGGATATTTGGATAGCTTTGAGGATTTCGTTGCAAACGGGAATGGCTTCATATAAACTCTAGACAGAAGCATTCTCAGAAACTTCGTTGGGATGTTTCAATTGAAGTCCCAGTGTTGAACATTCCCTTTTATAGAGCAGGTTGGAAACACTCTTTCTGCATTCCCTGGAAGTGGACATTTGGAGCGCTTTCAGGACGACGGTGAAAATGGAAATATCTTCCAAGAAAATCTAGATAGAAGCAACGTCAGAAACTTTTCTGTGATGGATCTACTCAGCTAACAGAGTTGAACCTTTCTTTTGAGAGAGCAGTTTTGCAACACTCTTTTTGTGGAATATGCAAGTGGATATTAGGGCAGCTTTGAGGATTTCGTTGGAAACGGGAATACATGTAAAAAGCAGACAGCAGCATTCTCAGAAACTTCTTTGTGATGTTTGCATTGAAGTCACAGAGTTGAACATTCCCTTTGAGAGAGCAGGTTTGAAACACGCCTTTTGTCATATCTGGAAGTGTCCATTCGGAGCGCATTCAGGCTTGTGTTGAAAAAGGAAATATCCTCCCATAAAAACTAGACAGAAGCATTCTCAGAAACTTATCTGTGATGTATGTACTCAACTAACAGAACTAAACCATCGTTTTGAAGGAGCAGTTTTGAAACACTCTTTTTGCGGAATCTGCAAGTGGATATTTGGCTAGCTGGGAGGATTTCGTTGGAAACGGGATTACATACAAAAAGCAGACAGCAGCATTCTCAGAAACTTCTTTGTGATGTTTGCATTCAAGTCACAGAGTTGAACATTCCCTTTCATAGAGCAGGTTTGAAACACTCTTTTTGTAGTATCTGGATGTGGACATTTGGATCGCTTTCAGGCGTATGGTGAAAAAGGAAATATCTTCCCATGAAAACTAGACAGAAGCATTCTCAGAAACTTATTTGTGATGTGTGCCCTCAACTGACAGTGTTGAACCTTTGTTTTGATAGAGCAGTTCTGAAACACACTTTTTGTAAAATCTGCAAGAGGATATTTGGATAGCTTTGAGGATTTCGTTGGAAACGGGAATGTCTTCATGTAAACTCTAGACAGAAGCATTCTCAGAAACTGCTTTGGGATGTTTCAATTGAAGTCCCAGTGTTGAACATTCCCTTTCATAGAGCAGGTTTGAAACACTCTTTTTGTACTATCTGGAAGTGGACATTTGGAGCGCTTTCAGGTCTACGGTGAAAAAGGAGATATCTTCCAATAAAAACTAGATAGAAGCAATGTCAGAACTTTTTTCATGATGTATCTACTCAGCACACAGAGTTGAACCTTTCTTTTGAGAGAGCAGTTTTGAAACACTCTTTTTGTGGAATATGCAAGTGGGTATTAGGCCAGCTTGGAGGATTTCGTTGGAAACGGGAATACGTATAAAAAGCAGACAGCAGCATTGTCAGAAACTACTTTGTGATGTTTGCATTCAAGTCACAGAATTGAACACTCCCTTTCACAGAGCAGGTTTGAAACACTCTTTTTGTAGTGTCTGTAAGTGAACATATGGATTGCTTTCAGGCCTAAGGTGAAAAAGGAAATATCTTCCCATAAAAACTAGACAGAAGCATTCTCAGAAACTTGTTTGTGATGTGTGCCCTCTACTGACAGAGTTGAACCTTTCTTTGCAAAGAGCAGTTTTGAAACACTCTTTTTGTAGAATCTGCAAGAGGATATTTGGATAGCTTTGAGGATTTCTTGGGAAACGGGAATGTCTTCAGATAAACTCTAGACAGAAGCATTCTCAGAAACTTCTTTGGGATGTTTCAATTGAAGTCACAGTGTTGAACATTCCCCTTCACAGAGCAGGTTTGAAACACTCTTTTTGTAGTGTCTATAAGTGAACATTTGGCGTGCTTTCAGGCCTAACGTGAAAAAGGAAATATCTTCCCATAAAAACTAGACAGAAGCATTCTCAGAAACTTGTTCGTGATGTGTGCCCTCTACTGACAGAGTTGAACCTTTCTTTGCAAAGAGCAGCTTTGAAACACACTTTTTGTAGAATCTGCAAGAGGATATTTGGATAGCTTTGAGGATTTCGTTGGAAACGGGTATGTCTTCAGATAAACTCTAGACAGAAGCATTCTCAGAAACTTCTTTGGCATGTTGCATTCAAGTCACAGAGTAGAACATTCCCATTCATAGAGCAGATTTGAAACACTCTTTTTGTAGTATCTGGAAGTGGACATTTGGAGCGCTTTCAGGCCTATGTTGAAAAAGGAAATATCTTCCCATAAAAACTAGACGGAAGCATTCTCAGAAACTTATTTGTGATGTGTTTGCTCAACTAACAGGATTGAACCATCGTTTTGAAGGAGCAGTTTTGAAACACTGTTTTCGTGGAATCTGCAAGTGGATATTTGGCTAGCTTTGAGGATTTCGTTGGAAACGGGATTACATATAAAAAGGAGACAGCAGCATTCTCAGAAACTTCTTTGTGATGTCTGCATTCAATTCACAGAGTTGAGCATTCCCTTTCATAGAGCAGGTTGGAAACACTCTCTTTGTAGTATCTGGATGAGGACATTTGGAGCGCTTTCAGGCGTATGGTGAAAAAGGAAATATCTTCCCGTAAAAACTAGACAGAAGCATTCTCAGAAGTTTATTTGTGATGTGTGCCCTCAACTAACAGAGTTGAACCTTTCTTTTGATAGAACAGTTTTCAAACACTCTTTTTGTAAAATCTGCAAGAGGATATTTGGATAGCTTTGAGGATTTCGTTGCAAACGGGAATGGCTTCATATAAACTCTAGACAGAAGCATTCTCAGAAACTTCGTTGGGATGTTTCGATTGAAGTCCCAGTGTTGAACATTCCCTTTTATAGAGCAGGTTGGAAACACTCTTTCTGCATTCCCTGGAAGTGGACATTTGGAGCGCTTTCAGGACGACGGTGAAAATGGAAATATCTTCCAAGAAAATCTAGATAGAAGCAACGTCAGAAACTTTTATGTGATGGATCTACTCAGCTAACAGAGTTGAAGCTTTCTTTTGAGAGAGCAGTTTTGCAACACTCTTTTTGTGGAATATGCAAGTGGATATTAGGGCAGCTTTGAGGATTTCGTTGGAAACGGGAATACATGTAAAAAGCAGACAGCAGCATTCTCAGAAACTTCTTTGTGATGTTTGCATTGAAGTCACAGAGTTGAACATTCCCTTTGAGAGAGCAGGTTTGAAACACGCCTTTTGTCATATCTGGAAGTGTCCATTCGGAGCGCATTCAGGCTTGTGTTGAAAAAGGAAATATCCTCCCATAAAAACTAGACAGAAGCATTCTCAGAAACTTATCTGTGATGTATGTACTCAACTAACAGAACTAAACCATCGTTTTGAAGGAGCAGTTTTGAAACACTCTTTTTGCGGAATCTGCAAGTGGATATTTGGCTAGCTGGGAGGATTTCGTTGGAAACGGGATTACATACAAAAAGCAGACAGCAGCATTCTCAGAAACTTCTTTGTGATGTTTGCATTCAAGTCACAGAGTTGAACATTCCCTTTCATAGAGCAGGTTGGAAACACTCTTTTTGTAGTATCTGGATGTGGACATTTGGATGGCTTTCAGGCCTATGGTGAAAAAGGAAATATCTTCCCATGAAAACTAGACAGAAGCATTCTCAGAAACTTATTTGTGATGTGTGCCCTCAACTGACAGTGTTGAACCTTTGTTTTGATAGAGCAGTTCTGAAACACACTTTTTGTAAAATCTGCAAGAGGATATTTGGATAGCTTTGAGGATTTCGTTGGAAACGGGAATGTCTTCATGTAAACTCTAGACAGAAGCATTCTCAGAAACTGCTTTGGGATGTTTCAATTGAAGTCCCAGTGTTGAACATTCCCATTCATAGAGCAGGTTTGAAACACTCTTTTTCTACTATCTGGAAGTGGACATTTGGAGCGCTTTCAGGTCTACGGTGAAAAAGGAGATATCTTCCAATAAAAACTAGATAGAAGCAATGTCAGAACTTTTTTCATGATGTATCTACTCAGCAAACAGAGTTGAACCTTTCTTTTGAGAGAGCAGTTTTGAAACACTCTTTTTGTGGAATATGCAAGTGGGTATTAGGCCAGCTTGGAGGATTTCGTTGGAAACGGGAATACGTATAAAAAGCAGACAGCAGCATTGTCAGAAACTACTTTGTGATGTTTGCATTCAAGTCACAGAATTGAACACTCCCTTTCACAGAGCAGGTTTGAAACACTCTTTTTGTAGTGTCTGTAAGTGAACATTTGGATTGCTTTCAGGCCTAAGGTGAAAAAGGAAATATCTTCCCATAAAAACCAGACAGAAGCATTCTCAGAAACTTGTTTGTGATGTGTGCCCTCTACTGACAGAGTTGAACCTTTCTTTGCAAAGAGCAGTTTTGAAACACTCTTTTTGTAGAATCTGCAAGAGGATATTTGGATAGCTTTGAGGATTTCTTGGGAAACGGGAATGTCTTCAGATAAACTCTAGACAGAAGCATTCTCAGAAACTTCTTTGGGATGTTTCAATTGAAGTCACAGTGTTGAACATTCCCTTTCACAGAGCAGGTTTGAAACACTCTTTTTGTAGTGTCTATAAGTGAACATTTGGCGTGCTTTCAGGCGTAACGTGAAAAAGGAAATATCTTCCCATAAAAACCAGACAGAAGCATTCTCAGAAACTTGTTCCTGATGTGTGCCCTCTAACTGACAGAGTTGAACCTTTCTTTGCAAAGAGCAGCTTTGAAACACTCTTTTTGTAGAATCTGCAAGAGGATATTTGGATAGCTTTGAGGATTTCGTTGGAAACGGGGATGTCTTCAGATAAACTCTAGACAGAAGCATTCTCAGAAACTTCTTTGGGATGTTGCATTCAAGTCACAGAGTAGAACATTCCCATTCATAGAGCAGATTTGAAACACTCTTTTTGTAGTATCTGGAAGTGGACATTTGGAGCGCTTTCAGGCCTATGTTGAAAAAGGAAATATCTTCCCATAAAAACTAGACGGAAGCATTCTCAGAAACTTATTTGTGATGTGTTTGCTCAACTAACAGGATTGAACCATCGTTTTGAAGGAGCAGTTTTGAAACACTGTTTTCGTGGAATCTGCAAGTGGATATTTGGCTAGCTTTGAGGATTTCGTTGGAAACGGGATTACATATAAAAAGGAGACAGCAGCATTCTGAGAAACTTCTTTGTGATGTCTGCATTCAATTCACAGAGTTGAGCATTCCCTTTCATAGAGCAGGTTTGAAACACTCTTTTTGTAGTATCTGGATGTGGACATTTGGATCGCTTTCAGGCCTATGGTGAAAAAGGAAATATCTTCCCATGAAAACTAGACAGAAGCATTCTCAGAAACTTACTTGTGATGTGTGCCCTCAACTGACAGTGTTGAACCTTTGTTTTGATAGAGCAGTTCTGAAACACACTTTTTGTAAAATCTGCAAGAGGATATTTGGATAGCTTTGAGGATTTCGTTGGAAACGGGAATGTCTTCATGTAAACTCTACACAGAAGCATTCTCAGAAACTGCTTTGGGATGTTTCAATTGAAGTCCCAGTGTTGAACATTCCCATTCATAGAGCAGGTTTGAAACACTCTTTTTGTACTATCTGGAAGTGGACATTTGGAGCGCTTTCAGGTCCTACGGTGAAAAAGGAGATATCTTCCAATAAAAACTAGATAGAAGCAATGTCAGAACTTTTTTCATGATGTATCTACTCAGCAAACAGAGTTGAACCTTTCTTTTGAGAGAGCAGTTTTGAAACACTCTTTTTGTGGAATATGCAAGTGGGTATTAGGCCAGCTTGGAGGATTTCGTTGGAAACGGGAATACGTATAAAAAGCAGACAGCAGCATTGTCAGAAACTACTTTGTGATGTTTGCATTCAAGTCACAGAATTGAACACTCCCTTTCACAGAGCAGGTTTGAAACACTCTTTTTGTAGTGTCTGTAAGTGAACATTTGGATTGATTTCAGGCCTGAGGTGAAAAAGGAAATATCTTCCCATAAAAACTAGACAGAAGCATTCTCAGAAACTTGTTTGTGATGTGTGCCCTCTACTGACAGAGTTGAACCTTTCTTTGCAAAGAGCAGTTTTGAAACACTCTTTTTGTAGAATCTGCAAGAGGATATTTGGATAGCTTTGAGGATTTCTTGGGAAACGGGAATGTCTTCAGATAAACTCTAGACAGAAGCATTCTCAGAAACTTCTTTGGGATGTTTCAATTGAAGTCACAGTGTTGAACATTCCCTTTCACAGAGCAGGTTTGAAACACTCTTTTTGTAGTGTCTATAAGTGAACATTTGGCGTGCTTTCAGGCGTAACGTGAAAAAGGAAATATCTTCCCATAAAAACTAGACAGAAGCATTCTCAGAAACTTGTTCGTGATGTGTGCCCTCTACTGACAGAGTTGAACCTTTCTTTTCAAAGAGCAGCTTTGAAACACACTTTTTGTAGAATCTGCAAGAGGATATTTGGATAGTTTTGAGGATTTCGTTGGAAACGGGTATGTCTTCAGATAAACTCTAGACAGAAGCATTCTCAGAAATTTCTTTGGGATGTTGCATGCAAGTCACAGAGTAGAACATTCCCATTCATAGAGCAGATTTGAAACACTCTTTTTGTACTATCTGGAAGTGGACATTTGGAGCGCTTTCAGGCCTATGTTGAAAAAGGAAATATCTTCCCATAAAAACTAGACGGAAGCATTCTCAGAAACTTATTTGTGATGTGTTTGCTCAACTAACAGGATTGAACCATCGTTTTGAAGGAGCAGTTTTGAAACACTGTTTTCGTGGAATCTGCAAGTGGATATTTGGCTAGCTTTGAGGATTTCGTTGGAAACGGGATTACATATAAAAAGGAGACAGCAGCATTCTCAGAAACTTCTTTGTGATGTCTGCATTCAATTCACAGAGTTGAGCATTCCCTTTCATAGAGCAGGTTGGAAACACTCTTTTTGTAGTATCTGGATGAGGACATTTGGAGCGCTTTCAGGCGTATGGTGAAAAAGGAAATATCTTCCCGTAAAAACTAGACAGAAGCATTCTCAGAAGTTTATTTGCGATGTGTGCCCTGAACTAACAGACTTGAACCTTTCTTTTGATAGAGCAGTTTTGAAACACTCATTTTGTAAAATCTGCAAGAGGATATTTGGATAGCTTTGAGGATTTCGTTGCAAACGGGAATGGCTTCATATAAACTCTAGACAGAAGCATTCTCAGAAACTTCGTCGGGATGTTTCGATTGAAGTCCCAGTGTTGAACATTCCCTTTTATAGAGCAGGTTGGAAACACTCTTTCTGCATTCCCTGGAAGTGGACAATTGGAGCGCTTTCAGGACGACGGTGAAAATGGAAATATCTTCCAATAAAATCTGGATAGAAGCAACATCAGAAACTTTTATGTGATGGATCTACTCAGCTAACAGAGTTGAACCTTTCTTTTGAGAGAGCAGTTTTGCAACACTCTTTTTGTGGAATACGCAAGTGGATATTAGGGCAGCTTTGAGGATTTCGTTGGAAACGGGAATACATGTAAAAAGCAGACAGCAAGCATTCTCAGAAACTTCTTTGTGATGTTTGCATTGAAGTCACAGAGTTGAACATTCCCTTTGAGAGAGCAGGTTTGAAACACGCCTTTTGTCATATCTGGAAGTGTCCATTCGGAGCGCATTCAGGCTTGTGTTGAAAAAGGAAATATCCTCCCATAAAAACTAGACAGAAGCATTCTCAGAAACTTATCTGTGATGTATGTACTCAACTAACAGAACTAAACCATCGTTTTGAAGGAGCAGTTTTGAAACACTCTTTTTGCGGAATCTGCAAGTGGATATTTGGCTAGCTGGGAGGATTTCGTTGGAAACGGGATTACATACAAAAAGCAGACAGCAGCATTCTCAGAAACTTCTTTGTGATGTTTGCATTCAAGTCACAGAGTTGAACATTCCCTTTCATAGAGCAGGTTTGAAACACTCTTTTTGTAGTATCTGGATGTGGACATTTGGATCGCTTTCAGGCCTATGGTGAAAAAGGAAATATCTTCCCCATGAAAACTAGACAGAAGCATTCTCAGAAATTTATTTGTGATGTGTGCCCTCAACTAACAGAGTTGAACCTTTCTTTTGATAGAGCAGTTTTGAAACACTCTTTTTGTAAAATCTGCAAGAGGATATTTGGATAGCTTTGAGGATTTCGTTGCAAACGGGAATGGCTTCATATAAACTCTAGACAGAAGCATTCTCAGAAACCTCGTTGGGATGTTTCGATTGAAGTCCCAGTGTTGAACATTCCCTTTTATAGAGCAGGTTGGAAACACTCTTTCTGCATTCCCTGGAAGTGGACATTTGGAGCGCTTTCAGGACGACGGTGAAAATGGAAATATCTTCCAAGAAAATCTAGATAGAAGCAACGTCAGAAACTTTTCTGTGATGGATCTACTCAGCTAACAGAGTTGAACCTTTCTTTTGAGAGAGCAGTTTTGCAACACTCTTTTTGTGGAATATGCAAGTGGATATTAGGGCAGCTTTGAGGATTTCGTTGGAAACGGGAATACATGTAAAAAGCAGACAGCAGCATTCTCAGAAACTTCTTTGTGATGTTTGCATTGAAGTCACAGAGTTGAACATTCCCTTTGAGAGAGCAGGTTTGAAACACGCCTTTTGTCATATCTGGAAGTGTCCATTCGGAGCGCATTCAGGCTTGTGTTGAAAAAGGAAATATCCTCCCATAAAAACTAGACAGAAGCATTCTCAGAAACTTATCTGTGATGTATGTACTCAACTAACAGAACTAAACCATCGTTTTGAAGGAGCAGTTTTGAAACACTCTTTTTGCGGAATCTGCAAGTGGGTATTTGGCTAGCTGGGAGGATTTCGTTGGAAACGGGATTACATACAAAAAGCAGACAGCAGCATTCTCAGAAACTTATTTGTGATGTGTGCCCTCAACTGACAGTGTTGAACCTTTGTTTTGATAGAGCAGTTCTGAAACACACTTTTTGTAAAATCTGCAAGAGGATATTTGGATAGCTTTGAGGATTTCGTTGGAAACGGGAATGTCTTCATGTAAACTCTACACAGAAGCATTCTCAGAAACTGCTTTGGGATGTTTCAATTGAAGTCCCAGTGTTGAACATTCCCATTCATAGAGCAGGTTTGAAACACTCTTTTTGTACTATCTGGAAGTGGACATTTGGAGCGCTTTCAGGTCTACGGTGAAAAAGGAGATATCTTCCAATAAAAACTAGATAGAAGCAATGTCAGAACTTTTTTCATGATGTATCTACTCAGCAAACAGAGTTGAACCTTTCTTTTGAGAGAGCAGTTTTGAAACACTCTTTTTGTGGAATATGCAAGTGGGTATTAGGCCAGCTTGGAGGATTTCGTTGGAAACGGGAATACGTATAAAAAGCAGACAGCAGCATTGTCAGAAACTACTTTGTGATGTTTGCATTCAAGTCACAGAATTGAACACTCCCTTTCACAGAGCAGGTTTGAAACACTCTTTTTGTAGTGTCTGTAAGTGAACATTTGGATTGCTTCAGGCCTAAGGTGAAAAAGGAAATATCTTCCCATAAAAACTAGACAGAAGCACTCTCAGAAACTTGTTTGTGATGTGTGCCCTCTACTGACAGAGTTGAACCTTTCTTTGCAAAGAGCAGTTTTGAAACACTCCTTTTGTAGAATCTGCAAGAGGATATTTGGATAGCTTTGAGGATTTCTTGGGAAACGGGAATGTCTTCAGATAAACTCTAGACAGAAGCATTCTCAGAAACTTCTTTGGGATGTTTCAATTGAAGTCACAGTGTTGAACATTCCCTTTCACAGAGCAGGTTTGAAACACTCTTTTTGTAGTGTCTATAAGTGAACATTTGGCGTGCTTTCAGGCCTAACGTGAAAAAGGAAATATCTTCCCATAAAAACTAGACAGAAGCATTCTCAGAAACTTGTTCGTGATGTGTGCCCTCTACTGACAGAGTTGAACCTTTCTTTGCAAAGAGCAGCTTTGAAACACTCTTTTTGTAGAATCTGCAAGAGGATATTTGGATAGCTTTGAGGATTTCGTTGGAAACGGGGATGTCTTCAGATAAACTCTAGACAGAAGCATTCTCAGAAACTTCTTTGGGATGTTGCATTCAAGTCACAGAGTAGAACATTCCCATTCATAGAGCAGATTTGAAACACTCTTTTTGTAGTATCTGGAAGTGGACATTTGGAGCGCTTTCAGGCCTATGTTGAAAAAGGATATATCTTCCCATAAAAACTAGACGGAAGCATTCTCAGAAACTTACTTGTGATGTGTTTGCTCAACTAACAGAATTGAACCATCGTTTTGAAGGAGCAGTTTTCAAACACTGTTTTCGTGGAATCTGCAAGTGGATATTTGGCTAGCTTTGAGGATTTCGTTGGAAACGGGATTACATATAAAAAGGAGACAGCACCATTCTCAGAAACTTCTTTGTGCTGTCTGCATTCAAGTCACAGAGTTGAGCATTCCCTTTCATAGAGCAGGTTGGAAACACTCTTTTTGTAGTATCTGGATGAGGACATTTGGAGCGCTTTCAGGCGTATGGTGAAAAAGGAAATATCTTCCCGTAAAAACTAGACAGAAGCATTCTCAGAAATTTATTTGTGATGTGTGCCCTCAACTAACAGAGTTGAACCTTTCTTTTGATAGAGCAGTTTTGAAACACTCTTTTTGTAAAATCTGCAAGAGGATATTTGGATAGCTTTGAGGATTTCGTTGCAAACGGGAATGGCTTCATATAAACTCTAGACAGAAGCATTCTCAGAAACTTCGTTGGGATGTTTCGATTGAAGTCCCAGTGTTGAACATTCCCTTTTATAGAGCAGGTTGGAAACACTCTTTCTGCATTCCCTGGAAGTGGACATTTGGAGCGCTTTCAGGACGACGGTGAAAATGGAAATATCTTCCAAGAAAATCTAGATAGAAGCAACGTCAGAAACTTTTCTGTGATGGATCTACTCAGCTAACAGAGTTGAACCTTTCTTTTGAGAGAGCAGTTTTGCAACACTCTTTTTGTGGAATATGCAAGTGGATATTAGGGCAGCTTTGAGGATTTCGTTGGAAACGGGAATACATGTAAAAAGCAGACAGCAGCATTCTCAGAAACTTCTTTGTGATGTTTGCATTGAAGTCACAGAGTTGAACATTCCCTTTGAGAGAGCAGGTTTGAAACACGCCTTTTGTCATATCTGGAAGTGTCCATTCGGAGCGCATTCAGGCTTGTGTTGAAAAAGGAAATATCCTCCCATAAAAACTAGACAGAAGCATTCTCAGAAACTTATTTGTGATGTATGTACTCAACTAACAGAACTAAACCATCGTTTTGAAGGAGCAGTTTTGAAACACTCTTTTTGCGGAATCTGCAAGTGGATATTTGGCTAGCTGGGAGGATTTCGTTGGAAACGGGATTACATACAAAAAGCAGAGAGCAGCATTCTCAGAAACTTATTTGTGATGTGTGCCCTCAACTGACAGTGTTGAACCTTTGTTTTGATAGAGCAGTTCTGAAACACACTTTTTGTAAAATCTGCAAGAGGATATTTGGATAGCTTTGAGGATTTCGTTGGAAACGGGAATGTCTTCATGTAAACTCTAGACAGAAGCATTCTCAGAAACTGCTTTGGGATGTTTCAATTGAAGTCCCAGTGTTGAACATTCCCATTCATAGAGCAGGTTTGAAACACTCTTTTTGTACTATCTGGAAGTGGACATTTGGAGCGCTTTCAGGTCTACGGTGAAAAAGGAGATATCTTCCAATAAAAACTAGATAGAAGCAATGTCAGAACTTTTTCCATGATGTATCTACTCAGCAAACACAGTTGAACCTTTCTTTTGAGAGAGCAGTTTTGAAACACTCTTTTTGTGGAATATGCAAGTGGGTATTAGGCCAGCTTGGAGGATTTCGTTGGAAACGGGAATACGTATAAAAAGCAGACAGCAGCATTGTCAGAAACTACTTTGTGATGTTTGCATTCAAGTCACAGAATTGAACACTCCCTTTCACAGAGCAGGTTTGAAACACTCTTTTTGTAGTGTCTGTAAGTGAACATATGGATTGCTTTCAGGCCTAAGGTGAAAAAGGAAATATCTTCCCATAAAAACTAGACAGAAGCATTCTCAGAAACTTGTTTGTGATGTGTGCCCTCTACTGACAGAGTTGAACCTTTCTTTGCAAAGAGCAGTTTTGAAACACTCTTTTTGTAGAATCTGCAAGAGGATATTTGGATAGCTTTGAAGATTTCTTGGGAAACGGGAATGTCTTCAGATAAACTCTAGACAGAAGCATTCTCAGAAACTTCTTTGGGATGTTTCAATTGAAGTCACAGTGTTGAACATTCCCTTTCACAGAGCAGGTTTGAAACACTCTTTTTGTAGTGTCTATAAGTGAACATTTGGCGTGCTTTCAGGCCTAACGTGAAAAAGGAAATATCTTCCCATAAAAACTAGACAGAAGCATTCTCAGAAACTTGTTCATGATGTGTGCCCTCTACTGACAGAGTTGAACCTTTCTTTGCAAAGAGCAGCTTTGAAACACTCTTTTTGTAGAATCTGCAAGAGGATATTTGGATAGCTTGGAGGATTTCGTTGGAAACGGGTATGTCTTCAGATAAACTCTAGACAGAAGCATTCTCAGAAACTTCTTTGGGATGTTGCATTCAAGTCACAGAGTAGAACATTCCCATTCATAGAGCAGATTTGAAACACTCTTTTTGTAGTATCTGGAAGTGGACATTTGGAGCGCTTTCAGGCCTATGTTGAAAAAGGAAATATCTTCCCATAAAAACTAGACGGAAGCATTCTCAGAAACTTATTTGTGATGTGTTTGCTCAACTAACAGGATTGAACCATCGTTTTGAAGGAGCAGTTTTGAAACACTGTTTTCGTGGAATCTGCAAGTGGATATTTGGCTAGCTGGGAGGATTTCGTTGGAAACGGGATTACATATAAAAAGGAGACAGCAAGCATTCTCAGAAACTTCTTTGTGATGTCTGCATTCAATTCACAGAGTTGAGCATTCCCTTTCATAGAGCAGGTTGGAAACACTCTTTTTGTAGTATCTGGATGAGGACATTTGGAGCGCTTTCAGGCGTATGGTGAAAAAGGAAATATCTTCCCGTAAAAACTAGACAGAAGCATTCTCAGAAGTTTATTTCTGATGTGTGCCCTCAACTAACAGAGTTGAACCTTTCTTTTGATAGAGCAGTTTTGAAACACTCTTTTTGTAAAATCTGCAAGAGGATATTTGGATAGCTTTGAGGATTTCGTTGCAAACGGGAATGGCTTCATATAAACTCTAGACAGAAGCATTCTCAGAAACTTCGTCGGGATGTTTCGATTGAAGTCCCAGTGTTGAACATTCCCTTTTATAGAGCAGGTTGGAAACACTCTTTCTGCATTCCCTGGAAGTGGACATTTGGAGCGCTTTCAGGACGACGGTGAAAATGGAAATATCTTCCAATAAAATCTGGATAGAAGCAATGTCAGAAACTTTTATGTGATGGATCTACTCAGCTAACAGAGTTGAACCTTTCTTTTGAGAGAGCAGTTTTGCAACACTCTTTTTGTGGAATATGCAAGTGGATATTAGGGCAGCTTTGAGGATTTCGTTGGAAACGGGAATACATGTAAAAAGCAGACAGCAGCATTCTCAGAAACTTCTTTGTGATGTTTGCATTGAAGTCACAGAGTTGAACATTCCCTTTGAGAGAGCAGGTTTGAAACACGCCTTTTGTCATATCTGGAAGTGTCCATTCGGAGCGCATTCAGGCTTGTGTTGAAAAAGGAAATATCCTCCCAGAAAAACTAGACAGAAGCATTCTCAGCAAACTTATCTGTGATGTATGTACTCAACTAACAGAACTAAACCATCGTTTTGAAGGAGCAGTTTTGAAACACTCTTTTTGCGGAATCTGCAAGTGGATATTTGGCTAGCTGGGAGGATTTCGTTGGAAACGGGATTACATACAAAAAGCAGACAGCAGCATTCTCAGAAACTTCTTTGTGATGTTTGCATTCAAGTCACAGAGTTGAACATTCCCTTTCATAGAGCAGGTTTGAAACACTCTTTTTGTAGTATCTGGATGTGGACATTTGGATCGCTTTCAGGCCTATGGTGAAAAAGGAAATATCTTCCCATGAAAACTAGACAGAAGCATTCTCAGAAACTTATTTGTGATGTGTGCCCTCAACTGACAGTGTTGAACCTTTGTTTTGATAGAGCAGTTCTGAAACACACTTTTTGTAAAATCTGCAAGAGGATATTTGGATAGCTTTGAGGATTTCGTTGGAAACGGGAATGTCTTCATGTAAACTCTAGACAGAAGCATTCTCAGAAACTGCTTTGGGATGTTTCAATTGAAGTCCCAGTGTTGAACATTCCCATTCATAGAGCAGGTTTGAAACACTCTTTTTGTACTATCTGGAAGTGGACATTTGGAGCGCTTTCAGGTCTACGGTGAAAAAGGAGATATCTTCCAATAAAAACTAGATAGAAGCAATGTCAGAACTTTTTTCATGATGTATCTACTCAGCAAACAGAGTTGAACCTTTCTTTTGAGAGAGCAGTTTTGAAACACTCTTTTTGTGGAATATGTAAGTGGGTATTAGGCCAGCTTGGAGGATTTCGTTGGAAACGGGAATACGTATAAAAAGCAGACAGCAGCATTGTCAGAAACTACTTTGTGATGTTTGCATTCAAGTCACAGAATTGAACACTCCCTTTCACAGAGCAGGTTTGAAACACTCTTTTTGTAGTGTCTGTAAGTGAACATTTGGATTGCTTTCAGGCCTAAGGTGAAAAAGGAAATATCTTCCCATAAAAACTAGACAGAAGCATTCTCAGAAACTTGTTTGTGATGTGTGCCCTCTACTGACAGAGCTGAACCTTTCTTTGCAAAGAGCAGTTTTGAAACACTCTTTTTGTAGAATCTGCAAGAGGATATTTGGATAGCTTTGAGGATTTCTTGGGAAACGGGAATGTCTTCAGATAAACTCTAGACGGAAGCATTCTCAGAAACTTCTTTGGGATGTTTCAATTGAAGTCACAGTGTTGAACATTCCCTTTCACAGAGCAGGTTTGAAACATTCTTTTTGTAGTGTCTATAAGTGACCATTTGGCGTGCTTTCAGGCCTAACGTGAAAAAGGAAATATCTTCCCATAAAAACTAGACAGAAGCATTCTCAGACACTTGTTCGTGATGTGTGCCCTCTACTGACAGAGTTGAACCTTTCTTTGCAAAGAGCAGCTTTGAAACACTCTTTTTGTAGAATCTGCAAGAGGATATTTGGATAGCTTGGAGGATTTCGTTGGAAACGGGTATGTCTTCAGATAAACTCTAGACAGAAGCATTCTCAGAAACTTCTTTGGGATGTTGCATTCAAGTCACAGAGTAGAACATTCCCATTCATAGAGCAGATTTGAAACACTCTTTTTGTAGTATCTGGAAGTGGACATTTGGAGCGCTTTCAGGCCTATGTTGAAAAAGGATATATCTTCCCATAAAAACTAGACGGAAGCATTCTCAGAAACTTATTTGTGATGTGTTTGCTCAACTAACAGGATTGAACCATCGTTTTGAAGGAGCAGTTTTGAAACACTGTTTTCGTGGAATCTGCAAGTGGATATTTGGCTAGCTTTGAGGATTTCGTTGGAAACGGGATTACATATAAAAAGGAGACAGCACCATTCTCAGAAACTTCTTTGTGCTGTCTGCATTCAAGTCACAGAGTTGAGCATTCCCTTTCATAGAGCAGGTTGGAAACACTCTTTTTGTAGTATCTGGATGAGGACATTTGGAGCGCTTTCAGGCGTATGGTGAAAAAGGAAATATCTTCCCGTAAAAACTAGACAGAAGCATTCTCAGAAATTTATTTGTGATGTGTGCCCTCAACTAACAGAGTTGAACCTTTCTTTTGATAGAGCAGTTTTGAAACACTCTTTTTGTAAAATCTGCAAGAGGATATTTGGATAGCTTTGAGGATTTCGTTGCAAACGGGAATGGCTTCATATAAACTCTAGACAGAAGCATTCTCAGAAACTTCGTTGGGATGTTTCGATTGAAGTCCCAGTGTTGAACATTCCCTTTTATAGAGCAGGTTGGAAACACTCTTTCTGCATTCCCTGGAAGTGGACATTTGGAGCGCTTTCAGGACGACGGTGAAAATGGAAATATCTTCCAAGAAAATCTAGATAGAAGCAATGTCAGCAAACTTTTATGTGATGGATCTACTCAGCTAACAGAGTTGAACCTTTCTTTTGAGAGAGCAGTTTTGCAACACTCTTTTTGTGGAATATGCAAGTGGATATTAGGGCAGCTTTGAGGATTTCGTTGGAAACGGGAATACATGTAAAAAGCAGACAGCAGCATTCTCAGAAACTTCTTTGTGATGTTTGCATTGAAGTCACAGAGTTGAACATTCCCTTTGAGAGAGCAGGTTTGAAACACGCCTTTTGTCATATCTGGAAGTGTCCATTCGGAGCGCATTCAGGCTTGTGTTGAAAAAGGAAATATCCTCCCATAAAAACTAGACAGAAGCATTCTCAGAAACTTATCTGTGATGTATGTACTCAACTAACAGAACTAAACCATCGTTTTGAAGGAGCAGTTTTGAAACACTCTTTTTGCGGAATCTGCAAGTGGATATTTGGCTAGCTGGGAGGATTTCGTTGGAAACGGGATTACATACAAAAAGCAGACAGCAGCATTCTCAGAAAACTTCTTTGTGATGTTTGCATTCAAGTCACAGAGTTGAACATTCCCTTTCATAGAGCAGGTTTGAAACACTCTTTTTGTAGTATCTGGATGTGGACATTTGGATCGCTTTCAGGCCTATGGTGAAAAAGGAAATATCTTCCCATGAAAACTAGACAGAAGCATTCTCAGAAACTTATTTGTGATGTGTGCCCTCAACTGACAGTGTTGAACCTTTGTTTTGATAGAGCAGTTCTGAAACACACTTTTTGTAAAATCTGCAAGAGGATATTTGGATAGCTTTGAGGATTTCGTTGGAAACGGGAATGTCTTCATGTAAACTCTAGACAGAAGCATTCTCAGAAATTGCTTTGGGATGTTTCAATTGAAGTCCCAGTGTTGAACATTCCGTTTCATAGAGCAGGTTTGAAACACTCTTTTTGTACTATCTGGAAGTGGACATTTGGAGCGCTTTCAGGTCTACGGTGAAAAAGGAGATATCTTCCAATAAAAACTAGATAGAAGCAATGTCAGAACTTTTTTCATGATGTATCTACTCAGCAAACAGAGTTGAACCTTTCTTTTGAGAGAGCAGTTTTGAAACACTCTTTTTGTGGAATATGCAAGTGGGTATTAGGCCAGCTTGGAGGATTTCGTTGGAAACGGGAATACGTATAAAAAGCAGACAGCAGCATTGTCAGAAACTACTTTGTGATGTTTGCATTCAAGTCACAGAATTGAACACTCCCTTTCACAGAGCAGGTTTGAATCACTCTTTTTGTAGTGTCTGTAAGTGAACATTTGGATTGCTTTCAGGCCTAAGGTGAAAAAGGAAATATCTTCCCATAAAAACTAGACAGAAGCATTCTCAGAAACTTGTTTGTGATGTGTGCCCTCTACTGACAGAGTTGAACCTTTCTTTGCAAAGAGCAGTTTTGAAACACTCTTTTTGTAGAATCTGCAAGAGGATATTTGGATAGCTTTGAGGATTTCTTGGGAAACGGGAATGTCTTCAGATAAACTCTAGACAGAAGCATTCTCAGAAACTCCTTTGGGATGTTTCAATTGAAGTCACAGTGTTGAACATTCCCTTTCACAGAGCAGGTTTGAAACACTCTTTTTGTAGTGTCTATAAGTGAACATTTGGCGTGCTTTCAGGCCTAACGTGAAAAAGGAAATATCTTCCCATAAAAACTAGACAGAAGCATTCTCAGAAACTTGTTCTTGATGTGTCCCCTCTACTGACAGAGTTGAACCTTTCTTTGCAAAGAGCAGCTTTGAAACACTCTTTTTGTAGAATCTGCAAGAGGATATTTGGATAGCTTGGAGGATTTCGTTGGAAACGGGTATGTCTTCAGATAAACTCTAGACAGAACCATTCTCAGAAACTTCTTTGGGATGTTGCATTCAAGTCACAGAGTAGAACATTCCCATTCATAGAGCAGATTTGAAACACTCTTTTTGTAGTATCTGGAAGTGGACATTTGGAGCGCTTTCAGGCCTATGTTGAAAAAGGAAATATCTTCCCATAAAAACTAGACGGAAGCATTCTCAGAAACTTATTTGTGATGTGTTTGCTCAACTAACAGGTATTGAACCATCGTTTTGAAGGAGCAGTTTTGAAACACTGTTTTCGTGGAATCTGCAAGTGGATATTTGGCTAGCTTTGAGGATTTCGTTGGAAACGGGATTACATATAAAAAGGAGACAGCAGCATTCTCAGAAACTTCTTTGTGATGTTTGCATTCAAGTCACAGAGTTGAACATTCCCTTTCATAGAGCAGGTTTGAAACACTCTTTTTGTAGTATCTGGATGTGGACATTTGGATCGCTTTCAGGCCTATGGTGAAAAAGGAAATATCTTCCCATGAAAACTAGACAGAAGCATTCTCAGAAACTTATTTGTGATGTGTGCCCTCAACTGACAGTGTTGAACCTTTGTTTTGATAGAGCAGTTCTGAAACACACTTTTTGTAAAATCTGCAAGAGGATATTTGGATAGCTTTGAGGATTTCGTTGGAAACGGGAATGTCTTCATGTAAACTCTAGACAGAAGCATTCTCAGAAACTGCTTTGGGATGTTTCAATTGAAGTCCCAGTGTTGAACATTCCCATTCATAGAGCAGGTTTGAAACACTCTTTTTGTACTATCTGGAAGTGGACATTTGGAGCGCTTTCAGGTCTACGGTGAAAAAGGAGATATCTTCCAATAAAAACTAGATAGAAGCAATGTCAGAACTTTTTTCATGATGTATCTACTCAGCTAACAGAGTTGAACCTTTCTTTTGAGAGAGCAGTTTTGAAACACTCTTTGTGTGGAATATGCAAGTGGGTATTAGGCCAGCTTGGAGGATTTCGTTGGAAACGGGAATACGTATAAAAAGCAGACAGCAGCATTGTCAGAAACTACTTTGTGATGTTTGCATTCAAGTCACAGAATTGAACACTCCCTTTCACAGAGCAGGTTTGAAACACTCTTTTTGTAGTGTCTGTAAGTGAACATATGGATTGCTTTCAGGCCTAAGGTGAAAAAGGAAATATCTTCCCATAAAAACTAGACAGAAGCATTCTCAGAAACTTGTTTGTGATGTGTGCCCTCTACTGACAGAGTTGAACCTTTCTTTGCAAAGAGCAGTTTTGAAACACTCTTTTTGTAGAATATGCAAGAGGATATTTGGATAGCTTTGAGGATTTCTTGGGAAACGGGAATGTCTTCAGATAAACTCTAGACAGAAGCATTCTCAGAAACTTCTTTGGGATGTTTCAATTGAAGTCACAGTGTTGAACATTCCCTTTCACAGAGCAGGTTTCAAACACTCTTTTTGTAGTGTCTATAATTGAACATTTGGCGTGCTTTCAGGCCTAACGTGAAAAAGGAAATATCTTCCCATAAAAACTAGACAGAAGCATTCTGAGAAACTTGTTCGTGATGTGTGCCCTCTACTGACAGAGTTGAACCTTTCTTTGCAAAGAGCAGCTTTGAAACACTCTTTTTGTAGAATCTGCAAGAGGATATGTGGATAGCTTTGAGGATTTCGTTGGAAACGGGTATGTCTTCAGATAAACTCTAGACAGAAGCATTCTCAGAAACTTCTTTGGGATGTTTCAATTGAAGTCACAGTGTTGAACATTCCCTTTCACAGAGCAGGTTTGAAACACTCTTTTTGTAGTGACTATAAGTGAACATTTGGCGTGCTTTCAGGCCTAACGTGAAAAAGGAAATATCTTCCCATAAAAACTAGACAGAAGCATTCTCAGAAACTTGTTCATGATGTGTGCCCTCTACTGACAGAGTTGAACCTTTCTTTGCAAAGAGCAGCTTTGAAACACTCTTTTTGTAGAATCTGCAAGAGGATATTTGGATAGCTTGGAGGATTTCGTTGGAAACGGGTATGTCTTCAGATAAACTCTAGACAGAAGCATTCTCAGAAACTTCTTTGGGATGTTGCATTCAAGTCACAGAGTAGAACATTCCCATTCATAGAGCAGATTTGAAACACTCTTTTTGTAGTATCTGGAAGTGGACATTTGGAGCGCTTTCAGGCCTATGTTGAAAAAGGAAATATCTTCCCATAAAAACTAGACGGAAGCATTCTCAGAAACTTACTTGTGATGTGTTTGCTCAACTAACAGAATTGAACCATCGTTTTGAAGGAGCAGTTTTGAAACACTGTTTTCGTGGAATCTGCAAGTGGATATTTGGCTAGCTTTGAGGATTTCGTTGGAAACGGGATTACATATACAAAGGAGACAGCAGCATTCTCAGAAACTTCTTTGTGATGTTTGCATTCAAGTCACAGAGTTGAACATTCCCTTTCATAGAGCAGGTTTGAAACACTCTTTTTGTAGTATCTGGATGTGGACATTTGGATCGCTTTCAGGCCTATGGTGAAAAAGGAAATATCTTCCCATGAAAACTAGACAGAATCATTCTCAGAAACTTATTTGTGATGTGTGCCCTCAACTGACAGTGTTGAACCTTTGTTTTGATAGAGCAGTTCTGAAACACACTTTTTGTAAAATCTGCAAGAGGATATTTGGATAGCTTTGAGGATTTCGTTGGAAACGGGAATGTCTTCATGTAAACTCTAGACAGAAGCATTCTCAGAAACTGCTTTGGGATGTTTCAATTGAAGTCCCAGTGTTGAACATTCCCTTTCATAGAGCAGGTTTGAAACACTCTTTTTGTAGTATCTGGAAGTGGACATTTGGAGCGCTTTCAGGTCTACGGTGAAAAAGGAGATATCTTCCAATAAAAACTAGATAGAAGCAATGTCAGAACTTTTTTCATGATGTATCTACTCAGCAAACAGAGTTGAACCTTTCTTTTGAGAGAGCAGTTTTGAAACACTCTTTTTGTGGAATATGCAAGTGGGTATTAGGCCAGCTTGGAGGATTTCGTTGGAAACGGGAATACGTATAAAAAGCAGACAGCAGCATTGTCAGAAACTACTTTGTGATGTTTGCATTCAAGTCACAGAATTGAACACTCCCTTTCACAGAGCAGGTTAGAAACACTCTTTTTGTAGTGTCTGTAAGTGAACATTTGGATTGCTTTCAGGCCTAAGGTGAAAAAGGAAATATCTTCCCATAAAAACTAGACAGAAGCATTCTCAGAAACTTGTTTGTGATGTGTGCCCTCTACTGACAGAGTTGAACCTTTCTTTGCAAAGAGCAGTTTTGAAACACTCTTTTTGTAGAATCTGCAAGAGGATATTTGGATAGCTTTGAGGATTTCTTGGGAAACGGGAATGTCTTCAGATAAACTCTAGACAGAAGCATTCTCAGAAACTTCTTTGGGATGTTTCAATTGAAGTCACAGTGTTGAACATTCCCTTTCACAGAGCAGGTTTGAAACACTCTTTTTGTAGTGTCTATAAGTGAACATTTGGCGTGCTTTCAGGGCCTAACGTGAAAAAGGAAATATCTTCCCATAAAAACTAGACAGAAGCATTCTCAGAAACTTGTTCTTGATGTGTCCCCTCTACTGACAGAGTTGAACCTTTCTTTGCAAAGAGCAGCTTTGAAACACTCTTTTTGTAGAATCTGCAAGAGGATATTTGGATAGCTTGGAGGATTTCGTTGGAAACGGGTATGTCTTCAGATAAACTCTAGACAGAAGCATTCTCAGAAACTTCTTTGGGATGTTGCATTCAAGTCACAGAGTAGAACATTCCCATTCATAGAGCAGATTTGAAACACTCTTTTTGTAGTATCTGGAAGTGGACATTTGGAGCGCTTTCAGGCCTATGTTGAAAAAGGAAATATCTTCCCATCAAAACTAGACGGAAGCATTCTCAGAAACTTACTTGTGATGTGTTTGCTCAACTAACAGAATTGAACCATCGTTTTGAAGGAGCAGTTTTGAAACACTGTTTTCGTGGAATCTGCAAGTGGATATTTGGCTAGCTTTGAGGATTTCGTTGGAAACGGGATTACATATAAAAAGGAGACAGCAGCATTCTCAGAAACTTCTTTGTGATGTCTGCATTCAATTCACAGAGTTGAGCATTCCCTTTCATAGAGCAGGTTGGAAACACTCTTTTTGTAGTATCTGGATGAGGACATTTGGAGCGCTTTCAGGCCTATGGTGAAAAAGGAAATATCTTCCCGTAAAAACTAGACAGAAGCATTCTCAGAAATTTATTTGTGATGTGTGCCCTCAACTAACAGAGTTGAACCTTTCTTTTGATAGAGCAGTTTTGAAACACTCTTTTTGTAAAATCTGCAAGAGGATATTTGGATAGCTTTGAGGATTTCGTTGCAAACGGGAATGGCTTCATATAAACTCTAGACAGAAGCATTCTCAGAAACTTCGTTGGGATGTTTCGATTGAAGTCCCAGTGTTGAACATTCCCTTTTATAGAGCAGGTTGGAAACACTCTTTCTGCATTCCCTGGAAGTGGACATTTGGAGCCCTTTCAGGACGACGGTGAAAATGGAAATATCTTCCAAGAAAATCTAGATAGAAGCAACGTCAGAAACTTTTCTGTGATGGATCTACTCAGCTAACAGAGTTGAACCTTTCTTTTGAGAGAGCAGTTTTGCAACACTCTTTTTGTGGAATATGCAAGTGGATATTAGGGCAGCTTTGAGGATTTCGTTGGAAACGGGAATACATGTAAAAAGCAGACAGCAGCATTCTCAGAAACTTCTTTGTGATGTTTGCATTGAAGTCACAGAGTTGAACATTCCCTTTGAGAGAGCAGGTTTGAAACACGCCTTTTGTCATATCTGGAAGTGTCCATTCGGAGCGCATTCAGGCTTGTGTTGAAAAAGGAAATATCCTCCCATAAAAACTAGACAGAAGCATTCTCAGAAACTTATCTGTGATGTATGTACTCAACTAACAGAACTAAACCATCGTTTTGAAGGAGCAGTTTTGAAACACTCTTTTTGCGGAATCTGCAAGTGGATATTTGGCTAGCTGGGAGGATTTCGTTGGAAACGGGATTACATACAAAAAGCAGACAGCAGCATTTTCAGAAACTACTTTGTGATGTTTGCATTCAAGTCACAGAGTTGAACATTCCCTTTCATACAGCAGGTTTGAAACACTCTTTTTGTAGTATCTGGATGTGGACATTTGGATCGCTTTCAGGCCTATGGTGAAAAAGGAAATATCTTCCCATGAAAACTAGACAGAAGCATTCTCAGAAACTTATTTGTGATGTGTGCCCTCAACTGACAGTGTTGAACCTTTGTTTTGATAGAGCAGTTCTGAAACACACTTTTTGTAAAATCTGCAAGAGGATATTTGGATAGCTTTGAGGATTTCGTTGGAAACGGGAATGTCTTCATGTAAACTCTAGACAGGAAGCATTCTCAGAAACTGCTTTGGGATGTTTCAATTGAAGTCCCAGTGTTGAACATTCCCATTCATAGAGCAGGTTTGAAACACTCTTTTTGTACTATCTGGAAGTGGACATTTGGAGCGCTTTCAGGTCTACGGTGAAAAAGGAGATATCTTCCAATAAAAACTAGATAGAAGCAATGTCAGAACTTTTTTCATGATGTATCTACTCAGCAAACAGAGTTGAACCTTTCTTTTGAGAGAGCAGTTTTGACACTGTCTTTGTGGAATATGCAAGTGGGTATTAGGCCAGCTTGGAGGATTTCGTTGGAAACGGGAATACGTATAAAAAGCAGACAGCAGCATTGTCAGAAACTACTTTGTGATGTTTGCATTCAAGTCACAGAATTGAACACTCCCTTTCACAGAGCAGGTTTGAAACACTCTTTTTGTAGTGTCTGTAAGTGAACATATGGATTGCTTTCAGGCCTAAGGTGAAAAAGGAAATATCTTCCCATAAAAACTAGACAGAAGCATTCTCAGAAACTTGTTTGTGATGTGTGCCCTCTACTGACAGAGTTGAACCTTTCTTTGCAAAGAGCAGTTTTGAAACACTCTTTTTGTAGAATCTGCAAGAGGATATTTGGATAGCTTTGAGGATTTCTTGGGAAACGGGAATGTCTTCAGATAAACTCTAGACAGAAGCATACTCAGAAACTTCTTTGGGACGTTTCAATTGAAGTCACAGTGTTGAACATTCCCTTTCACAGAGCAGGTTTGAAACACTCTTTTTGTAGTGTCTATAAGTGAACATTTGGCGTGCTTTCAGGCCTAACGTGAAAAAGGAAATATCTTCCCATAAAAACTAGACAGAAGCATTCTCAGAAACTTGTTCGTGATGTGTGCCCTCTACTGACAGAGTTGAACCTTTCTTTGCAAAGAGCAGCTTTGAAACACTCTTTTTGTAGAATCTGCAAGAGGATATTTGGATAGCTTTGAGGATTTCGTTGGAAACGGGTATGTCTTCAGATAAACTCTAGACAGAAGCATTCTCAGAAACTTCTTTGGGATGTTGCATTCAAGTCACAGAGTAGAACATTCCCATTCATAGAGCAGATTTGAAACACTCTTTTTGTAGTATCTGGAAGTGGACATTTGGAGCGCTTTCAGGCCTATGTTGAAAAAGGAAATATCTTCCCATAAAAACTAGACGGAAGCATTCTCAGAAACTTATTTGTGATGTGTTTGCTCAACTAACAGGATTGAACCATCGTTTTGAAGGAGCAGTTTTGAAACACTGTTTTCGTGGAATCTGCAAGTGGATATTTGGCTAGCTTTGAGGATTTCGTTGGAAACGGGATTACATATAAAAAGGAGACAGCAGCATTCTCAGAAACTTCTTTGTGATGTCTGCATTCAATTCACAGAGTTGAGCATTCCCTTTCCTAGAGCACGTTGGAAACACTCTTTTTGTAGTATCTGGATGAGGACATTTGGAGCGCTTTCAGGCGTATGGTGAAAAAGGAAATATCTTCCCGTAAAAACTAGACAGAAGCATTCTCAGAAATTTATTTGTGATGTGTGCCCTCAACTAACAGAGTTGAACCTTTCTTTTGATAGAGCAGTTTTGAAACACTCTTTTTGTAAAATCTGCAAGAGGATATTTGGATAGCTTTGAGGATTTCATTGCAAACGGGAATGGCTTCATATAAACTCTAGACAGAAGCATTCTCAGAAACTTCGTTGGGATGTTTCGATTGAAGTCCCAGTGTTGAACATTCCCTTTTATAGAGCAGGTTGGAAACACTCTTTCTGCATTCCCTGGAAGTGGACCTTTGGAGCGCTTTCAGGACGACGGTGAAAATGGAAATATCTTCCAATAAAATCTAGATAGAAGCAACGTCAGAAACTTTTATGTGATGGATCTACTCAGCTAACAGAGTTGAACCTTTCTTTTGAGAGAGCAGTTTTGCAACACTCTTTTTGTGGAATATGCAAGTGGATATTAGGGCAGCTTTGAGGATTTCGTTGGAAACGGGAATACATGTAAAAAGCAGACAGCAGCATTCTCAGAAACTTCTTTGTGATGTTTGCATTGAAGTCACAGAGTTGAACATTCCCTTTGAGAGAGCAGGTTTGAAACACGCCTTTTGTCATATCTGGAAGTGTCCATTCGGAGCGCATTCAGGCTTGTGTTGAAAAAGGAAATATCCTCCCATAAAAACTAGACAGAAGCATTCTCAGAAACTTATCTGTGATGTATGTACTCAACTAACAGAACTAAACCATCGTTTTGAAGGAGCAGTTTTGAAACACTCTTTTTGCGGAATCTGCAAGTGGATATTTGGCTAGCTGGGAGGATTTCGTTGGAAACGGGATTACATACAAAAAGCAGACAGCAGCATTCTCAGAAACTTCTTTGTGATGTTTGCATTCAAGTCACAGAGTTGAACATTCCCTTTCATAGAGCAGGTTTGAAACACTCTTTTTGTAGTATGTGGATGTGGACATTTGGATCGCTTTCAGGCCTATGGTGAAAAAGGAAATATCTTCCCATGAAAACTAGACAGAAGCATTCTCAGAAACTTATTTGTGATGTGTGCCCTCAACTGACAGTGTTGAACCTTTGTTTTGATAGAGCAGTTCTGAAACACACTTTTTGTAAAATCTGCAAGAGGATATTTGGATAGCTTTGAGGATTTCGTTGGAAACGGGAATGTCTTCATGTAAACTCTAGACAGAAGCATTCTCAGAAACTGCTTTGGGATGTTTCAATTGAAGTCCCAGTGTTGAACATTCCCATTCATAGAGCAGGTTTGAAACACTCTTTTTGTACTATCTGGAAGTGGACATTTGGAGCGCTTTCAGGTCTACGGTGAAAAAGGAGATATCTTCCAATAAAAACTAGATAGAAGCAATGTCAGAACTTTTTTCATGATGTATCTACTCAGCAAACAGAGTTGAACCTTTCTTTTGAGAGAGCAGTTTTGACACTGTCTTTGTGGAATATGCAAGTGGGTATTAGGCCAGCTTGGAGGATTTCGTTGGAAACGGGAATACGTATAAAAAGCAGACAGCAGCATTGTCAGAAACTACTTTGTGATGTTTGCATTCAAGTCACAGAAGTGAACACTCCCTTTCACAGAGCAGGTTTGAAACACTCTTTTTGTAGTGTCTGTAAGTGAACATTTGGATTGCTTTCAGGCCTATGGTGAAAAAGGAAATATCTTCCCATAAAAACTAGACAGAAGCATTCTCAGAAACTTGTTTGTGATGTGTGCCCTCTACTGACAGAGTTGAAACTTTCTTTGCAAAGAGCAGTTTTGAAACACTCTTTTTGTAGAATCTGCAAGAGGATATTTGGATAGCTTTGAGGATTTCCTGGGAAACGGGAATGTCTTCAGATAAACTCTAGACAGAAGCATTCTCAGTAAACTTCTTTGGGATGTTTCAATTGAAGTCACAGTGTTGAACATTCCCTTTCACAGAGCAGGTTTGAAACACTCTTTTTGTAGTGTCTATAAGTGAACATTTGGCGTGCTTTCAGGCGTAACGTGAAAAAGGAAATATCTTCCCATAAAAACTAGACAGAAGCATTCTCAGAAACTTGTTCGTGATGTGTGCCCTCTACTGACAGAGTTGAACCTTTCTTTGCAAAGAGCAGCTTTGAAACACTCTTTTTGTAGAATCTGCAAGAGGATATTTGGATAGCTTTGAGGATTTCGTTGGAAACGGGTATGTCTTCAGATAAACTCTAGACAGAAGCATTCTCAGAAACTTCTTTGGGATGTTGCATTCAAGTCACAGAGTAGAACATTCCCATTCATAGAGCAGATTTGAAACACTCTTTTTGTAGTATCTGGAAGTGGACATTTGGAGCGCTTTCAGGCCTATGTTGAAAAAGGAAATATCTTCCCATAAAAACTAGACGGAAGCATTCTCAGAAACTTAATTGTGATGTGTTTGCTCAACTAACAGGATTGAACCATCGTTTTGAAGGAGCAGTTTTGAAACACTGTTTTCGTGGAATCTGCAAGTGGATATTTGGCTAGCTTTCAGGATTTCGTTGGAAACGGGATTACCTATAAAAAGGAGACAGCAGCATTCTCAGAAACTTCTTTGTGATGTCTGCATTCAATTCACAGAGTTGAGCATTCCCTTTCATAGAGCAGGTTGGAAACACTCTTTTTGTAGTATCTGGATGAGGACATTTGGAGCGCTTTCAGGCGTATGGTGAAAAAGGAAATATCTTCCCGTAAAAACTAGACAGAAGCATTCTCAGAAGTTTATTTGTGATGTGTGCCCTCAACTAACAGAGTTGAACCTTTCTTTTGATAGAGCAGTTTTGAAACACTCTTTTTGTAAAATCTGCAAAAGGATATTTGGATAGCTTTGAGGATTTCGTTGCAAACGGGAATGGCTTCATATAAACTCTAGACAGAAGCATTCTCAGAAACTTCGTTGGGATGTTTCGATTGAAGTCCCAGTGTTGAACATTCCCTTTTATAGAGCAGGTTGGAAACACTCTTTCTGCATTCCCTGGAAGTGGACATTTGGAGCGCTTTCAGGACGACGGTGAAAATGGAAATATCTTCCAAGAAAATCTAGATAGAAGCAATGTCAGAAACTTTTATGTGATGGATCTACTCAGCTAACAGAGTTGAACCTTTCTTTTGAGAGAGCAGTTTTGCAACACTCTTTTTGTGGAATATGCAAGTGGATATTAGGGCAGCTTTGAGGATTTCGTTGGAAACGGGAATACATGTAAAAAGCAGACAGCAGCATTCTCAGAAACTTCTTTGTGATGTTTGCATTGAAGTCACAGAGTTGAACATTCCCTTTGAGAGAGCAGGTTTGAAACACGCCTTTTGTCATATCTGGAAGTGTCCATTCGGAGCGCATTCAGGCTTGTGTTGAAAAAGGAAATATCCTCCCATAAAAACTAGACAGAAGCATTCTCAGAAACTTATCTGTGATGTATGTACTCAACTAACAGAACTAAACCATCGTTTTGAAGGAGCAGTTTTGAAACACTCTTTTTGCGGAATCTGCAAGTGGATATTTGGCTAGCTGGGAGGATTTCGTTGGAAACGGGATTACATACAAAAAGCAGACAGCAGCATTCTCAGAAACTTATTTGTGATGTGTGCCCTCAACTGACAGTGTTGAACCTTTGTTTTGATAGAGCAGTTCTGAAACACACTTTTTGTAAAATCTGCAAGAGGATATTTGGATAGCTTTGAGGATTTCGTTGGAAACGGGAATGTCTTCATGTAAACTCTAGACAGAAGCATTCTCAGAAACTGCTTTGGGATGTTTCAATTGAAGTCCCAGTGTTGAACATTCCCATTCATAGAGCAGGTTTGAAACACTCTTTTTGTACTATCTGGAAGTGGACATTTGGAGCGCTTTCAGGTCTACGGTGAAAAAGGAGATATCTTCCAATAAAAACTAGATAGAAGCAATGTCAGAACTTTTTTCATGATGTATCTACTCAGCTAACCGAGTTGAACCTTTCTTTTGAGAGAGCAGTTTTGAAACACTCTTTTTGTGGAATATGCAAGTGGGTATTAGGCCAGCTTGGAGGATTTCGTTGGAAACGGGAATACGTATAAAAAGCAGACAGCAGCATTGTCAGAAACTACTTTGTGATGTTTGCATTCAAGTCACAGAATTGAACACTCCCTTTCACAGAGCAGGTTTGAAACACTCTTTTTGTAGTGTCTGTAAGTGAACATTTGGATTGCTTTCAGGCCTAAGGTGAAAAAGGAAATATCTTCCCATAAAAACTAGACAGAAGCATTCTCAGAAACTTGTTTGTGATGTGTGCCCTCTACTGACAGAGTTGAACCTTTCTTTGCAAAGACCAGTTTTGAAACACTCTTTTTGTAGAATCTGCAAGAGGATATTTGGATAGCTTTGAGGATTTACTTGGGAAACGGGAATGTCTTCAGATAAACTCTAGACAGAAGCATTCTCAGAAACTTCTTTGGGATGTTTCAATTGAAGTCACAGTGTTGAACATTCCCTTTCACAGAGCAGGTTTGAAATACTCTTTTTGTAGTGTCTATAAGTGAACATTTGGCGTGCTTTCAGGCGTAACGTGAAAAAGGAAATATCTTCCCATAAAAACTAGACAGAAGCATTCTCAGAAACTTGTTCGTGATGTGTGCCCTCTACTGACAGAGTTGAACCTTTCTTTACAAAGAGCAGCTTTGAAACACACTTTTTGTAGAATCTGCAAGAGGATATTTGGATAGCTTTGAGGATTTCGTTGGAAACGGGTATGTCTTCAGATAAACTCTAGACAGAAGCATTCTCAGAAACTTCTTTGGGATGTTGCATTCAAGTCACAGAGTAGAACATTCCCATTCATAGAGCAGATTTGAAACACTCTTTTTGTAGTATCTGGAAGTGGACATTTGGAGCGCTTTCAGGCCTATGTTGAAAAAGGAAATATCTTCCCATAAAAACTAGACGGAAGCATTCTCAGAAACTTATTTGTGATGTGTTTGCTCAACTAACAGGATTGAACCATCGTTTTGAAGGAGCAGTTTTGAAACACTGTTTTCGTGGAATCTGCAAGTGGATATTTGGCTAGCTTTGAGGATTTCGTTGGAAACGGGATTACATATACAAAGGAGACAGCAGCATTCTCAGAAACTTCTTTGTGATGTCTGCATTCAAGTCACAGAGTTGAGCATTCCCGTTCATAGAGCAGGTTGGAAACACTCTTTTTGTAGTATCTGGATGAGGACATTTGGAGCGCTTTCAGGCCTATGGTGAAAAAGGAAATATCTTCCCGTAAAAACTAGACAGAAGCATTCTCAGAAATTTATTTGTGATGTGTGCCCTCAACTAACAGAGTTGAACCTTTCTTTTGATAGAGCAGTTTTGAAACACTCTTTTTGTAAAATCTGCAAGAGGATATTTGGATAGCTTTGAGGATTTCGTTGCAAACGGGAATGGCTTCATATAAACTCTAGACAGAAGCATTCTCAGAAACTTCGTTGGGATGTTTCGATTGAAGTCCCAGTGTTGAACATTCCCTTTTATAGAGCAGGTTGGAAACACTCTTTCTGCATTCCCTGGAAGTGGACCTTTGGAGCGCTTTCAGGACGACGGTGAAAATGGAAATATCTTCCAATAAAATCTAGATAGAAGCAACGTCAGAAACTTTTATGTGATGGATCTACTCAGCTAACAGAGTTGAACCTTTCTTTTGAGAGAGCAGTTTTGCAACACTCTTTTTGTGGAATATGAAAGTGGATATTAGGGCAGCTTTGAGGATTTCGTTGGAAACGGGAATACATGTAAAAAGCAGACAGCAGCATTCTCAGAAACTTCTTTGTGATGTTTGCATTGAAGTCACAGAGTTGAACATTCTCTTTGAGAGAGCAGGTTTGAAACACGCCTTTTGTCATATCTGGAAGTGTCCATTCGGAGCGCATTCAGGCTTGTGTTGAAAAAGGAAATGTCCTCCCATAAAAACTAGACAGAAGCATTCTCAGAAACTTATCTGTGATGTATGTACTCAACTAACAGAACTAAACCATCGTTTTGAAGGAGCAGTTTTGAAACACTCTTTTTGCGGAATCTGCAAGTGGATATTTGGCTAGCTGGGAGGATTTCGTTGGAAACGGGATTACATACAAAAAGCAGACAGCAGCATTCTCAGAAACTTATTTGTGATGTGTGCCCTCAACTGACAGTGTTGAACCTTTGTTTTGATAGAGCAGTTCTGAAACACACTTTTTGTAAAATCTGCAAGAGGATATTTGGATAGCTTTGAGGATTTCGTTGGAAACGGGAATGTCTTCATGTAAACTCTAGACAGAAGCATTCTCAGAAACTGCTTTGGGATGTTTCAATTGAAGTCCCAGTGTTGAACATTCCCATTCATAGAGCAGGTTTGAAACACTCTTTTTGTACTATCTGGAAGTGGACATTTGGAGCGCTTTCAGGTCTACGGTGAAAAAGGAGATATCTTCCAATAAAAACTAGATAGAAGCAATGTCAGAACTTTTTTCATGATGTATCTACTCAGCAAGCAGAGTTGAACCTTTCTTTTGAGAGAGCAGTTTTGAAACACTCTTTTTGTGGAATATGCAAGTGGGTATTAGGCCAGCTTGGAGGATTTCGTTGGAAACGGGAATACGTATAAAAAGCAGACAGCAGCATTGTCAGAAACTACTTTGTGATGTTTGCATTCAAGTCACAGAATTGAACACTCCCTTTCACAGAGCAGGTTTGAAACACTCTTTTTGTAGTGTCTGTAAGTGAACATATGGATTGCTTTCAGGCCTAAGGTGAAAAAGGAAATATCTTCCCATAAAAACTAGACAGAAGCATTCTCAGAAACTTGTTTGTGATGTGTGCCCTCTACTGACAGAGTTGAACCTTTCTTTGCAAAGAGCAGTTTTGAAACACTCTTTTTGTAGAATCTGCAAGAGGATATTTGGATAGCTTTGAGGATTTCTTGGGAAACGGGAATGTGTTCAGATAAACTCTAGACAGAAGCATTCTCAGAAACTTCTTTGGGATGTTTCAATTGAAGTCACAGTGTTGAACATTCCCTTTCACAGAGCAGGTTTGAAACACTCTTTTTGTAGTGTCTATAATTGAACATTTGGAGTGCTTTCAGGCCTAACGTGAAAAAGGAAATATCTTCCCATAAAAACTAGACAGAAGCATTCTCAGAAACTTGTTCGTGATGTGTGCCCTCTACTGACAGAGTTGAACCTTTCTTTGCAAAGAGCAGCTTTGAAACACTCTTTTTGTAGAATCTGCAAGAGGATATGTGGATAGCTTTGAGGATTTCGTTGGAAACGGGTATGTCTTCAGATAAACTCTAGACAGAAGCATTCTCAGAAACTTCTTTGGGATGTTTCAATTGAAGTCACAGTGTTGAACATTCCTTTTCACAGAGCAGGTTTGAAACACTCTTTTTGTAGTGTCTATAAGTGAACATTTGGCGTGCTTTCAGGCCTAACGTGAAAAAGGAAATATCTTCCCATAAAAACTAGACAGAAGCATTCTCAGAAACTTGTTCTTGATGTGTCCCCTCTACTGACAGAGTTGAACCTTTCTTTGCAAAGAGCAGCTTTGAAACACTCTTTTTGTAGAATCTGCAAGAGGATATTTGGATATCTTGGAGGATTTCGTTGGAAACGGGTATGTCTTCAGATAAACTCTAGACAGAAGCATTCTCAGAAACTTCTTTGGGATGTTGCATTCAAGTCACAGAGTAGAACATTCCCATTCATAGAGCAGATTTGAAACACTCTTTTTGTAGTATCTGGAAGTGGACATTTGGAGCGCTTTCAGGCCTATGTTGAAAAAGGAAATATCTTCCCATAAAAACTAGACGGAAGCATTCTCAGAAACTTATTTGTGATGTGTTTGCTCAACTAACAGGATTGAACCATCGTTTTGAAGGAGCAGTTTTGAAACACTGTTTTCGTGGAATCTGCAAGTGGATATTTGGCTAGCTTTGAGGATTTCGTTGGAAACGGGATTACATATAAAAAGGAGACAGCAGCATTCTCAGAAACTTCTTTGTGATGTCTGCATTCAATTCACAGAGTTGAGCATTCCCTTTCATAGAGCACGTTGGAAACACTCTTTTTGTAGTATCTGGATGAGGACATTTGGAGCGCTTTCAGGCCTATGGTGAAAAAGGAAATATCTTCCCGTAAAAACTAGACAGAAGCATTCTCAGAAGTTTATTTCTGATGTGTGCCCTCAACTAACAGAGTTGAACCTTTCTTTTGATAGAGCAGTTTTGAAACACTCTTTTTGTAAAATCTGCAAGAGGATATTTGGATAGCTTTGAGGATTTCGTTGCAAACGGGAATGGCTTCATATAAACTCTAGACAGAAGCATTCTCAGAAACTTCGTTGGGATGTTTCGATTGAAGTCCCAGTGTTGAACATTCCCATTCATAGAGCAGGTTTGAAACACTCTTTTTGTACTATCTGGAAGTGGACATTTGGAGCGCTTTCAGGTCTACGGTGAAAAAGGAGATATCTTCCAATAAAAACTAGATAGAAACAATGTCAGAACTTTTTTCATGATGTATCTACTCAGCAAACAGAGTTGAACCTTTCTTTTGAGAGAGCAGTTTTGAAACACTCTTTTTGTGGAATATGCAAGTGGGTATTAGGCCAGCTTGGAGGATTTCGTTGGAAACGGGAATACGTATAAAAAGCAGACAGCAGCATTGTCAGAAACTACTTTGTGATATTTGCATTCAAGTCACAGAATTGAACACTCCCTTTCACAGAGCAGGTTTGAAACACTCTTTTTGTAGTGTCTGTAAGTGAACATTTGGATTGCTTTCAGGCCTAAGGTGAAAAAGGAAATATCTTCCCATAAAAACTAGACAGAAGCATTCTCAGAAACTTGTTTGTGATGTGTGCCCTCTACTGACAGAGTTGAACCTTTCTTTGCAAAGAGCAGTTTTGAAACACTCTTTTTGTAGAATCTGCAAGAGGATATTTGGATAGCTTTGAGGATTTCTTGGGAAACGGGAATGTCTTCAGATAAACTCTAGACAGAAGCATTCTCAGAAACTGCTTTGGGATGTTTCAATTGAAGTCCCAGTGTTGAACATTCCCTTTCATAGAGCAGGTTTGAAACACTCTTTTTGTACTATCTGGAAGTGGACATTTGGAGCGCTTTCAGGTCTACGGTGAAAAAGGAGATATCTTCCAATAAAAACTAGATAGAAGCAATGTCAGAACTTTTTTCATGATGTATCTACTCAGCAAACAGAGTTGAACCTTTCTTTTGAGAGAGCAGTTTTGAAACACTCTTTTTGTGGAATATGCAAGTGGGTATTAGGCCAGCTTGGAGGATTTCGTTGGAAACGGGAATACGTATAAAAAGCAGACAGCAGCATTGTCAGAAACTACTTTGTGAGGTTTGCATTCAAGTCACAGAATTGAACACTCCCTTTCACAGAGCATGTTTGAAACACTCTTTTTGTAGTGTCTGTAAGTGAACATTTGGATTGCTTTCAGGCCTAAGGTGAAAAAGGAAATATCTTCCCATAAAAACTAGACAGAAGCATTCTCAGAAACTTGTTTGTGATGTGTGCCCTCTACTGACAGAGTTGAACCTTTCTTTGCAAAGAGCAGTTTTGAAACACTCTTTTTGTAGAATCTGCAAGAGGATATTTGGATAGCTTTGAGGATTTCTTGGGAAACGGGAATGTCTTCAGATAAACTCTAGACAGAAGCATTCTCAGAAACTTCTTTGGGATGTTTCAATTGAAGTCACAGTGTTGAACATTCCCTTTCACAGAGCAGGTTTGAAACACTCTTTTTGTAGTGTCTATAATTGAACATTTGGCGTGCTTTCAGGCCTAACGTGAAAAAGGAAATATCTTCCCATAAAAACTAGACAGAAGCATTCTCAGAAACTTGTTCGTGATGTGTGCCCTCTACTGACAGAGTTGAACCTTTCTTTGCAAAGAGCAGCTTTGAAACACTCTTTTTGTAGAATCTGCAAGAGGATATGTGGATAGCTTGGAGGATTTCGTTGGAAACGGGTATGTCTTCAGATAAACTCTAGACAGAAGCATTCTCAGAAAGTTCTTTGGGATGTTTCAATTGAAGTCACAGTGTTGAACATTCCCTTTCACAGAGCAGGTTTGAAACACTCTTTTTGTAGTGTCTATAAGTGAACATTTGGCGTGCTTTCAGGCCTAACGTGAAAAAGGAAATATCTTCCCATAAAAACTAGACAGAAGCATTCTCAGAAACTTGTTCATGATGTGTGCCCTCTACTGACAGAGTTGAACCTTTCTTTGCAAAGAGCAGCTTTGAAACACTCTTTTTGTAGAATCTGCAAGAGGATATTTGGATAGCTTGGAGGATTTCGTTGGAAACGGGTATGTCTTCAGATAAACTCTAGACAGAAGCATTCTCAGAAACTTCTTTGGGATGTTGCATTCAAGTCACAGAGTAGAACATTCCCATTCATAGAGCAGATTTGAAACACTCTTTTTGTAGTATCTGGAAGTGGACATTTGGAGCGCTTTCAGGCCTATGTTGAAAAAGGAAATATCTTCCCATAAAAACTAGACGGAAGCATTCTCAGAAACTTATTTGTGATGTGTTTGCTCAACTAACAGGATTGAACCATCGTTTTGAAGGAGCAGTTTTGAAACACTGTTTTCGTGGAATCTGCAAGTGGATATTTGGCTAGCTTTGAGGATTTCGTTGGAAACGGGATTACATATAAAAAGGAGACAGCAGCATTCTCAGAAACTTCTTTGTGATGTCTGCATTCAATTCACAGAGTTGAGCATTCCCTTTCATAGAGCAGGTTGGAAACACTCTTTTTGTAGTATCTGGATGAGGACATTTGGAGCGCTTTCAGGCGTATGGTGAAAAAGGAAATATCTTCCCGTAAAAACTAGACAGAAGCATTCTCAGAAGTTTATTTGTGATGTGTGCCCTCAACTAACAGAGTTGAACCTTTCTTTTGATAGAGCAGTTTTGAAACACTCTTTTTGTAAAATCTGCAAGAGGATATTTGGATAGCTTTGAGGATTTCGTTGCAAACGGGAATGGCTTCATATAAACTCTAGACAGAAGCATTCTCAGAAACTTCGTTGGGATGTTTCGATTGAAGTCCCAGTGTTGAACATTCCCTTTTATAGAGCAGGTTGGAAACACTCTTTCTGCATTCCCTGGAAGTGGACATTTGGAGCGCTTTCAGGACGACGGTGAAAATGGAAATATCTTCCAATAAAATCTAGATAGAAGCAACGTCAGAAACTTTTATGTGATGGATCTACTCAGCTAACAGAGTTGAACCTTTCTTTTGAGAGAGCAGTTTTGCAACACTCTTTTTGTGGAATATGCAAGTGGATATTAGGGCAGCTTTGAGGATTTCGTTGGAAACGGGAATACATGTAAAAAGCAGACAGCAGCATTCTCAGAAACTTCTTTGTGATGTTTGCATTGAAGTCACAGAGTTGAACATTCCCTTTGAGAGAGCAGGTTTGAAACACGCCTTTTGTCATATCTGGAAGTGTCCATTCGGAGCGCATTCAGGCTTGTGTTGAAAAAGGAAATATCCTCCCATAAAAACTAGACAGAAGCATTCTCAGAAACTTATCTGTGATGTATGTACTCAACTAACAGAACTAAACCATCGTTTTGAAGGAGCAGTTTTGAAACACTCTTTTTGCGGAATCTGCAAGTGGATATTTGGCTAGCTGGGAGGATTTCGTTGGAAACGGGATTACATACAAAAAGCAGACAGCAGCATTCTCAGAAACTTATTTGTGATGTGTGCCCTCAACTGACAGTGTTGAACCTTTGTTTTGATAGAGCAGTTCTGAAACACACTTTTTGTAAAATCTGCAAGAGGATATTTGGATAGCTTTGAGGATTTCGTTGGAAACGGGAATGTCTTCATGTAAACTCTACACAGAAGCATTCTCAGAAACTGCTTTGGGATGTTTCAATTGAAGTCCCACTGTTGAACATTCCCTTTCATAGAGCAGGTTTGAAACACTCTTTTTGTACTATCTGGAAGTGGACATTTGGAGCGCTTTCAGGTCTACGGTGAAAAAGGAGATATCTTCCAATAAAAACTAGATAGAAGCAATGTCAGAACTTTTTTCATGATGTATCTACTCAGCAAACAGAGTTGAACCTTTCTTTTGAGAGAGCAGTTTTGAAACACTCTTTTTGTGGAATATGCAAGTGGGTATTAGGCCAGCTTGGAGGATTTCGTTGGAAACGGGAATACGTATAAAAAGCAGACAGCAGCATTGTCAGAAACTACTTTGTGATGTTTGCATTCAAGTCACAGTAATTGAACACTCCCTTTCACAGAGCAGGTTTGAAACACTCTTTTTGTAGTGTCTGTAAGTGAACATTTGGATTGCTTTCAGGCCTAAGGTGAAAAAGGAAATATCTTCCCATAAAAACTAGACAGAAGCATTCTCAGAAACTTGTTTGTGATGTGTGCCCTCTACTGACAGAGTTGAACCTTTCTTTGCAAAGAGCAGCTTTGAAACACTCTTTTTGTAGAATCTGCAAGAGGATATTTGGATAGCTTTGAGGATTTCTTGGGAAACGGGAATGTCTTCAGATAAACTCTAGACAGAAGCATTCTCAGAAACTTCTTTGGGATGTTTCAATTGAAGTCACAGTGTTGAACATTCCCTTTCACAGAGCAGGTTTGAAACACTCTTTTTGTAGTGTCTATAAGTGAACATTTGGCGTGCTTTCAGGCCTAACGTGAAAAAGGAAATATCTTCCCATAAAAACTAGACAGAAGCATTCTCAGAAACTTGTTTGTGATGTGTGCCCTCTACTGACAGAGTTGAACCTTTCTTTGCAAAGAGCAGTTTTGAAACACTCTTTTTGTAGAATGTGCAAGAGGATATTTGGATAGATTTGAGGATTTCTTGGGAAACGGGAATGTCTTCAGATAAACTCTAGACAGAAACATTCTCAGAAACTTCTTTGGGATGTTGCATTCAAGTCACAGAGTAGAACATTCCCATGCATAGAGCAGATTTGAAACACTCTTTTTGTAGTATCTGGAAGTGGACATTTGGAGCGCTTTCAGGCCTATGTTGAAAAAGGAAATATCTTCCCATAAAAACTAGACGGGAAGCATTCTCAGAAACTTATTTGTGATGTGTTTGCTCAACTAACAGGATTGAACCATCGTTTTGAAGGAGCAGTTTTGAAACACTGTTTTCGTGGAATCTGCAAGTGGATATTTGGCTAGCTTTGAGGATTTCGTTGGAAACGGGATTACATATAAAAAGGAGACAGCAGCATTCTCAGAAACTTCTTTGTGATGTCTGCATTCAAGTCACAGAGTTGAGCATTCCCTTTCATAGAGCAGGTTGGAAACACTCTTTTTGTAGTATCTGGATGAGGACATTTGGAGCGCTTTCAGGCGTATGGTGAAAAAGGAAATATCTTCCCGTAAAAACTAGACAGAAGCATTCTCAGAAATTTATTTGTGATGTGTGCCCTCAACTAACAGAGTTGAACCTTTCTTTTGATAGAGCAGTTTTGAAACACTCTTTTTGTAAAATCTGCAAGAGGATATTTGGATAGCTTTGAGGATTTCGTTGCAAACGGGAATGGCTTCATATAAACTCTAGACAGAAGCATTCTCAGAAACTTCGTTGGGATGTTTCGATTGAAGTCCCAGTGTTGAACATTCCCTTTTATAGAGCAGGTTGGAAACACTCTTTCTGCATTCCCTGGAAGTGGACATTTGGAGCGCTTTCAGGACGACGGTGAAAATGGAAATATCTTCCAAGAAAATCTAGATAGAAGCAATGTCAGAAACTTTTATGTGATGGATCTACTCAGCTAACAGAGTTGAACCTTTCTTTTGAGAGAGCAGTTTTGCAACACTCTTTTTGTGGAATATGCAAGTGGATATTAGGGCAGCTTTGAGGATTTCGTTGGAAACGGGAATACATATAAAAAGCAGACAGCAGCATTCTCAGAAACTTCTTTGTGATGTTTGCATTGAAGTCACAGAGTTGAACATTCCCTTTGAGAGAGCAGGTTTGAAACACGCCTTTTGTCATATCTGGAAGTGTCCATTCGGAGCGCATTCAGGCTTGTGTTGAAAAAGGAAATATCCTCCCATAAAAACTAGACAGAAGCATTCTCAGAAACTTATCTGTGATGTATGTACTCAACTAACAGAACTAAACCATCGTTTTGAAGGAGCAGTTTTGAAACACTCTTTTTGCGGAATCTGCAAGTGGATATTTGGCTAGCTGGGAGGATTTCGTTGGAAACGGGATTACATACAAAAAGCAGAGAGCAGCATTCTCAGAAACTTATTTGTGATGTGTGCCCTCAACTGACAGTGTTGAACCTTTGTTTTGATAGAGCAGTTCTGAAACACACTTTTTGTAAAATCTGCAAGAGGATATTTGGATAGCTTTGAGGATTTCGTTGGAAACGGGAATGTCTTCATGTAAACTCTAGACAGAAGCATTCTCAGAAACTGCTTTGGGATGTTTCAATTGAAGTCCCAGTGTTGAACATTCCCATTCATAGAGCAGGTTTGAAACACTCTTTTTGTACTATCTGGAAGTGGACATTTGGAGCGCTTTCAGGTCTACGGTGAAAAAGGAGATATCTTCCAATAAAAACTAGATAGAAGCAATGTCAGAACTTTTTTCATGATGTATCTACTCAGCAAACAGAGTTGAACCTTTCTTTTGAGAGAGCAGTTTTGAAACACTCTTTTTGTGGAATATGAAAGTGGGTATTAGGCCAGCTTGGAGGATTTCGTTGGAAACGGGAATACGTATAAAAAGCAGACAGCAGCATTGTCAGAAACTACTTTGTGATGTTTGCATTCAAGTCACAGAATTGAACACTCCCTTTCACAGAGCAGGTTTGAAACACTCTTTTTGTAGTGTCTGTAAGTGAACATATGGATTGCTTTCAGGCCTAAGGTGAAAAAGGAAATATCTTCCCATAAAAACTAGACAGAAGCATTCTCAGAAACTTGTTTGTGATGTGTGCCCTCTACTGACAGAGTTGAACCTTTCTTTGCAAAGACCAGTTTTGAAACACTCTTTTTGTAGAATCTGCAAGAGGATATTTGGATAGCTTTGAGGATTTCTTGGGAAACGGGAATGTCTTCAGATAAACTCTAGACAGAAGCATTCTCAGAAACTTCTTTGGGATATTTCAATTGAAGTCACAGTGTTGAACATTCCCTTTCACAGAGCAGGTTTGAAACACTCTTTTTGTAGTGTCTATAAGTGAACATTTGGCGTGCTTTCAGGCCTAACGTGAAAAAGGAAATATCTTCCCATAAAAACTAGACAGAAGCATTCTCAGAAACTTGTTCGTGATGTGTGCCCTCTACTGACAGAGTTGAACCTTTCTTTGCAAAGAGCAGCTTTGAAACACTCTTTTTGTAGAATCTGCAAGAGGATATTTGGATAGCTTTGAGGATTTCGTTGGAAACGGGTATGTCTTCAGATAAACTCTAGACAGAAGCATTCTCAGAAACTTCTTTGGGATGTTGCATTCAAGTCACAGAGTAGAACATTCCCATTCATAGAGCAGATTTGAAACACTCTTTTTGTAGTATCTGGAAGTGGACATTTGGAGCGCTTTCAGGCCTATGTTGAAAAAGGAAATATCTTCCCATAAAAACTAGACGGAAGCATTCTCAGAAACTTATTTGTGATGTGTTTGCTCAACTAACAGGATTGAACCATCGTTTTGAAGGAGCAGTTTTGAAACACTGTTTTCGTGGAATCTGCAAGTGGATATTTGGCTAGCTTTGAGGATTTCGTTGGAAATGGGATTACATATACAAAGGAGACAGCAGCATTCTCAGAAACTTCTTTGTGATGTCTGCATTCAATTCACAGAGTTGAGCATTCCCTTTCATAGAGCAGGTTGGAAACACTCTTTTTGTAGTATCTGGATGAGGACATTTGGAGCGCTTTCTGGCCTATGGTGAAAAAGGAAATATCTTCCTGTAAAAACTAGACAGAAGCATTCTCAGAAATTTATTTGTGATCTGTGCCCTCAACTAACAGAGTTGAACCTTTCTTTTGATAGAGCAGTTTTGAAACACTCTTTTTGTAAAATCTGCAAGAGGATATTTGGATAGCTTTGAGGATTTCGTTGCAAACGGGAATGGCTTCATATAAACTCTAGACAGAAGCATTCTCAGAAACTTCTTTGGGATGTTTCGATTGAAGTCCCAGTGTTGAACTTTCCCTTTTATAGAGCAGGTTGGAAACACTCTTTCTGCATTCCCTGGAAGTGGACATTTGGAGCGCTTTCAGGACGACGGTGAAAATGGAAATATCTTCCAATAAAATCTAGATAGAAGCAACGTCAGAAACTTTTATGTGATGGATCTACTCAGCTAACAGAGTTGAACCTTTCTTTTGAGAGAGCAGTTTTGCAACACTCTTTTTGTGGAATATGCAAGTGGATATTAGGGCAGCTTTGAGGATTTCGTTGGAAACGGGAATACATGTAAAAAGCAGACAGCAGCATTCTCAGAAACTTCTTTGTGATGTTTGCATTGAAGTCACAGAGTTGAACATTCCCTTTGAGAGAGCAGGTTTGAAACACGCCTTTTGTCATATCTGGAAGTGTCCATTCGGAGCGCATTCAGGCTTGTGTTGAAAAAGGAAATATCCTCCCATAAAAACTAGACAGAAGCATTCTCAGAAACTTATCTGTGATGTATGTACTCAACTAACAGAACTAAACCATCGTTTTGAAGGAGCAGTTTTGAAACACTCTTTTTGCGGAATCTGCAAGTGGATATTTGGCTAGCTGGGAGGATTTCGTTGGAAACGGGATTACATACAAAAAGCAGACAGCAGCATTCTCAGAAACTTATTTGTGATGTGTGCCCTCAACTGACAGTGTTGAACCTTTGTTTTGATAGAGCAGTTCTGAAACACACTTTTTGTAAAATCTGCAAGAGGATATTTGGATAGCTTTGAGGATTTCGTTGGAAACGGGAATGTCTTCATGTAAACTCTAGACAGAAGCATTCTCAGAAACTGCTTTGGGATGTTTCAATTGAAGTCCCAGTGTTGAACATTCCCTTTCATAGAGCAGGTTTGAAACACTCTTTTTGTACTATCTGGAAGTGGACATTTGGAGCGCTTTCAGGTCTACGGTGAAAAAGGAGATATCTTCCAATAAAAACTAGATAGAAGCAATGTCAGAACTTTTTTCATGATGTATCTACTCAGCAAACAGAGTTGAACCTTTCTTTTGAGAGAGCAGTTTTGAAACACTCTTTTTGTGGAATATGCAAGTGGGTATTAGGCCAGCTTGGAGGATTTCGTTGGAAACGGGAATACGTATAAAAAGCAGACAGCAGCATTGTCAGAAACTACTTTGTGATGTTTGCATTCAAGTCACAGAATTGAACACTCCCTTTCACAGAGCAGGTTTGAAACACTCTTTTTGTAGTGTCTGTAAGTGAACATATGGATTGCTTTCAGGTCTAAGGTGAAAAAGGAAATATCTTCCCATAAAAACTAGACAGAAGCATTCTCAGAAACTTGTTTGTGATGTGTGCCCTCTACTGACAGAGTTGAACCCTTCTTTGCAAAGAGCAGTTTTGAAACACTCTTTTTGTAGAATCTGCAAGAGGATATTTGGATAGCTTTGAGGATTTCTTGGGAAACGGGAATGTCTTCAGATAAACTCTAGACAGAAGCATTCTCAGAAACTTCTTTGGGATATTTCAATTGAAGTCACAGTGCTGAACATTCCCTTTCACAGAGCAGGTTTGAAACACTCTTTTTGTAGTGTCTATAAGTGAACATTTGGCGTGCTTTCAGGCCTAACGTGAAAAAGGAAATATCTTCCCATAAAAACTAGACAGAAGCATTCTCAGAAACTTGTTCGTGATGTGTGCCCTCTACTGACAGAGTTGAACCTTTCTTTGCAAAGAGCAGCTTTGAAACACTCTTTTTGTAGAATCTGCAAGAGGATATTTGGATAGCTTTGAGGATTTCGTTGGAAACGGGTATGTCTTCAGATAAACTCTAGACAGAAGCATTCTCAGAAACTTCTTTGGGATGTTGCATTCAAGTCACAGAGTAGAACATTCCCATTCATAGAGCAGATTTGAAACACTCTTTTTGTAGTATCTGGAAGTGGACATTTGGAGCGCTTTCAGGCCTATGTTGAAAAAGGAAATATCTTCCCATAAAAACTAGACGGAAGCATTCTCAGAAACTTATTTGTGATGTGTTTGCTCAACTAACAGGATTGAACCATCGTTTTGAAGGAGCAGTTTTGAAACACTGTTTTCGTGGAATCTGCAAGTGGATATTTGGCTAGCTTTGAGGATTTCGTTGGAAACGGGATTACATATAAAAAGGAGACAGCAAGCATTCTCAGAAACTTCTTTGTGATGTCTGCATTCAATTCACAGAGTTGAGCATTCCCTTTCATAGAGCAGGTTGGAAACACTCTTTTTGTAGTATCTGGATGAGGACATTTGGAGCGCTTTCAGGCGTATGGTGAAAAAGAAAATATCTTCCCGTAAAAACTAGACAGAACCATTCTCATAAACTTGTTTATGATGTGTGTACTCAACTAACAGAGTTGAACCTTTCTTTTGATAGAGCAGTTTTGAAACACTCTTTTTTTCATTATACTTTAAGTTTTTGGGTACATGTGCACATTGTGCAGGTTAATTACATATGTCTACATGTGCCATGCTGGTGGCACTGCCCCCCCTAACTCGTCATCTAGCATTAGGTGTATCTCCCAATGCTATCCCTCCCCCCTCCCCCCACCCCACAACAGTCCCCAGAGTGTGATGTTCCCCTTCCTGTGTCCATGTGATCTCATTGTTCAATTCCCACCTATGAGTGAGAATATGCGGTGTTTGGTTTTCTGTTCTTGCGAT